>NC_000005.10:156670414-156973445 GCF_000001405.40 Homo sapiens | reverse complement strand
GGAACACTTCTACATTGCTAGTGGGAATGTTAACTAGTACAGCCAGTATGGAAAACAGTGTGGAGATTCCTTAAAGAACTAACAGTAGATCTACCATTTGATCCAGCAATCCCACTACTGGGTAGGATTTTACCCAGAGGAAAAGAAGTCTTTACTTGAAAAGGACACTTGCACACACATGTTTATAGCAACACAATTCACAATTGCAAAATCTTGGAACCAACCCAAATGCCCATCAATCAATGAGCAGATAAAGAAACTGTGGTGTGGAATACTATGTAGCTATAAAAAGGAATGAGTTAACAGCATTTGCAGTGACCTGGATGAGAGTGGAGACTATTATTCTAAGTGAAGTAACTCAGGAATGGGAAACCGAACATCGTATGTTCTCACTGATATGTGGGAGCTAAGCTATGAGGATGCAAAGGCATAAGAATGGTAGAGTGGACTTTGGGGAGGACTTGTGGGGAAGAGTGGGAGGAGGGTAAGGGATAAAAGACTACAAATATGGTGCAGTGTGTACTGCTTGGGTGATGGGTGCACCAAAATCTCACAGATCACCACTAAAGAACTTACTCATGTAACCAAATACCACCTGTACCCCAATAACTTATGGAAAAATAAAAAATAAAAATAAATAAATAAACCAGTCATAGCCACCTCATGCAATAGATTTGGGGGTAAGCTGGTGGCTTAGTTCTGGATAAGTCAAGTCTGCTGAGAAGGGCTTCTCTTCCCAAATAAAAAGTCAAAGACTAACAATGTGAAAGCCTTTCTGTCTCCCCTTTGCCCTTCCCAAACATGAACTTGATGTCCAGAAGTACCTCAGCCCTCCTGTGACCAGGGTGTGACAAACCAGTATGGAGGAACAGAAAGAGAAGAGTCTGGCTCCTTGATGATATTTTTGATTCCTTGGGCTGTCTACATCCAGGCTTCTTTTTATGAGAGAAAAAACAAGCTCCTTATATGTTTAGGCTTCTGTGAATTGGACTTTCTGTTCCTTCCAGTTGACTGGATTCCTAAGTGACTTAAATGATTGTTTTGGCAACAGACTCATAAAAAATTTCTATTTGTACTAGATTTGTTAGTCATTGCCTACCAAACCCAGCCACTTCTGAGCAACCATACTCCATCCACAGCCCAATTGCTGAAACTGCAAATGGAATGGTAGCATTCTGCACGGTGGGATCTTTCTTCTCCAGGGTAAGGCTGATCTCAGGGTAGCCAGTCACAGAGGCAGCCAGTGGAAAACAATCTGAGGCTTACCTTGGAAAATGCGAACCAGAGGGGCTCAAGTTCTCCCTCAGGAATCTGGCATTTAGAATAGAAAGAATGAGTGAGTGAGCTCAGAGAGCTGGGTTGAGGGTTACTTAGAGGATTTGGGGCTAGGGTGTATAATAAGGACCATGAGAAAGCTGACCTTATGAGAAAGCTGGTCAGGGGAGAGGTTCAGAGAGGGACAGAAAGAGATACCCCAGAGAAGAGCAGAAGTAACACCTTGATGTTTCCTAATGAGGTGCTGATTCCAGATTGCCTGTGCCCTTGTCATGAGTAACCTCCTCCTCGGGGTGATTTGAGTGAATCTCTATTCTTGTCCTGATATCAGCTCGAATATACTAGGCAGTAAAAGCTATATTTCGAGTTAAGTTTTCAATGTCTTCCAATCCCTCTTTCCTTGTACGTATAGTGCCAAATATAATACCTCCTTTGAGGGTTTGTTGCTGGGATTACATGTGAACAAGACCTAGCAGAGTGTTTAGCACATAGCCACAGCTTAGTGAATGTTCATTCCTTTTCCATTTCCCTAGCGCCTAGGTTGTGAGTTTATTGAAGGCAAGAATGACTCATCTGATATGACAGTCTCAGGGCTTAGCACAGTGCCTACACATAACATGAACTCAATGGGTTGGCAAACATTTTCTGTTAGGACTAGATAGCAAATATTGTTGGGTTTGTGGACCATATGATATCTGTTGCAATTATTGAACTCTATTATTGTAGTGTGAAAGCAGCCATATGCTAAAAAATGGAAGTGACAGTGTTGCAATAAAAGTTTATTTACAAATATGGGCATTGGGCTATATTTGGTCCATGGGCCTTAATTTGCTGACCCTTGCTATAGATGATGAAGAAACGAATGAATAAAAATGAACGAATGGGATTTTATTTAATAATGCCATTTACCAGAAAGAAAGTATTGGTACTATAAAGGACTCTTTATCCAGAAAAACCTGGATTCTATTTTCATCCCATTACATAAGAGTCTTTTATCTTCTCTGGCGTCATGCCTTTATTGTAAAATGGGGTCTGATAATCCCTTCTTTGTTTAAAGGTTTGGAACTGTCAGGTCTGTAAAGGTAAAATCTATGCCTTATTTGTCTTTATTCTCAGGGCCTAACAGAATTCTCACATGTCTAAGCATAATAGGTTGACAGGCACTTGCTGAATGATTAAAAGGTTGAGGTGAATCAGATGTTTGATGAAGCAGGTGGTTGGACCAGATAATAGTATAAACTCTTGTATTACTTATTCATTTATTTATTTTTTGAGACAGGGTCTTGCTCTGTTGCCCAGGCTGGAGTGCAGTGGCATGATCTCGGCTCACTGCAACCTTTGCCTCCCGGGTTCAAGTAATTCTCATGCCTCAGCCTCCCAAGTAGCTTGGACTACAGGCACATGCCACCACACCTGGCTATTTGTTGTATTTTTTGTGGAGATGAGGTTTCACCATTTTGCCCAGGCTTGCCTCAAACTCATGAGCTCAAGCAATTCACCTGCCTCGGCCTCTCAAAGTGCTGGGATTACAGGTGTGAGCCAGGGTGCCCAGTCCTAAACTCTTAAAATAGGAAAAACTTTAAAATCATCCAGCCAAATTCTCGCTTTGCAGAGGGTTTTTTTGTTTTTGTTTTTTTCAGAATTAAGATTCCAAATGACTGCAAACCCAATGCAAATTGACTTAAGCCCAGAAGGAAATGTATTGCCTCATTGATGTGCCTTGTTTCAGGGATTCCACTCATGTCATAGACCTAGACTTGCTTTAGTTCCTCACTTGCCTTCTGCTTGATTGGTTCTCTTGTGAGGTAGGCTTTCCTCGTTGGTGGCAAGACTGCTGACATTAGCTTCCAGCTCACTTCCTCACAGCTCAGACCACAGGAAAATAGAGAGGGTCTCTATCTGTTAAAAGTCACAATAAACATCTCAAGATTGTGTATCCTTGACTTCATTTGAGTCAATTGCCTATCCTTGAGCCAATTGTGCCCATGAATGAAATCAACGCCACCTGAACTGCATTGACTGAGAATGAGGGAAGTCCGGTTCTCCAGAGGCAAACCTCCAAATGCAGAGAATGAAGGTGGCAAAAACATGAAATATCCAGCACTGCTTTGGACTCTGTCAATAATATGCTTTAATAAAAACTGAGCATCAAATATTAGGATGTTTGTGAATATTCTGAAACTTGATCATGGAATCTAACTTAGGAAGAGACAACCAAGTTTAGTCTCTTTTTCCGGTGTTTGACCCCTCCAGATACTAGATTACTTTTAACATTTACACTCTTAAAACAAAGGAATATGTGCATTTTAAAAAATGAATTTTATTTTAAAGCAGTTTCAGATTTGCAGAAAAATCAAAGATAATACAACAGAGTTCTTATGTACCATACACCTGTTTCCCCTATTATTAACATCTTATATTAGTGTGATATATTTATTAAAATTAATGAACCGGCCCGGCGCTGTGGCTCATGCCTGTAATCCTAGCACTTTGAGAGGCCAAGGTGGGTGGATTGCTTGAGGTCAGGAGTTCAAGACCAGCCTGGCCAATGTGGTGAAACCCTGTCTCTACTTAAAATACAAACAATTCGTCGGGTGTGGTGGCAGGTGCCTGTAATCCCAGCTACTTGGGAGGCTGAGGCAGAAGAATCGCTTGAACCCAGGAGGCAGAAGTTGCAGTGAGCCGAGATCATGCCACTGCACTCCAGCCTGGGCAACAGAGCAAGACTCTGTCTCAAAAAATAATAATAACAATCAAATCAAATCATATAAATGAATCAGGATTGGTACATTATTATTATCTAAAATCCATACTTTATTTATATTTTCTTACTTTTTAGCTAATGGCCTTTACCTGTGCCAAGATCCCACCTGGGATACTACATTAAGTTTATTATTTATTTATTTATTTAATTTATCTTTCAAAAATAGAGACAATGTCTCACTATGTTGGCCAGGCTGGTCTTGAACTCCTGAGCTCAAGTGATCCTCCCACCTCAGCCTCCCAAAGTGCTGGGATTACAGGTGTGAACCACCTCACTTTGCCTGTTTTCTTCATGTCAGTGTCATGGGTTTTGAGGAGGAAGTCCATAGAGATAAAGTGACCCTTATATTACATCATGTCAAGGGTACATATTATCAACTCAACTGATTGTTGATGTTGATCTTGATCAACAGGCGCCTGAGGTAGTATTTGTCAGTTTTCTCTACTGTAAAGCTACTCCTGCCCCGCCACTCCCCATTGTATTTTTTTGAAAGAAGTCAGTAGGTCAAACCCACACTGAAAGAGTGGGGAGTTAGGCTTTATCTCCTTGAGTGGGGAGTATCTACATAAATTATTTATAATGCTTCTGGGGAGAAGATTTGTCTATTCTCCCCTACTTATTTATGGAGTCATAATTTACTTCTGTCAGTATGGACTCAGATATTTATTTTATACTTTGGATTATAATCCAGTATTCTTCTATTTATTTTGTTGCTCAGGTTGTTCCAGCTTTGAGGTGGAGCCAAAGCTTTTTGGAAGCTCTTTTGATAATCTCCTTTGCTCTTTAAAATAATCTCATTATTGTGGGATTCTTTTTTAATTTTCCTTTTTTTTTTTTTTTTTTAAGCACTTTCTTGCTGTTACTTACTGACATTGCAGGATGTTCCAGGTTCAGTCCGTATGTTTTTCACCTCAGTACTAGAGTCAGCCATTTCTCCAAGAAGCCCTGGTTCTTTTTATGGGAGGATGGAATTAGAAATTAAGATGTGGGTGCTAGGTATGCTCAATATAGCCATTTTATTTTATTTTATTATTTACTTATTTATTTATTTTGAGATGATCTCCCTCTGTTGCCCAGGCTGGAGTGCAGTGGTGCGATCTCAGCTTACTGCAACCTCCGCCTCCCGGGTTCAAGAGATCCTCCAGCCTCAGTTTCCCGAGTGGCTGGGATTACAGGCTCACACCACCACACCCAGCTAATTTTTGTATTTTTAGTAGAGACAGGGTTTTGCCATGTTGGCCAGGCTGGTCTCAAACTCCTGGCCCCAAGTGATCTGCCTACCTCGGCCTCCCAAAGTACTGGGATTACAGGCATGAGCCACCATACCCGGCCTCAATATATGCATTTTTAATAGTCAAGTTGTAAAAGGTTTATAACTAAAAAAATAGTGAATTTCTTTCCCACTTTTTTGCATTAAACTCTTTTGAGCTTGTTCTTCTGGTTTTTACCTTCATATTACTCACAGCGTGTTTATGCTGGTATTGTCTGATTGACCAATTTGAGACACTATTTGTTGACTCCCTGTAAAGGTGAATAGACTTTGGCTTTCTTACACCCCCACCCCGCTTCCTCTCTACCAATTTTTCCAGTGTAGTCAAATCAAAATATGTGTTAAGTTGGGGCACAGTGGCTCATTTCTGTAATCCCAGCACTTTGGGAGGCTGAGGCAGGCAGACCACTTGAGGCCAGGAGTTCAAGACCAGCCTGGCCAACATGGTGAAATCCCATCTCTACTAAAAATACAAAAATTAGCCGGGCATTGTGGTGCATGACTGTAATCTCAGCTACTTGGGAGGCTGAGGCATGAATCACTTGCACCCTGGAGGCAGAGATTTATCCGAAGTATTCCATGCAGTGAGCCAAGATCGCACCACTGCACTCCAGCTTGGGTGACAGAGTGAGACCCTGTGTCAAAAAAATAAATAAATAAAAATAAAAATGGTGTATTAAGCCAGTAGCCAGATTTTACATTATTACCAGCATGTAACTATTAATATCTTTCACACTTAGCAAATGCACCATAATTACATTTCTTTTCTCGTACAAAATTTTATCTTTCCTGGTTGTAATAATTATCTCATTTTTTGTTTGTTTGTTTGTTTGTTTGTTATTTTGAGACGGAGTCTCGCTCTGTCACCCCAGCTGGAGTGCAGTGGCATGATCTTGACTCACTGCAACCACCACCTCCCTGGTTCAAGGGATTCTCCCACCTCAGCCTCCCAAGTAACTGGGATTACAGGCATGTGCCACTGCACTCAGCAACTTTTTGTATTTTTGGTAGAGATGGGGTTTCTCCATGTTGGCCAGGCTGGTCTGGAACTCCTGACCTCAAGTGATCCAACTGCCTCTGCCTCCCAAAGTGCTGGGATTACAGGCGTGAGCCACTGCACCCAGCCTTCATTGTGTTTTTTTCTTAATTTCCCAAGTATCCATCAAAAATTCATCCCATGGCTGTGGGCAGTGGCTCATGCCTATAATCCCAGCACTTTGGGAGGCTGAGATGGGAGGATCACTTGAGACCAGGAGTTTGAGACCAGCCTGGGCAACATGGCAAGACCCTGCCTCTACAAAAATTTAAACAAATTAGCTGGGTGTGGAGGCACACCTGTGGTTCCAGCTACTTGGGAGACTGGGGCAACAGGATTGCTTGAGCCTGGAGGTTGAGGCTTTACTAAGCCATGTTCATACCAGTGCACTCCGGTCTGGGCAACAGAGCAAGACCCTGTCTCAAAAAAAAAAAAAAAAAAATTCATCCCAAGTATTCCATCATATCTGCCAAACACCTATCAAAGTTATTTTCAAATTACCTAAGTACATGAGCTTATTCGTGACACTCACTACCACCACCCCAAGGCTTATTCCTCTGCTCTTCTGCCCCAGCCTGAGGTGGTTATTAAAGTAATTATTCTCCAAAGATGCTTCCCCTACCACTCCAATGAACCACACTTCCTCGCATTCACATCCTTGTATTGCTCCCTCCACTTGAATTCTCTGGGATGGCCTTATAATTTGCCTTTTGACCAATAAAATACTGTAAAAATGATACTGAATGTTACCTAAGGCTAGGTCATAAGAACCTTTGTGGATTATTCCTGAGCATGTTGGAATGCTAATTTTTGAGAAAGCCAGATCCTATGTAAAAAATCCAACTACTCTGAGACCACCATACTGTAAGGAAGCCCAAGCTTCCATGTAGAAAGGTCATGTGGAGAGAGACAGTTGTCAGTCCAGCCCCTATCTCTTCTAGTCATTCTATTAATTTGCTAGACATACAAGTCCAGCTAGAAGTGTCATTTTGGATGATCAGTCATGTGAGTGAGAAAGTTATCTTGGACAAATAGTCCAATCTAGTCTTGAGATAGCCACTGTCACTGGGTGAGAGCTACCCAGCTGAACACTGTCATCCCAGGGAATCATGAAAAGTACATTGACATTGTTCAGGCACTAGGTTTTGGGGTGGTTTGTGATGCAGTGAAACAGTTCCCCTCTAGGTCTGTTCTGCAGTTTTCTTTGTGAAATTTTTCTTCCCTGGAGTTAGATGTCATGTTTTCTGGACCCCATGACTTTCTGTTTCCTGGTTATTTCTCCCGTTTTGCTACAGATTTCTCTTCCATAACTTCTAGGAAAGGAAGTATAGTAAGTAAATTTTGAATCTATGTCCAAAAAGGCCTTTATTATGATCTTACATTTGAGAAATAGATTGTCTGCGAGTAGGATTCTAGGTTGAAATTAAATTTCTCCTCTGGATTTTTTTTTTTTTTTTTGGACACAGGTTCTCTGTCTGTTTTCCAGGCTGGAGTGCAGTGGCACAATCTCAGCTCACTACAACCTTCACCTCCCGGGCTCAAGCAATCCTCCCACCTCAGCCTCTGGAGTAGCTAGGACCACAGGTGCGCATCACCACACTCGGCCAATTTTTTGTATTTTTGGCAGATATAGATTTTCTTTTCCTCTTTTTTTTTTTTTTTTTGATGGAGTCTCCTTCTGTCACCCAGGCTGGAGTGCAGTAGCATGATCTCAGCTCACTGCAACATCTGCCTCCTGGGTTCAAGTGATTCTCCTGCCTCAGCCTCCCAAGTAGCTAGGATTACAGGCATGCACCACCACACCCAGCTAATTTTTGTATTTTTAGTAGCGACCAGTTTTGCCATGTTGCTGGGACTTGTCTTGAACTCCTGACCTCAAATGATCTGCCCGTCTTGGCCTCCCAAAGTGCTGGGATTACAGGCGTGAGCCGCCACGCCCGGCTGATACAGGTTTTTACCATGTTGCCCAGGCTATTCTGGAACTCCTGGACTCAAGTGATCCACCCACTTTGGCCTCTTAAAATGCTGGGATTACAGATGTGAGCCACCACACTCGGCCTTCCCTCTGAATTTTGAAGGCATTCGTGCATTATTTTCTAGCTTTGTTGTTTGGAACAACAATGCCATTCTATTTCCAAATCCATTCAGTGCAATATGTTGTTCTTTCTCTCTGGAGTCTTTTCGTATCTTTTCTTTATGTCTGATGTTCTCATATTACATGATAATGTCTTGCTTTTTGGGGATATTTTTATTCATTGAGTTTAGCATTTGATTGACCCGCTCAATACTGAGAGTCATCTCCTTTAGTTACGAGAGTCTTTCCTTTATTATTTCTTTAGTAATTTCCTCTCCTCTATTTTCTTTTTTAATGTTCTGAAACAATCCTAGTCCTTTGACTTTGTAGATGGTTATAATTTCTAACAAATTTTCTTAACTTTATTTTTCAAAACTTCCATAAAATTCGGGACATTTTTATAATGTCTATGTTCTTTTTCATGAATGTAAAATCTTTCTTTCTGAGAAAATATTAGCTTTTTAAAAAGTTTTTGAAGTTCTCTTTAGCTCTCCCTGTTATTTTTGTCTCTTTTTTATGTTAAATGCTTTCCTCAAATGTCTGATGATCCCTGGTTATCTGTTCATATCTGAAAGGGACACTAAAGACTCATTAACAGTTCTGCATGCATGGCTGAGGCTCATGCACTGATGAACTTATTGAAGGAGGGTTGAGTGGTTTTGTTGGGGAACACTCAAAACTATAAATATCTGAAAATGTTTTATTGGGACCACTTAGTTTATCCAGAGATTAAATCCTCCAGTTTCCTGGGATAGAATGGGGAAAGGATCCCTTGGTTCTGTGGGCATTCAGTGGGAAGATTCACTCTGAATCCCGTTATTTTCATCCCTGCTCATGTTAGTCTGGCTTCTCTGGGTCTAGAACCTCACCTGATATTTAGATTTTTCACTGATACCTTCAGTAGAAGCAATGTTGAATGTTTGAGGTTTGCTGGCTGTTTACAATCAATTAAGGATTTTTAAAAATCTAGAACATTTGTGAATTCTTATATTTTCTTCCTGGTACTAAGTAGGAGCTAGCCACAGGTAGGCCTCATCATATGGATACATTACCCAAACGGTCACAGGTCAAAGGACAATGTAGTGATTAACCATAAGCTTTGGAATCAGGAAGTTCTGGGCTTCAGTGTCTTCCTAAAACTTAAAAAAAAATTTAATTTTTTTATTAAACTTTTTTTTAAATAAAAAATTGAGATGGGGTTTCGCCATGTTGATCAGGCTGGTCTCAAACTCCTGGCCTCAAGCGATCCTCCCATCTCGGCCTCCCTAAGTGCTAGGATTACAGGTGTGAGCCACTGTGCCTGTCCTCACTTTTCTTTCTCCATTATTAGGGCAAGGAGGCCAGGGGACAGGGTGAGGGAGAACCTAGAATGGGAATGGAGGCAACTTTCAGTCTAACTATGCTTTGGCCCCATGAGGAATCTACATGTAAACACTTGCCAGTATGGAGAGTCAATTGCACTTTGTGACAGGCTGTACAGCAGTTGGGACAACTGTGGCACATGCACAGGTTATACAGGCATATTTGCACCAGCACATGCATGGATGCTTGTGCACATATAGGAAACCCACTATACACATGGACAAAGAAGCACAAGTATGTCCACGCCATCCCTCCACACACACACTAGTCACCAGGAGAAAAGGGCTCAGCACATTTCATCATGCATCGCCCATTGGGGGAAGCCATGTAGGACAGGAGAAAGGGAAGATTATGAGGCAAAAAGAGAAATGAAACTAAAGAGTCCCACCCTGTCAGCATTAACTGGGATATAAGAGGTTGGGCTTTGGATAGATAGACAGACTCCTGGGTCCGGTCAACCGTCAAAATGTCCAAAGAACCTCTCATTCTCTGGCTGATGATTGAGTTTTGGTGGCTTTACCTGAGTAAGTGTTCTGAAACCTTCTATGTAGAAGTTTCCAGAGGACTTGCTATTGTGTGATGGATTTCCATGCACTGGTTTGGGCCTCAGTGAAGCAGAAGCTCACTTCATTTCTGCATCCCTCCCCTCTCCCTACCAGGCTTCCTTCTGTGGAGGGTCTCTGTCCTGCCTTGTTACACAGAGGTTTATCCAGAGACTGGTCTGGGGGTTTTAGGCTGGGGTAATTTGGGCTTATATTGGAAACAGCAACTGAAGAAGAGACACAGAAATAAGTGGTCAGATAAATTGGGGAAAAGAGATTTCCTCTATGGGTGTTATTCATATAATCAATAAGCCAGGAGAATTTGTTCTGGTGAGAATTGTGATAATTCTTATCATTCCCTCTGTTTTTAGAAGTGTTTGCTTTTTGTTTTGTTTTGCTGGGGTGAGGCTTTATGTAAGGTTTCTTTTCTGCACGTTGTTTTTGGGTTTTGGATGATGCAAGTGTACACACTCAGTTTTGGCCAGTGAAGTTCTTTGCATCCTGGTGGTATAGAGCCAAGTGTTCTGGCCTGAGCTGCAGCTGCGTCTCGGGCACTAACTGTTGACACTGGGAATATGTCTAAATTGCTCTGGCTCTCCCATATTTGAAATGAGAGACCTGGCTTTTTAAATGACCAGTTGTCACAATCTGTGCTTCTAGGACAAGATAATATTGAATGGCCCTTGCAGTTTTACAAAAGTCCATTTTTTTTTTAAATGGATACAAAATAACTATACATATTTATGGGCTACATATGTGTTATTTTGATATATACATACAATGTACAATGATCGAATCAGGGTAGTTGGGATATTCATTTCTTGAAACATTTAAATTTCTTTGTGCTGAGAACATTTCAAATGTTCTCTTCTAGTTATTTTGAAATACACAAGAAATTATTAATAACAATAGGCACCCCACTATGCTATCAAACACTAGGACTTATTCCTTCTATTTAATTGTATTTTTTCCCTTTTTCCTCATGTTCTAACTAACTGTATTTTTGTACCCATTAACCTGCCTTTCTTCATACCCCTTTTCCCCTATCCTTTGTAGACTCCAGTGACTATCATTCTATTCTCCACTTTCATGAGATCAACTTTTTTAGCTCTCATGTATGAGTGGGAACATGCAATATTTGTCTTTCTGTGCCTAGCTTAACTTAACACAATATTAATAAACTCTGTTTCCATCCATGTTGTTGCAAATGACTGAGTTTCATTCTTTTTTTATGGCTGAATATTCTACTGTGTTTATATACCACATTTTCTTTTTTTTTTTCTTTCTTTTTTTTTTTTTTTTTTTTTTTTTTTTGAGACGGAGTCTCGCTCTTTTGCCTAGGCCGGACTGCAGTGGCACTATCTCTATCTCGGCTCACTGCAAGCTCTGCCTCCTGGGTCCACGCCATTCTCCTGCCTCAGCCTCCCAAGTAGCTGGGACTATGGGCGCCTGCCACCATGCCTGGCTAATTTTTGTATTTTTAGTAGAGACGGGGTTTCACCATATTGGTCAGGCTGGTCTTGAACTCCTGACCTCAGGCGATCCACTCACCTCGGCCTCCCAAAGTGCTGGGCTTATAGGCGTGAGTCACCGCACCTGGCCATATACCACATTTTCTTTATCCATTCATCCATTGATGGACACGTAGGTTGCTTCTATATCTTGGCTATCGTGCATAGTGCTGTAATAAACATGGGAGAGTAAATATCTCTTTAATTGATTTCCTTTCTTTGGGATATATCCCCAGTAGTGGGATTGTTGGATCATATGGTAATTCTATTTTTAGTTTTTTAAGGAATCACCATACTGTTTCCCATAATGGCTGTAGTAATTTACATTCCCACCAACAGCGTACGAGAGTTCCTCTTTCTTTGCGTCCTCGCCAGCAATGCTTGCTTTTTGTCTTTTTGATAGTAGCCATTTTATCAGAAATGAAGTGATACCTCATTGTGGTTTGGATTTGCATTTCCCCAGTGATTAGCAATGTTAAACATTTTTTCTTCTACCTCTTGGCTCTTTGTATGTGCAGAAACCTTTCCAACATGGTGCATGAGAAAACACCCATATTTGAAGGAAAACAAATGTGTTTCATCACCTCTCAAACTTGTACTATTCTCTCTGCCTTTCTTTCCTCCGTAGTGCCATGCATCCTCAGGTCCCTACTTAATTCAGGCTTTTCCTGGCTACCTTGTAGCCTCTGGAATAGTTCAGGTGTTTCTGCTATGAGTTCGCATCCTCCTTGGAGTTCCTGCATCTGTAAACTTGTCACTCTATAGCAAATGCTCACTCATTTGACTATCTTCCTAGGTACTCTGCAGGCCCCATGAGGGCAGCCCAGGTCTGCTTTGTGGCTTGTTATATTCCAGCACCTAGTTCCACCCTTGATACATTATAGGCACTGAAGAAACAATCTACAGGCCAGGGGTGGTGGCTCATGCCTATAATCCTGGCATTTTGGGAGGCCGAGGTTGGTGGATCACCCGAGGTCAGGAATTTGTGACCAGCCTGGCCAACATGGTGAAACCCCGTCTCTACTAAAAATATAAAAATTAGCCAGGCGTGGTGACATGTGCCTGTAATCCCAGCTACTCAGGAGGCTGAGGCAGGAGAATCGCTTGAACTAGAGAGGCAGAGGTTGCAGTGAGCCGAGATTGCACCACTGCACTCCAGCCTGGGTGACAGAGTGAGACTCTTTCTGAAAAAAAAAAAAAAAAAAAGGGGGAAGAAAAAAACAATCTACAGAATGAAAGCAGTCCCTGTCACTTTCACACTTATATTTTGGGTTTGGTATGGGTTTGTTTGGATGTAAGAAAGCTACCATCTGCCTTTTCATCAATTTTTTTTTACTGTCTTTGTCTTATCCTGGAAACTTGAAGTTTGGAAGGTTTTGTTAGGTTGAAAGTTGCAGGGGTCTATGTCTACATGTCCTGCTACTAGCAAGACACTGGTTGAGGGGAATTTTCTAATCCTGCTTGAAGGAGGCAGCACCTGGTGAGCTGTTTTTTGTTTTATTTTGTTTTTTTTTTCATAGGTGCCTTTTCTTTTTTCTTTTGTTTTTCAAAATATTTTTGGGTTTTTTCGAGACAGAGTCTCACTCCAATGCCCAGGCTGGAGTGCAATGGTGCAATCTCGGCTCACTGCAACTTCTGCCTCCCAGGCTCAAGCAATTCTCCTGCCCCAGCCTCCCAAGTAGCTGAGATTGCAGGCGCCCGCCACCACAGCTGGCTAATTTTTTGTATTTTTTAGTAGAGACAGGGTTTCACCATATTTGGCCAGGCTGGTCTTGAACTCCTGACCTCAGGTGATCCACCTGTATCAGCCTCCCAAAGTGCTGGGATTACAGGTGTGAGCCACCACACCCGGCCTATATGTGCCTTTTCTAAGATAACCAAATTAAAAGAGAGTGACTGCTCAGAATCACCAAGGATCAGAGCTGGATGTACTCTTAAAAGATGCCCTTCACTCTGTAGATGGCAATTTTGAGACTCAGATTGGGGAAGGGCCAGCCTTGCTTAAGCTCACCAGCTATGGAAGGAACCAAGCTGGCATAAGGACCTAGGTTGTATCCACCATTCCAGGTAGCTCCACAGAAGTGAAACTGGTTTGATACCAACAATTGCTTTACTCAGGGATACTTTTACAACAGACAGGAACCATTTTTTTTTGTCTTATTTCTAAATTCTAATGTCCTTTGTTACGCGTATTAATACTTTGTTAATTTCACGTGGCATTTGTTACTCCTCTTCAAGTGGAGCTCAGAACCATTTCTGAGGTGAGTATTATCCCCTTTGCCTTGTGATGATAATGAGGTCAGGATTATCATGGCTTTCCTCCAACAACACAAAAGCAGTAAATGGCAGAATGGGGTTTACAATGTGAGCTTAATGGATGTTGTTCCTGCCATACTCAGCACCTGCTTCCTTTTCTTATATTAATTTTTAATAAGATGAGTGACACGAAACACTCCTGGTGAAAAAATTAAAATGTTATAAAGCCAAATGCCCTTTGGACTGCTATCCCCAATTCCAATCCCTTTTCTCTGATCCTGGGGGTAACTGACACAATGAGTTTGGTGTCTATCCCACTAGACACTTTTCTGTGCATTTACTTTCAAAAGTCTGAGCCCACAAAAACAAAGGAAATTGTTTTATTTATTTATTTTACAAGAAGGGTTTTATATTTTATGTCTTGTTTTGAAATTTGCCCTTTTCATCATTAAATGGCTTGGAGTCTTCCTGTCAATTCACTCAGATCTATCTCTAATGCTATCAATCTACATAGAATTCCATGGAATAAATATGCACCAGTTTAGCCATTCCCCATATATACATTGTCCATTTCATTCACATATACATGGAGGCTGCAATAAACATTTGCAAATAGGCATCTTTGTCAACTTGTGTTTTTCTAGGGTGGATAACAAACGTGAAATTGCTAAGGCATACTAGGACTCTTGGGTAGTGAATACTTAATAGAAACTGCCAAATTTCCTCACAGTGTGGCTATAACAATTCATATCCCCATTTCACTCTGGTTTATCTCAGGAGGCTAAGTCATTTCCTAAGTCCCTTCCCACAAGTGTCTTGGAGTCCTGTTTACTCACACCTTGGCCATTACTCAATATTATCAGTGTTCTAAGCTTTTCCCAGTCTAATGGGTAAAATTTATTGGCTGCTCCTATTTCCTTATCTACGAATTGTCTATTATGTCCTCTGCTAGTTTCTCTATTGGATCCTTTCCTTTCCTTTCCTTTCCTTTCCTTTCCTTTCCTTTCCTTTCCTTTCCTTTCCTTTCCTTTCCTTTCCTTTCCTTTCCTTCTTTCTTTCTTTCTCTCTTTCTTTCACAGAGTCTTGCCCTGTCCTCCCTCACCCTGCCGAGGCTGGAGTGCAATGGTGTGATCTTGGCTAACTGCAACCTCTGCCTCCCGGGTTCAAACGATTCTCCTGCCTCAGCCTCCCAAGTAGCTGGGATTACAGGCGCCCACAACCACGCCCAGCTGATTTTTGTATTTTTAGTAGATACGGGCTTTCACTATGTTGGCCAGGCTGGTCTCGAACTCCTAACTTCATGATCTGCCTGCCTCCGCCTCCCAAAGTGCTGGGATTACAGGTGTGAGCCACCGCGCCCGGCCAGATCTTTTCTTATTTAGCAATTAGGATGCCTCCTTTTATGCAAAAGTACTTGGGAAAATAAAATGTTGACTCTCCAGTGGAATACTTCTTGTACATGTTTTATTAATTTACCAAATATTCATAGGAACAAGATCATCTATTTTTTCTTTTTTCTTTCTTGAATTTGAGGCAGTCTTGCTTTGTTGCCCAGGCTGGAGTCCAGTGATATGATCATAGCTCACTGCAGCCTCAAACTCCTGGGTTCAAGCCATCCTCCTGCCTCAGCCTCCTGAGTAGCTGGGACTGTAGGCATGTGCCACCACACTTGGCTAAGTTCATATTTTAGTAGTTATTAATTTTAGGTGCATGTGTTCTATGTTGTTAACATAGCTGAGGGTGATGACAATAAACTTCTTATTTTTCTCCTGGATTCATGGGAGGCAAAATGGACTTCCCACTGCATTGACTTTTTTCTTTTTCTTTTTTCTTTTTTTTTTTTGAGATAGACTCTCGCTCTGTCACCCAGGCTGGAGTGCAATGGCACAATCTCGCCTCACTGCAACCTCCGCCTCCTGGGTTCCAGCGATTCTCCTGCCTCAGCCTCCCAAGTAGCTGGGATTACAGGCACCCACCATCATGCCCAGCTAATTTTTGTATTTTTGTAGATATGGGGTTTTACCATGTTGGCCAGGCTGGTCTTGAACTCCTGACCTCAGGTGATCTGCCAGCCTCTGCCTCCTAAAGTGCTGGGATTACAGGCATAAGCCACTGTGCCCAGCCTCCCACTTCATTTATAATCTGGGAAACATTTCCACTTGGCAAAGTGAAGAGACTAAATTCGGGGAAGGCTGCAGGCTGGTCCAAATTGGGAATCATCTTTTATCATAAGAACAACCAGAGGTTGCAGTGAGCTGAGATCGCGCCACTGTGCTTCAGCCTAGGCGACAGAATGAGACTGTCTTTAAAAAAAAAAAAAAAGCCAACTGTGAAAAACCCCAGAAGCACATAGTCTTGCTTACCATATGGGTGACTCTTAGGGCTCATGTCCACCTTCTCCTAGAGAGAGGAATGCCTGGATGTTACTGCCAGCTGAGTCAAGGAGGAGCACAGCACTGCTGGCCATGCCTTCTATAACTTAGCCAACTAAATAAGCAAAGTTAGTGAATGGAGAATCTCACAGGAGGGTGCCTAAGAGAAAACAACAAGCATGGACCTGGGTACCCAAGGGGGAGCAGGGTGTGGTCTCAACAATCTGAGATCTACAGCCTGCCTGGCTTTCACTTCAATAGCATTTTTGGGGAAGGAAATGGTTTAGAATAATCTCTGATGCACAATTAAACCAATGGGCTTAACATTTTTAACAGTGAAAATGTTTTGCAGATTGTCAGAGATGAAAGGAATCTTAGAGGAGCTTGTCTAGTGGTTCTCAAACACTGGATGGGTAGTCAACTACATCAAAGTGGCCTGGAGAACTTGATTCAAGTACATATGCACTGGCCTTGGCCTTAGGGATTCAGGCTCAGGTTTGGGCAATGAACTATGTATTTTTAACAAGCTCCCTAGGTCATGCTAATGAGGAGAAGTGGTTAAAACACACTCATGCTTCATTTTAGAAAGGGAGAAACATTCCATCTCAAGTAGCTGATGCAGTAAACCTTACCCTCCAGCATTTTTTTTTTATGGCACAGCTGCCATTTTAGATAATTCCTGTGGTTCCTTCTAGCTCTAACGTTAACAAAAAATACATGCTGCAAAGTGAAATAAGCGAGGCATAGAAAGACAAATAGAAGATCTCACTTATATGCAGAATCTAAAAAAGTTAATCCCATAGAAACAGTATAAAGGTGGTTACCAGAGGCTGGGGGGTGGGTGAGTGGGTGGGATAGTGAAAGGGGAGATGTTGATTAAAAGGTACAAAGTTTCAGTTAGACTGAAGGACTAAGTTGTACTGATCTATTGCACTGCATGGTGACCACAGTAATTAATCATGTGTTGTATATTTCAAAATTGCTAATAGATTTTTAATGTTCTTGCCACAAAAGTTTGTTAAGTTGGTAAGGCGATGGATATGTTAATTAGCTTGATTGAATCTTTCTACGATGTATATGTATATCAGAACATCACATTGTATCCTATAAATATATACAATTATTATTTGTCCATTAAAAATAAATAGATAGTCCATGAACTCCACCTAACTTCATATTATCTAACAGCAAACAAATAGTCTAAGTAATTTCCAATTCTAGTAATTTCCACTGAAAGGAGAGAAGGAAATGGAATACAGTTTTACAGCCTATCTTTCTCTCATAGCACTCTCTGGATTGGGAGACCCATTTGAAGCTTTTTTTTTTTTGAGATGGAGTCTCACTTTGTTGCCCAGGCTGGAGTGCAGTGGCATGATCTCGGCTCACTGCAAGCTCTGCCTCCCTGGTACATGCCATTCTCCTGCCTCAGCCTCCTGAGTAGCTGGGACCATAGGCGCCTGCCACCACGCCCGGCTAATTTTTTGTATTTTTAGTAGAGACGGGGTTTCACTGTGTTAGCCAGGATGGTCTCGATCTCCTGACCTTGTGATCCGCCTGCCTCGGCCTCCCAAAGTACTGGGATTACAGGCGTGAGCCACCATGCCCAGCCATTTGAAGCTTTTAAGTCTGTAGTCCACAATATCTATTTGTGGAAAACAGCCCACCTGATTATATGAATAAGTGAAATTGGGTTTCAAGGTCAGGATTTTTCATGTAAGAGTTTATTGGTTAGCGAATGGAACTCAAATCAGAGTATTTAAATCAGCAAAAAGGTCTTGCCACGGTTAGAGACTCAACTGGTCACCTGGTTCCACTTAGGGGATAGAATCATGTGGAGTTAGGAGCACAGGAGTAAGCAAGGCACATCAAAACTTACGCTAAAGAACCACATAAGCCTGGCAACATGGGAAACCCTGTCTGTACAAAAGCAACACAAAAATTAGCTGGGAATGCTGCCACGCACCTGTGGTCCCAGCTACTCAGAAGGCTGAGGTGGGAGGATGGATTGAGTCTGGGAGGTTGAGGCTGTAGTGAGCCATGATTGTACCACTGCACTCCAGCCTGGGTGACAAAGCAAGACCCTGTATCAAAAAAAAAAAGGAAAGAAAAGAAACATAGACTACAGCTTTCTTCATCTTCCTGGAAGCATCTATTAGCACAAAAACTGTGTAGCATGTTTGAGAGATTTCAGTACTGCATGACCTAAATTTCGCATTTTTCCTTGCAGCACCAGTCACTTCAGAGACTGTTGTGACGGAGGTTTTGGGTCACCGGGTGACTTTGCCCTGTCTGTACTCATCCTGGTCTCACAACAGCAACAGCATGTGCTGGGGGAAAGACCAGTGCCCCTACTCCGGTTGCAAGGAGGCGCTCATCCGCACTGATGGAATGAGGGTGACCTCAAGAAAGTCAGCAAAATATAGACTTCAGGGGACTATCCCGAGAGGTGATGTCTCCTTGACCATCTTAAACCCCAGTGAAAGTGACAGCGGTGTGTACTGCTGCCGCATAGAAGTGCCTGGCTGGTTCAACGATGTAAAGATAAACGTGCGCCTGAATCTACAGAGAGGTAAGCACACGAAGGGCCTCATGCCTGCGGAAGGAGAGATTCAGTGGTTAATGGACAATGGGATCAGTGGATGGTGGTGAAGAGGTTAGAGTTGCTTTCACAGTGAGTGGGAAGATTGAATTTGAAATAAAGTGCCGTGGTTTGAAGTAGGCAAGTAAATACAAAAGCAGCCACAGAAATGAGTGGAAGGTGGAAAGGGAACTCGTGAATTGCAGGGTCAATCTGAAAAGGCAGCTGCTACGTATCTAGGGGATTACCACCTTGCAGATATTTGGGTCCAGTGTTTTCAGACCTATCAAGTTTTATGTGAACTCTGTTGATTTTTTACATGTTGCCAGATTTCAAAATAATAAAAAAACTGCATGAACTAAATAAAATGTATTCAGGGGTCACCTTCAACCAGTAAA
Organism: Homo sapiens; assembly: GCF_000001405.40. NCBI lineage: Eukaryota > Metazoa > Chordata > Mammalia > Primates > Hominidae > Homo > Homo sapiens. Next base: position 156,954,007 of record NC_000005.10, on the reverse strand, counting down.
CCAACAGTTTGCCACTTCTGGCAGGGGAGAAAGGGCATGAGATTTGGACACAGTCATAGCAGTTTTCAGGAGCTTTTTCTTCTGTTACTATCAGTTGCTTTTGATGAAATCTGGGATATGGTGGGACTTCAAAAATTTGAGCTGCATTGAGCGTATGGTTGAATAATGCTAACAATAATTACCTTTAGGGCTTGTCCAGTATAGAGCTTCCCAAAATGAGCTCTGTATTCCACCTGCATCAGTGTCACCTGGAGGATCCTTGGGCTCTATTCCTAACTGGATGGGCACTTTGGAAGACAGGAATCTAGACATCTATATTCTCTCTCTCTCTCTTTTTTTTTTTTTTTTTTTTTTGGACAGAGTTTTGCTCTTGTTGCCCAGGCTGGAGTACAGTGGCACAATTTCATCTCACTGCAACCTCTACTTCCCGGTTCAAGCGATTCTCCTGCCTCAGCCTCCTGAGTAGCTGGGATTACAGGTGCCTGGCACCACACCCAGCTAATTTTGTATTTTTAGTAGAGATGAGATTTCACCATGTTGGCCAGGCTGGTCTTGAACTCCTGACCTTAAGTGATCCACCCACCTCGGCCTCCCAAAGTGCTGGGATTACAAGCATGAGCCACCACACCCGGCCTATATTCTCAAGTTTTCAGGTGACTCTAACGCACTCTAAAATTTGAGGCCAACTGATGTAAATGCTTCTAATTTAAGAACTTACATACATATTAGTATGTCTTTCTCTTAAGGCAACATTCTGAGATAAAAGCTATTCCAATTTTGCAGAAGAGAGAAATGAGGTTTATTGAAGTTAGATGACTCCCACTCAAGTCTTCTCTTTTCAAGTTGGGTATAACCAGCTATTATTTTATAAAATACTTGACCTTTATATATTATGAGGTCATTTCGAAGTTCACTTGGAACAAATGGTGTCTTTCTGGTCCATTAGAGTCAATGGAAATTTGGCATATTCTAGGGAGGATGAGATCTGTCGAATAAACGGTAGCTAATGAAGCTCAAATCAGATATGTAGGAGGTGAGTGGTGTTGGTATGAACCAATCTTTACTGTCTGAAAGAGACCACATTCTCACTCTAGGTTGCATACTTTGAGCTCACTTTTGATGCACTGATTTATGTATTCATGCAATGTTTTTGGAGCACCTACTATATGCAAGACACTGTGATAGTTATTGGATTTGTAGCATAGAACAAAATAAATGTCAGATTTTCCCTCATGGTGCTTAAAGTTTAACGGGATAAACAGGCTTTAAACAATAGCAATGAAATAAATGTGCAGTTATGAAATGCAATAAAGGCTGTGGAGGTAAACTATGAGAGCATATAATAAAGCCTAATCATTATTGGAGAATCTACATGGCCTCCTTGCAGAAGTAACCTTTAGCTGAGACATGAGAGTGAAGTAGAAGTCAGCCTCATGAAGAATGAGAATAGGAAGCAGCAGGTACAAAGGTTCGTGCAGCGGGAAGGTTGCTGATATATTCAAAGAGCTAAATAAATGCCAGTTGGGTGGGAAAAAGTGATAGCGGGGGCGGGTGGAGATATGAGATTGGAAAGAAAGGCAAGATGGGGTCAAATGGAGGCTTGTAGCTTGCAGGCCAAGGTGCAGGACTGGGTTCTTTATCTTAAGGGCAAGGAGGACCCAGTAAAAGATTTAGGCAGGGGATGGACATAATTATATTTGACTTTTTTTTTTTTTTTTGAGATGGAGTCTTACTCTGTTGCCCAGGCTGGAATGCAGTGGCACTATCTCAGCTCACTGCAACCTCTGCCTCCCAGGTTGAAGTGATTCTCCTGCCTCAGCCTCCTGAGTAGCTAGGATTACAGGCACACACCACCAGGCCCAGCTAATTTTTGTATTTTTAGTAGAGGCAGGGTTTCACCATGTTGACCAGGCTGGTCTCAAACTCCTGACCTCAAATGATCCACCCGCCTCGGCCTCCCAAAGTGCTGGGATTACAGGTGTGAACCACTGCACCTGGCCAACATTTTAAATGATTATGTAGCCAATGTGTGAAGAATAGATTGGAAGGAACATGTCAGGGTGGGGGCAGGAAACACAATTTTATTGGGCATTACAATCGTCCAGGCCAGTGGACCAGGTGAGGACAACAGAAATGGATGGGTCCCAGATATACTTGCATTATTTTCTTTTTCCTCCATCTCCGCTTGGTGCCAAACATGTCTGTTGTTGGTTACAGCCTCAACAACCACGCACAGAACAGCAACCACCACCACACGCAGAACAACAACAACAAGCCCCACCACCACCCGACAAATGACAACAACCCCAGCTGCACTTCCAACAACAGTCGTGACCACACCCGATCTCACAACCGGAACACCACTCCAGATGACAACCATTGCCGTCTTCACAACAGCAAACACGTGCCTTTCACTAACCCCAAGCACCCTTCCGGAGGAAGCCACAGGTCTTCTGACTCCCGAGCCTTCTAAGGAAGGGCCCATCCTCACTGCAGGTACGCAGATGTATCTTGGGTTTCTTAGAACAGTGCTGTCTCACTGAATGAGGCAGCCCAGTGACTTGCTCTCTCTCAGTGTGTGTGTGAGTGTGTGCGTGTACACATGCGTATATTAGTCTGCTAGGCCTATCAAACAAACACCGCAGACTGGGTAGCTTAAACAACAGAAATTTATTTTCGCACTGCTCTGGGTTCTACAAGTCCTGGGTCAAGGTGTCAGCAGGGTTGGTTTCTTCTAAGTCCTCTCTCCTTGGCTTGCAGGTGGCTGTCTTCCCTCTGCCTGTCCTTCCATGTCCTAATCTCTTGTAAGAATACCAGTTGTATTGGATTAGGGTCCATTGATATGACCTCATTTTACCTTAACTATCTCTTTAAAGGCGCTATCTCAATATACATTTGCATCCAAGGTACTGAGGGTTAGCACTTCAACATATGAATTTTGAGGGGACACAATTTATTCCTTCACAGTAGGCATGGGTGTGTGTGTGTGTGTGTGTGTGTACGAGGAGGTGTTTTCACCAAATTGTTCCTTTTCTTTTTTTATGGTTTCTCTTTTCTTCTGCCTTTTCCTTAGTGTTTTTGAAAAGTCAGCATTTTGGGTTCTCCAATTGACCTCTAAGGAGTCTTGCAAGAGATGTTTATTGAAGAACCAGGAAAGGTCACTCCTGGTCAGACTCCAGTTCCATTCTTTCAGGGGTTAAGTCGCTGCCTGAGCATTAGAGATTGGTTGAGGAAAGACCTCCAGACGCCTTTAAAATATCCCCTGATGGTGAACTAGTTCTAGCCTTGTTTCTTTTCTTTGTTTCTTTTTTTTCCCCTGGAATTCTTGACCCTGCAACTTGTACCTCTCACTGAGTGACTTGCTCCATTGCTTAGGGGGGCTTGTCAAGGCTGTCACTCTATGTCAGACTCTGATTCTGCAGTAAGAATTGGGAAAGCAATCATGAGATAGCTTGAAGGCTTTCTTAGATATTTCAGCTGCCTCAATAAGTCTTGGAAAATTCCAATAGCTTTACAAAATTGAATTGGCTAATTCTATTATACTCTGAATAGTACCTAAAATCCATGAACCCTAAACCAATCAATTCTTGTATGTATTTTTTTATTCCTTTGGGTTTTAAAATAAATAACTACCATAAAACACAACATTTGTAGTTTCTATTCCTTGATTCTAAAAATTACTTGCAATCCTTGAAGAAAACTTGAAATATATAAAGAAGCACAAAGACAGCCATAAAAATACCCTGGAACATGGTGATGTGAGCCTGTAATCCCAGCTACTTCAGAGGTTGACGCAGGAGGATCCCTTGAGCCCAAGAAGTCAGTTCCAGCCTGGACAACATAGTGAGACTCTGTCTTTTAAAGAATTAGATAAATTAGAAAAAAAAAGTGGCCAGGTGTGGTGGCTCATGCCTGTAACCTCAGCACTTTGGGAGACCAAAGCAGGTGGATCACTTAAGGTCAGGGGTTTGAGACCATCCCAGCCAACATGGTGAAACCCCATCTCTTACTAAAAATACAAAATTAGCCAGGCATGGTGGCGGGTACCTGTAATCCCAGCTGCTCGGGAGGCTGAGGCAGGAGAATCTCTTGAATCTGGGAGGTGGAGACAGAAGTGAGCAGAGATTGTGCCACTGCACTCCAGCCTGGGTGATAGAGCAAGACTCTGTTTCAAAAAATTAATTAATTAAAAAAAGATAATCCCAAATCCCACCACCCACCACAAACACAATAACTACTTTTCAGCTGCCTTTTATCCAACTTTTTTCTCTTCCAGAATCAGAAACTGTCCTCCCCAGTGATTCCTGGAGTAGTGTTGAGTCTACTTCTGCTGACACTGTCCTGCTGACATCCAAAGGTGTGCAGACACTCACTCTCTCTGTCCTCCCTCACCCTTTGTACTGAGGAGAAGGAAATTACTAAAAGTCTTGCTGAATCAGATGACTGACAACCTCTTTGGGTCTTTTGTGCCATAAAATCCCCCTGTGGCAAATTGGCCTCAAGGCAGCCTTTGTAGTTTGTTCCTTCTTGTGGCTGAGAGAGAGAGAGAGAGAAGGAGGAGGAGGAGGAGGAGGAGGAGGAGGAGGAGGGAGGTAGGGAAAAGGAAGACCCTTCTTGATTGGTGCAATTCTCTGCAGTAGCTCATGGTACATCTCTAGGATGTTTGCTTTTAGACTCTAGGCTAAGTAGCACTTAGCTGTCTCATTCTGATTTCATGCACGCAAATCTTCTTTGTTGAGACTGCTGAGGGGTTTACTAATTCAATGCATTGGGTTTTTAGAGTGGAGCGAGAATTGGTCACTCTTTCATTATTTATCCTGTCATCTACCCATCAAAACTTCTTTAGGTAGTTACTGGGGCCTGGGACGGGGTATACCCTGAAATAAGACACGATTGGCATCACGATTGGGGTGCTAGAGAGGAGCACTTGGGGTTGACTCCCAGTTCTATTCCTTTTTGCTGGGGGTCCCTGCCCTCAGTTTATATTCCTAGGTTTGTTGTAGAGTTGTATAACTTCATGCATGTGAGGACTTAGAAGAGTGCCTGGCACATTTGTAAGCACTCACATGGGAGGTGTTACCATAATGGAGCTAATAATCTAGCAAGGGAAAACAGACATCTGTAAGGTAAGTAAGTCAGCGTTTGTGATAGTACAGCACAGGGACACAGTATGATAGAGTGATTTATGTGGGTGCTCCGGCTTCACTTTGCCTAAACACAAATCCTGCCTCTTTCCTGCTGTGTGATTTTAGCTAAGCTACCTAATCTCTCTGGGCCTTAGTTTCCTCACTGGTAAACTGGGAATAACACCTATCCTGTGTTTACACCTTTCTAAGGATTAAATGACAGAATGCATGTAGGTCACTTAAGACAGTGTCTGGCACATACTTTGTTTTGTTTTGTTTTGTTTTCAATGACAGAAGTCAGTATAGGGACAGTTGAGTACCAAAAGCAGGAAGACAAGCATTTACCTAAGTCTGTTTTCTGTTTTCCTTTGTTTTTCCAAAGAGTCCAAAGTTTGGGATCTCCCATCAACATCCCACGTGTCAATGTGGAAAACGAGTGATTCTGTGTCTTCTCCTCAGCCTGGAGGTAGGGGGGCTGTGATTTTTTTTATTTTATTTTACTTTATTAATTATTATTATTATTTTTTTTAGACAGAATCTTGCTTTTTTTTTTTTTTGTAGAGATGAGTTCTCACCATGTTGCCCAGGCTGGTCTCAAATCTCTTGGCCTCAAGTGATCCTCCTGCCTTGGCCTCTCAAAGTTCTAGAGCCAGCTTGCCTGGCCTGGGGCTGTGTTCTCATGAGTGGCTTGTCTTTGGATGTGGAAACAATCTGTCATCTATCTGGTTGTCTTGGGATTCAACTATTCTGGCTCCTTCGTGGCCACGTACCACATCCTCCCGCCAGCTGGAGTGGAAGCAAAACATGCTGCAAGCATCAGTGCTGGCTTCTCCTCTCCTCTGCTCATCTCTGAAGTCCCTCTGTTGAAATCTTCCTTCTTCCTTAGCAACTGCTGACCTTATGCCAGGAATGATAGTAGGAAAACCACCTATTCATATTTCAAATTTTGTTTTTTTATTTTAAATTACACAAATGTCACACTAATGCATTTTTGTTAGGAGTGCATAGAAACAGATAGAAATAAAATTCTCTTTCACTCCTTGTCTTCAATCCCAGCCCCCTGCCATGAGATAATAACTGTTATTAGTTGAAGATGATCATTCTAGGTCTTTTTTCCATTCCCTTATGTGTCTACATAGCTATAGAAATACATAGTTCAGTTTTGTGCATGTCTTTAGACAATGTTATCATGCTATATGCAGCATTCTGCATTTTGTTTTATTCACTTATTGTTATATATTGGACCACTTTCTTCTTTAATCTATGTAGATACATGTCAAATTGCTGTGTAATATTTCACATTATGAGTACTCACAGTATTTCTTGTCTATTGAGGGGCATTTAGGTTGTTTCAATGTTTCCTTTTTATAAACAGTGCTGCAGTGAACATCCTAGCACATGCATACCTCCCTAACCATTCATGCAAGTGTTTCTGTAGTTAGGATGGTGACCAAAAAGTAAAAATTGCTGGTTAAAAGAAATGTGCACCTTTAAATTTAATAGCTTGTAGAAAAATGTTCTCAGAAAAGGCTGTGCCAATTTATTTTTCCACCCACAGAGTATCTGCTTTCCCATATTCTCCCTACACTTGATATGACTGTTTGTTTAACTTTTTCAATCTTATGAGAAGAAAATGTCATCTTGTTCTTTTCTTTTTTCTTTCTTTCTATTTTATTTTTTTTTTGAGACAGAGCCTCACTCTGTAGCCCAAGTTGGAGTGCAGTGGTGCGATCTCCGCTCACTGCAACCTCTGCCTCCTGGGCTCAAGTGATTCTCGTGCCTTAGCCTTCTGAGTAGCTGGGACTACAGGCACATGCCACCATGCCTGGCTAATTTTTTGTATTTTAGTAGAGATGGGGTTTCACCACGTTGCCCTGGTTGGTCTTGAACTCCTAAGCTCAGGTGATCCACCTGCCTCGGCCTCCCAAAGTGCTGGGGTTGCAGGCATGAGCCACCTTGCCCGGCCCATCTTGTTCTTTTCTTATCCTGATTAACAGAGAGTTTGAGTTCCTTTCTATATGTTTATTAGCCAGGAAACAGGCATCATTTAATTCTGTGAAGGAGACAATGTAGCATCACTCTCAAAAATTCAGAAGAGGCCAGGCGCGGTGGCTCATGCCTATAATTACAGCACCTTGGGAGGCCGAGGCAGGCGGATCACGAGGTCAGGAGATCAAGACCATCCTGTCTAACATGGTGAAACCCCGTCTCTACTAAAAAAAAAAAAATACAAAAAAATTAGGTGGACGTGGTGGCGGGCGCCCGTAGTCCTAGCTACTCGAGAGGCTGAGGCAGGAGAATGGCGTGAACCTGGGAGGCGGAGCTTGCAGTGAGCCGAGATTGTGCCACTGCACTCCAGCCTGGGCGACGAGTGAGACTCCGTCTCAAAACAAACAAACAAAAAAAAGCTCAGAGTTGGAGGAAACAGACAAGAGTGAATGGAAGGGGATAGGTTTTGAAGTAAGACTGTAACTTAGGATGAAATGCGAGGGGGCCCTGATATTAAGACGCTTTGGCCTGCACTAACTCATACAGTGGGAAAACAGAAAATCTGGATTAGGAGTTGATAATTTAAGGGAAATGGGGTGCCAAAGATCCAAACCCTCTTTGTCTATGGGATGGGGTAAGGGTGGGGGACTATTTTCTGACAAAGAAAGAGATGACAGTGACTAGAAAGGTGATGGAAAGTAGGGAGAACATTCTAACACCATCATCCTTTATTCCATTTAAATCTTGGACTATTTTACATTGAATTACAAGGGAATAAGAGGTCATGTGATGTTTACCTTCCATAAGCTTCTTTATAGTTTTCATTTCTCTCCTCCTTGACCAAATCCCAGAAGAGAGAACACTTGCTGCTCTGGTGAAGAGGAGCTTGGTGTAAGAAGGCCAGTCAGTCTCTATGGAACATTTAGTCATTAGGGATGAAAAGCAGGGTTTATTGCGCACGTGTTATGTTCTAGGTCTGTGTCAAGCCATCTTCCTGGGCCACTTCATTTAATCCCTCGTTAGCAGATGCTCATATTTTTGTTTTATCAAAATCTCCCAAGGCCACACAGCTCTCAGGTGTCAGGTCTGGGATGTCTAGCTCTGATTCTACACTCTTTAGGTATCATTTTATTTTATCTGGTTCTCTAATCTGAAATTAAAAGTCATATTCTTTTAACTACTATTCATTTATTTTAAATTACACAAACATTACACGCATGCTTTTTTGTTAGGGGTACATGAAAACAGATAGAAATAAAATTCTTTCACTCCCTACTTCCTCTCTTCCCACTGTTTTTTTGGTAATGAAACATTCATAGTGATAATTGTGGTTAACATCCACCGAGGATTTACCTATGCATTAGGTACTGTGCTCAGCGTTTTTGCATTAATTTTCTTATTTGAATCTCACAACAACCTCCTAGGCAGCTACAGATATTATCCTCATTTTATAGGTAAAGAAATGGAGGGTCAGAGACTTTATTAGGGAAGCTAACACCTACCATTGTAGGTCTGCCTTGTTTTAACACCATGCACGTTGCATGTATTATCTCTTTTGATTGTCCCCACATTCCTAAGAAATGGGTACCATTATCTCCTCACCTCCATTTTAGAGCCCTTGAAGATTAAAAACTTGTCCGGTAAATGGCCGACCTGGATTTAACCACGTCTTTTCAACTCCAGATCACTCTAACACCGTGCCACTCTGCTTCCTCCTGGTCTCCCCTCTGGTGCCTCTTACAGAATAAGACTACATCTTCATTCACATGAAAACCCTTCCAACCCACTTCAGAGGGCCTACAGGCTTCTGTGGGTTTTTCTTTCTCTGGCTAACAATCCACAATTCCCTCTCCATTTTTTCATGTAATTTTCGATGGCAAAGCTTCTGTGGTTGTGGGCTGATTTAAATCCTTAAAGAGGGTCTTGTCAATCATTGTTCTCTAAAATTAGCATGACCCAGGGTAGCAATTTCTTGCCTCCACTTTATGGCTGCCTAGAATGGAGCTCAGAGATGTAGAGTGACTTGTCTTAAGATCACACAGCTGGCCAGGCACAGTGGCTCAAGCCTGTAATCCCAGCACTTTGGGAGGCCAGGCACAGTGGCTCAAGCCTGTAATCCCAGCACTTTGGGAGGCCGAGGTGGGCGGATCACGAAATCAGGAGATCGAGACCATCCTGGCTAACACAGTGAAACCCCGTCTCTACTAAAAAATACAAAAAATTAGCCAGGCGTGGTGGCGGGCACCTGTAGTCCCAGCTACTTGGGAGGCTGAGGCAGGAGAATGGTGTGAACCCAGGAGGCGGAGCTTGCAGTGAGCCGAGATCGCGCCACTGTACTCCAGCCTGGGGGAAATAACGAGACTCCGTCTCAAAAAAAAAAAAAAAAAAAAAAAAAAAGATCACACAGCTGAACAGCGGGAGAGCTAGGAGTCATACCCAGCTTTTAGAGATTTTAAACTGTGTCTGAGGACTCCTGGATGGGGGATATCTGTAGATGAGCTTCTTGCAGGAAGGGCATGACCCTCCTGAAATGATATGCATAATTGTATGTATGTGTGCACACACATTTTTCTGGGGCAAAGTCCAGGACTTTCATTCAATTCTCTAAATATTCTACAAAACCCCAAATGGCTAGGAGCTATAATTCAGTAACAAGTACAAGCACAAACAGATAAAACAACAGTAACAACTCACATGAAAATATGACATAGGTCCCACTCCCCCCAAATCTATTAGAGTGATACAAACTCATACCTCAAGATACCTAGGAACTCTGATCATACTTTTCGCCTATGGGATTAATTTTATTTCTTTATTTCTTTTTTTTTTTTTGAGACAGAGTCTCACCTCTGTCACCCAGGCTGGAGTGCAGTGGCATGGTCTCGGCTCACTGCAAGCTTTGCCTCCTGGGTTCAAGCGATTTTCCTGCCTCAGCCTCCTGAGTAACTGGGACTACAGGCACCCACCACCACACCTGGCTAATTTTTTTTTTTTTTTGTATTTTTAGTAGAGACGGGGTTTCACCATATTGGCCAGGCTGGTCTCAAACTCCTGACCTTGTGATCCACCTGCCTTGGCCTCCCAAAGTGCTGGGATTACAGGTGTGAGCCTCTGCACCCAGCTGGGATTAATTTTATTTCTTGCTTGGTAGCAGGAATGTGTGAAATGGCCCCCAGTTTCTCCCAAAAGGCCTCCTCTCTACTGGGTAGGGACTCCAAAGCCAGGGCATAAAAAGCTACATAACTATGCCATTTCCTAAATAAAATCAGGTGGGCTGGGATTAAGTTCCCTACTGATTGTATCTCAGGCTCATGTTCACTGCCTCTATAACATCCCAAATCCCTATCCTTTCTTTCTAGTCCTTTCTTCTCATAGCCTGTTGGGTGGCATTAGGTGGGAGTTGAAAGAGTTGAGTCAGGGAGTGCAAAGGCTCCTGATTATATCCTACCTCTGCCATTTTGTGAGATTTTTGTTTTTCTTGTAGAATCTCAGGTGAGTTATTTGTTCTATCCTTTTCTGAATCTCAGTTTCCTCAAAATGTAAAATGGGGATAACGGTAGTACTTATTGTATAGGGCTGTTAAGTGAGAAAATGCATGAGAAAAATGCCTAGTACATAATTACTGGCTTGTAAATAATAGTCATTAGGAAGAACTTCTATTTTTTTCTTTTCTTTACATCTCTGCTGCTATTCCAGATCACAAACCTTCATTTTCAGGCAGTCCAGCAGGGTAACAAGAGGCCACTTCTGCCAGCTCCCAAATAACTGGCTGTTCCTGATCAGTATATAGATACTTTCCAGTTTTATGATTTTTTTAAACTACTAATCACACTAGGGAAACAGCTGAGGAGTGACAAAATCACAAACCCAGAGAAGTTACAAAAGCTTTTACAATCTCATAGTAGTAATTCTCAGTATTAGAATAAATCTGAGATTCTGAAAGCTTTTCACTGACCTCTGTTTAGATGGCTATGTAGAACTCTCAATTATTGGTTTTATTCCTGTGGGTGAATATCTTTAATTTTCAACTGCCTCTCAGTTGTTTTGTTCTCATGTTGCTCAATCTATTGAGGCTCCACTCTATAATTTAGGCTTGAGAATCAAGTTACAGCTGAAAAAGAGCTGTGGTCCAGTTTGCCATTCTAATGCTTCCAGGTTTGTGTTATTTATTTTACAAAGCAACTCTGTGTACATGTCTTCTAGTTCAATGCTCTCCTCCAATTTTTAGGTGGCTGGTCTGCAGATATCAACCAAAGAAGCCCTACTTAGTGTGGCAAATTCTAATCTCCACTCTCTGGATGCCAGATATAGGGCTCAGAGATGTAGAATGATTTATCCAAGGTCACACAGCTAGACAGAGGGAGAACTGGGACTCACATCCGCATTTCAGGGATTTTAAACTTGTGTCTATGAACTTCCAGGGGATGTAGGGGGGAAGTCTTGTCTGTAGAATGCTGGGAAACTAAGAAGATAGGAAATTGAGACCCAGAGAAGGCCAGGGAATTGAGAGAAGGCTTGTAGTGAGTTAGGAAGAGAGCTAAGGCAAGAGGCCAGTGGTCCTGACCCCGTGCAGAGTTGGTCTTTGTTCCCAGATGGGCAGCCACTGTTTCTCAACAGAGCTTTCTTGAAGGCAGGTTCCTTATTTACATATGAGGTTTCACTTTTCTTGTGCCCCAAATGAATCATTATACCTGTAATCAGCAGGAAGTCAAAAACTGTAGCACAAATTCAAGTTGAATGCACTGAAAAACACACGAGGACTTTGCTGTCAATATTCAAATTGGGAAAAATGAAGATTGCTCTGACAATAACAACATTTTTCTTTCCTTGCGATACTTAACAGTAGTTATTTCTTGGTCCCAGGGACAAGAATATGGGGGAGTGGGTTAGGGATGAGTTTAGAAACATTTTTTTCTATTACTGTATCTTTTTATTTTGCAAAGCCAGTTGAAGCTTCAAGGTCCAAAACAAGCTGGCCTTTCCATGGAGTTAAGGCATGCTCAGAGGGATATGTGGTTGCACATGGAATTTTAAATCTGTACCTTGTAACTCTGGCATTTGGTTTAGATATATGACAGTAGGTAATATATTTGGTTGCACTTTATGTGGCATAGGACATGTAAAAATGAGTAAGTCATGGCCTTCTTCTTTAAAGGGATCACACTTTAGTGGGATGGACAGGCTTGTGCATAACAAACCATCCTTTAGTGAGCTCTGCTTTGAGATAGAGGTAAGAAAAGGCACACTGGGGCCCAAAGATGGAAGAGGTGAAAATGAAAATGAGGACCAGGGTCAGGGCTGATTTTACTCATTGACCTTTGAATTGGTTCTTCAAGGAGAAAATGCTATTAAGGAGGGAAGAGCCAACAGGATGGAAGAACAGCATGAGCAAAGACGGAGAAATGTAATACAAGCATGATGTCTTTGGTGATTATTTAACAGTCTGGTTTAATCCAAAAATAGAGATAGGAAGCTGGTAATGGTCTAGGTTCTTAAGGGGCTTGTATGATCGACTAAAGAATTTATATTTTATTTCAGAGTCATGAGGAATTGTTCATTTTTTTAATTTTTTTTAGTATTTATTGATCATTCTTGGGTGTTTCTCGGAGAGGGGGATTTGGCAGGGTCATAGGACAATAGTGGAGAGAAGGTCAGCAGATAAACATGTGAACAAAGGTCTCTGGTTTTCCTAGGCAGAGGACCCTGCGGCCTTCCGCAGTGTTTGTGTCCCTGGGTACTTGAGATTAGGGAGTGGTGATGACTCTTAACGAGCATGCTGCCTTCAAGCATCTGTTTAACAAAGCACATCTTGCACCGCCCTTAATCCATTTAACCCTGAGTTGACACAGCACATGTTTCAGAGAGCAGGGGCTTGGGGGTAAGGTTATAGATTAACAGCATCCCAAGGCAGAAGAATTTTTCTTAGTAAAGAACAAAATGGAGTCTCCTATGTCTACTTCTTTCTACACAGACACAGTAACAATCTGATCTCTCTTTCTTTTCCCCACATTTCCCCCTTTTCTGTTCAACAAAACCGCCATCGTCATCATGGCCCCTTCTCAATGAGCTGTTGGGTACACCTCCCAGACGGGGCGGCTGCCGGGCGGGGGTGCCCCCTACCTCCCAGATGGGGCAGCCGGGTGGAGACTCTCCTCACTTCCCAGACGGGGCGGCTGCCGGGCGGAGGGGCTCCTCACTTCTCATACGGGGCAGCCGGGCAGAGGCGCTCCTCACCTCCCAGATGGGGTGGTGGCCGGGTAGAGATGCTCCTCACCTCCCAGACGGGGCGGCCGGGCAGAGGCGCTCCTCACATCCCAGACGGGGCGGCGGGGCAGAGGCACTCCCTACATCCCAGATGATGGGCGGCCAGGCAGAGATGCTCCTCACTTCCTAGACGGGGCGGCGGCCGGGAAGAGGCGCTCCTCACTTCCCAGGCTGGGCGGCCGGGCAGAGGGGCTCCTCACATCCCAGACGATGGGCGGCCAGGCAGAGACGCTCCTCACTTCCTAGATGGGGTGGCGGCCGGGCAGAGGCTGCAATCTCAGCACTTTGGGAGGCCAAGGCAGGCGGCTGGGAGGTGGAGGTTGTAGCAAGCCGAGATCACGCCACTACACTCCAGCCTGGGCGACATTGAGCACTGTGTAAGTGAGACTCCGTCTGCAATCCCGGCACCTCGGGAGGCCGAGGCGGGCAGATCACTCGAGGTCAGGAGCTGGAGACCAGCCCGGCCAACAGGGCGAAACCCCGTCTCCACCAAAAAATACAAAAACCAGTCAGGCCTGGCGGCACGCGCCTGCAATCCCAGGCACTCAGCAGGCTGAGGCAGGAGAATCAGGCAGGGAGGTTGCAGTGAGCCGAGATCGCGGCAGTACAGTCCAGCCTCGGCAACAGAGGGAGACCGTGGAAAGCGGGAGACGGAGACGACGGAGAGGCAGAGGGAGAGGGTTCATGTTTTTTGAGTAGGGAATGGCATTTTCAGTTGTTTTAGGAAAAATTGCTGTGGCAAGGGTGTGGAAGATGTATTAGATGGGAGTAAGGCTGGAGTCTCCTGCAATACTTCAGGTGAAGCATGAGTGTCTAGATTAGAATGATAGCAGCAACAACAATAGAGAGGGGACGGAGTAACAGCCATTTAGCAATTAGGAGTCAGAAGACTTGGTGGCCTAAATGGAGAATGAAGGACGGCTAATTCTCTGCAGTTGGGAGAATGGGTCAATGTGTGGGTTAACTGGTAAAGCAGCTCCATGAGGAAGAGTTAAGTTTGTGTGTGAGATCTTGAGTTTGAAATGCCTCAGAAGTGTCTAACAGGCAGTTGAAAGTGTGGGTCTGGGCTGACTCATGGATGCTTGGGTGGGTGTCTTTGCTAATTGGCACTTATATCTGGTCAAAATAATTACTACACTGATTCACATTATAAGTGCTAAATAAAGACTTGCCAGTATACCAATACTTTCATGTATATTCTCTCAAAAGGGGTAGTGCAAGACTAAGGATATAATTTGGGAGGTCATTGCTCATAAATGACACTTACTGAGTACTTATTATATGCCAAGGCTTGGCTCAACGTGTCTAGTGCATTGTCTCATTGTGAGCAATTGTCTGAATCTATGAGGCAGATTCTATTATAAGGTCCACGATAAAGGAGAAAAACTAAGGCTTGAAGAGGTTAAAAAATTGTCCAGAATTTGAATCCCAGGTCTCTTTGGTGCTTGAACCTGAGCTCTTACACACTTTATTGTCTTGCCTCATTAGCACAGGAGGGATAATGGAAGCTCCTGTATAATCACCTAAAGATATTGTGTGAGATGAAGAGAGAGGTGAAGAGGTGCAAAGGGAGACTCCCTCCCCACAAAGGAGCAGTACACTGGGGGAGCTTGTGGTGGAGGAAGAAAAGCCAACTAAGGAGCTACTCCTAAGCCAGCTAAGGAGCTAGACAGGAAGACACCAGAATTAGAATGGGATGCATAAGCACACAAGGGCCGAGGAAGCTGGGCTGGCAAAGCCTAGGGAGGCTGTAGTTAAAGATTAGGAAATTCTGGAATGAGGCATTTAGAGAGGTGGCTGTGTACTGCAGCAGGGTCACCATGAAGTGAACAGAGAGTATGAGCTCTGTGGGCGGACTCCATGAAATCCCAAAATGAGCAATTGCTAGAGGATGAATGTTTGACGTTCTTTCAAGAAATTTAGAGGGAAGGCAGGGTAGAGAAGGAAGGAGCTGCTGAACGAGCAAGATGTATTCTGGCATGGCATAGGAGGATGCAGTCAAACATGGCAGAGGTAGGTTTGATCTAGACGTGGAGATAAGAGAGAAGAGGGTGAGGAGAGAACAAATGAAGGTGTGAGAACAATCAGATCTCGTGTTGACCTCTAGGAGGTGGGAGAAGACTGGGGAAGCAAGACCTTGAACTTGGAGATTATCTAATCCATGAATTCCAGACCTGATCATGTGCTGGAATCACAGGGAACTTAGTAAAAATATAGGTCTCCTTAGTGTACCCAAGACTTGCAGATGAGAACCTCTGGCAGTGGGGTCAAGAAATCATATGTTTAACAAACCTCAGATGAGTCTTTTGAAGCCACAGCCCTGGTCCCAAGAAGGCAGTTAGGAATTCCTAGTATAGTACACTCTCCTTATTTTACAAATAAGGAAATTGAGGCACAGAGACATTTAAAAAGTTTAAAGAGGAGTGAGCACTCGTCCTTAGGTAGGAGTCTCTTCTGGCTCCCAAATTAGAGCTCATTGCCCTACATTGCACTATTTTAATAAAGTAAAGATAAAATTGAGCCCTGTCAGAACCTGACAATTTTCTGAGCCTTTCGCTGATCAAGGGCATGGAAAAGTTGTAGGAGGAATTGCCATTCTCAGTGCAAGTTCAGCAGAAGGAACAGAGAAAGGCAGAGGAATGAAGGAAACCACATTTGTACTCACCAATGCCATTGTTAGGAAGAAAGAAATTGGATGCACTTGATTTCAAAGTCAACATCTTTCATGAGGTATTAACAGATTTGTTTTATCTCTCATGCCCAGTGCTGTTCACAGACTTGAATCAGTTGGTAGCCCGGCTGGGGGATAAAGGAAAAAGACAAAATTGGATTCTTATTATTTTTTCTCACAATAGCATTCTAGTCTACCAACTGTACAATTTTTTATTAATAACATTGGAATTGAATCCATGTAATTCTAGCATCTAACAGCTCACCTTCAGAAATGTCAACCAAATAAGATCAAAGAGAATTGCCAAGCTTTAAAAGAGGTATGTCCATGTAAGACAAACAAAGAGTGAAAAAGAAATAAGGGGTGAGCTGTTGAAATAGAACACAAAGCCAGCCCCGAGATAGGTCCTCATTGATGGCTAACAAACTGAGCTGGGTGGCCCCTCTGTAGGCCAAAACATCTCTCTGATGCAGAGCCAGGGAGGGGTTTCTAGGCACTGGAGAGGTCTCTGATTTCACAGCGGGTAGAATAAAAGAGTAAACCTCAGTGTGTTCTGCAGTGTGGTCTCTCTCTCTGTTTTCTGCCCTATAAACAAGTCAATAAATAAAGGTACAAACGCCCTTTGGTAAGATCTACCATCTGTAACTGGGGGCTGTTGAACCCTGTGATACTCAGCAGTATATTAGAGAGGAAAAGAAGTGGAACCTGGAATCAGATGTCATTGCCCTACCATTCACTAGCTCTCATTATTAGCTATGCAGCCTTGGGCAAGATATGGACCCCTCAGAGCTTTCATTTCCTCCTCTTTCAATAAGTCTGCCCAAGTTTACTTAGCTCATAGACTCATATTAAAGCTCCAATGAGATAATGTATGTGAAAGTGCTTTGTGCACTTTCAGATGCTTACATTGTACTCACAATAATAATCATCGATAATAATGATTATTAGAATCTCTTTTCCAAAAACTGTACCCATCCAGGTGGTACAGGACTGGGGTTTCATTTCCTTTTTTTTTTTTTTTTTTTCCAGACGGAGTCTCGCTCTCTTACCCAGGCTGGAGGGCAAGGGCGCCATCTCGGCTCACTGCAACCTCTGCCTCCCATGTTCAAGCGATTCTCCTACCTCAACCTCCTGAGTAGCTGGGATTACAGGCACCCGCCATCATGCCTGGCTAATTTTTTTTTCTTTTTTTTTTTGTACTTTTGTAGAGACGGGGTTTCACCATGTGGGCCAGGCTGGTTTTGAACTTTTGACCTCAGGTGATCTGCCCACCTCGGCCTCCCAAACTGCTGGGATTACAGGCGTGAGCCACTCTTCCCATTGTATTCACTCTCCAGCACTCATCTTGCCACATTTTCCAAAGTCCATAGAGCCCAGAGGATAGGAGTTTGGGCTTTGAAGTTAAATGATCCTGGCTCCAAGATTTGCTCTGTCCCTTCCTACTATGCAACTTGAGCAAGTTGCCTGACCTCTCCAGGCCACAAGTTTCCCACTGTGAGATGAGGGCAGTAATGGGAACTACTGACGAGCATTTTCTGAGAATTAACTAAGAACATGAGAAGTACTTCACATTGTACTTGGCATGCAGTAAGTGCTCAGTATATGGTAGCCATTTATTATTATTGTTGTTGTTATCAATAATTCTGAGTGTTTTAGGTCAAATGCAGATCTTCCCACCTCCCTCAATCAAGATTAGTTAATTTATTTATTTCTGTTTTTGAGATGGGGTCTCGTTCTGCAGCTCAGGCTGGAGTGCAGTGGTGTGATCATGGCTCACTGCAGCCTTTATCTCTTGGGCTCAAGCGATCCTCCTGCCGCAGCCTCCTGAGTAGCTGGGACTACAGTCATGCACCACCATGCCCAGCTAATTTTTTTTTATTTTGTAGAGATGGTGTCTCCCTATGTTGCCCAGGCTGGTCTTGAACTCCTGCGTTCAAGAGATCTGGCCGCCTCGGCCTCCCAAAGCGCTGGATTACAAGCATGAGCTACCGTGCCTGGTCTCATTGAAGATTTATTGATCAGCTAATGTGGGCAAAGCCCAGTGCTAGACATTGCCCTCCAGAGGAGAGTCCAGTGATGAAGGATTAGGAATGAGGTCTTATCTGTGCTTTACTGAGACCCTCAGCTATTGGCACATGAGAACAGAAGCCTAAGGAGGTGACTCTAGGCTCTCACAGGGTTGATGAGATTTTGTTGCTAGGGTGTCTCAAGGTTGATGAGATTTTGTTGCTAGTGGAAGGTTGAGGCCAAGGTTCAGAACCAAGGTGCCTCTTGAACAATGGTGTTCTAGAATCCCTGGTTTCCTTCTATCTACCTAATCTGCGTGAAATGTGACAGTATCTCACCATTTCTTTCTCTTTCTGAACCACATTGGGTGCCAACAGAACTTGCTCTCTGTTCTCTTTCAAAATTACCAACATGGACCCCACCCAATTCTTCCCTTGGAACTAAGGAACGCCTGACTGATGTATGTAATGCTCTGTTGATTTATTCATTTCAGTGTATATATTCATTTAAGTGTATAAAAACATGTAAAGTCCTTTAGAATTTGAAGCAAGCATGCGAATTCAATAAATGTGTGCTTCCACTTTCAAAAGGAGTTTTGAAATTCCGGATTTGTATTAGTGCTGCTGGGAAAGGTCAGAAAATATGAATTCTGAGTAGAGGTCAGCAAAATACGTAGTCCCTTCCTTTGTTATTTACTGTAAAATCTTGCGCAAATGAACTTTTCTCTCTAGATTTCAGCTTCCCTCTTGACAAATTAAAAAAAAAAAAGAAATTGGAGGAGACAATTTCAAATCCCTCCCAACTCTTAAACATTCAGATTGTGATTTTTGGATTCTTTTGCTCTTTTGGATTTTTTAAGACCATATCGCCCATGATCCACAGGGGGCAGCGTAAGCCCGAGGCTACCCATGAAAGAAAAGAAACTGTTCTCTGAAGGCTTGCACTTGTCACTTCTAAAATTCTAGGATTGCGTTGAAGTTGTATCTTTGAGTTGACTTATTTCAGAACTAATTTTGTTTTAAACATAGGACAGATGAGTCCCAGCATCTATGAATTCAATGATGAGTCAACATATGTGATATCTGTTTTAAAATGCACCCACTGAGAAGACAGAGTGCTCTTCTTTTCCGTTGATTTCTGGCTCGAAGCTCACTCATTCGAGAATTTGTGTTTTCAAGTAGGATTATAATATGCTTTTTTTCTTTTCTGTCAGATTCGTTAAGAACATTTTTTTTTGAGTCATTCAGAGTTGGGTTCAAATTTCCTTTGTTTGTGTCACCTTGGGCAATCAATGTAACTTCTTTCAGCCTCAGTTTACCATCTGTAAAATGGGTTTATGAACATTAAATGTGATAATTTGGCCAGGCATGGTAGCTCACACTTGTAATCTCAGCACTTTGGGAGAACGACTTGGGAGGATCACTTGAGCCCAGGAGTTTGAGACCAGCCTGGTCAACATAGCAAAACTCCATCTCTACCAAAACAAAACAAAACAAAACAAACAAACAAACAAAAAAAACCACACACACTAGCTAGGTGTGGTGGCACACACTTGTAGTCCCAGCTATTTGGGAAGCAGAGGTGAGGTGGGAGGATACCGTGAGCCAGAGCCTGGGAGGTTGAGGCTGCAGTGAGCCCTGATTGCACACTGCACTTAAGCCTAGGCGACAGAACAAGACCCTGTCTCTAGGTTTTTAAAAAATTATAATTTATACAAAGTGCTTATAACTGTGCCTGGCACATAGTAAGAGCTCAATAAATGTATTCAAAGAGGAAGTCTCTGCTAATTTTAAAGCAAGTTTCTATGAATAGGATGGGAACGGGGATGATATTAAAAGTGGATTCTTAAAAGATCTTCTTGTCTAAAATTGTAATGCCATTTCAGAACTGCACATAGCACAGTTCTAATTAAGTGACAAAGCAGGTTCTGGTGTACCACGGTAAGCATAGCCATGTTGAAAAGGAAGTCTATTATTACCCTAACTTCTGAAGGCTCTTACAATTAAATTAATTCCTTGATACCATGGGGGTTGTTTTTGCACCAGTAGACCAATAGGGATCTGCAAACTTTTTCCGTAAAGGGCCAGAAAGGGCCGGGCACGGTGGCTCACACCTATAATCCCACCACTTTAGGAGGCCAAGGTGGGTGGATCACAGCTCCTCAAGGTCAGGAGTTTGAGACCAGCCTGGCCAACATGATGAAACCATATTTCTACCAAAAATACAAAAATTAGCTGGGCCTGTAATCCCAGCCACTCAGGAGACTGAGGCAGGAGAATCGCTTGAACCTGGGAGGTGGAGGTTGCAGTGAGCCAAGATCGCACCACTGCACTCCAGTCTGGGAGACAGAGTGAGACTCTGTCTCAAACAAAACAAAACAAAACAAAACAAAACAAAACAAAACAACACTCTCACCCATGAACAGATAAAGAGATTATCACTGTTACAGTTTGGACTATATCCTTTCACTTTTCAGCTTTTTTTGGGGGGGGGTTGGGGGGCGAGATCTCACTCTGTTGCCCAAGCTGTAGTGCAGTGAACCAGTCATAGCTCACTGCAGCCTAGAATGCCTGGCTAATTTGTTACAAAAATTTTTTGTAGAGAGAGCATCTTGATATGTTTCCCAGGCTGGTCTCAAAGTTGTGGCCCCAAACGACCCTTCCACCTTGGCCTCCCAAAGTGCTAGAATTACAGGCATGAGTCACCACCCTTGCCCAGTCTTTTTAATTTTCCTCATAACAATAGATTATTGTTTTTCACAAAAACTTTCAATTTTTTCTTTTCAAAATCATTCTATATTCTTTTAAACTCACTTTAAATTTCATTAGTTTCATTCAAGAAATCTTTACCACAAAGCTGCTATATACCATTCATATATTCGATAGAACAATGTGAAATGGCTGATATTTAAACCATTTTCTTTTCTTTTCTTTTCTTTTCTTTTTTTGAGACAGAGTCTTACTCGGTTGCCCAGGCTGGAGTGCAGTGGCACGATCTCAGCTCACTGCAACCTTCACCTCCCAGGCTCAAGCCATTCTCTTGCCTCAACCTCCGGAGTAGCTGGGATTACAGGCACCCACCACCACGCCTGGCTAATTTTTGCATTTTTAGTAGAGACAGGGTTTAACCATGTTGGCCAGGCTGGTCTTGAACTGACCTCAGGTGATCCATCCGCCTCGGCCTCCCAAAGTGCTGGGATTACAGGCGTGAGTCACTGCATTCAGCCCTTAAACCGTTTTCTTTAATGCTTGTTTTCAAATAATTTTCGTCTCACGAGAACTTGCAAAAATAGTGCAGTGAGGTTCTCCTATATATTCCTCCAGTGTCCCCCAATGATCACATCTTACCTAACTATAGAACATTGTCCAATCCAGGAAACTGACACTGGCACAATGTAATTAACTAGTATATTAACCCTCGCAGGCCTTTGTTGGGTTTTATATGTACTTACTGTTAAAAATTCTTTGGACTTAAAAAACAAGCAGTATATATCTATTGTGCAGCTTTCCATGTCAGTACTTTTAGATCTGGAGGGTGTCCTTTTTTGGCTGTGGGTTACTGGGTTTCTAACACCTGTCTTCAAAGTTTCACATAGAAGGTCGCTTTGACGCTGCTTCAGGGAAATGATAAACACCCCAAGAGTTTGCTCTTGCCTCAAGCATCGTGGAGTTTCCAGTGATGAACACATGATACAAATAATATTTTACCATTGAAAAGTCACATTTGAGAAAATTTAGAAATTAGACAAAATTAAAATGGTACTAGGAAGAATAATTTTAATTGTCTTGATATTTCTACTTGAAAGCAGGTGTATTTAGTCTTTATGTTTCTTTTTAGTTTTCTTTGGGGAATAAGTATGCAAATATTTAAGAATACATAATTGTATTTCTGTATGTATTTTTAAGTATTTGCATACTCATTCCCTATACTAAGCGTAGTTTTATATCCTTTTAAAAGAATACTGTGTAATGATAATTTTTCTCAGTAAAATTCTTTGAAAAAAGATATCCAGAATTAGAAAGGTTAAAAAGGATATAGGAGATCAGTTGGTGAAATATTAATATTTTCAGATGAAGAAACTATGGCTCAGAGAAGGAAAGTATCTTAGCCAAGGTCGCATAGCCAGGAAAGTTGACATAAATACTTAGTGATGGCAGAGAGTCCCAGGATGCCACAGTGAGGAAGGCTGAGGGGCAAGCCCTTGGCAATACTCCAAGATCTAAGGTTAAGTGTTACAGGAATTTCATTTTACCAGAGTGCCCATGCCTACCAAGAACTCAAGAGACCAAAATACAAGCTAGAAAGCCAATTTACTAACTTACAGTAAGAATTCTAGCTGCCAAGAGATCTAACCTGTAATCCTCCTGTAAATGTATTCTCATCCTATAGAAACATCTAATATTAACCAGAAGGTTTGGTGAATCCATGGACCCAGGAAAAGTGGAGTTAATGTTAAGATTGTTTTGTTAATGTTTAAATTTTAATTAATTTAAGATACATCATACACACTCATGGAAAAAGTACAAAGCATGCAAAAAATGTTAACATGAAAAGTCAATCTTCCTTTCATATCTTGTGCCTGTCCCAGAACAACTGTTCTTTTGGAAGGTCTTAGGAACCACTGTCTCTGTATTAGTTTCTTGTTGCTGCTGTAACAAATGACCTCAAACTTACTGGCTTAACACACAAATTTATTATCTCAGAGTTGTGAAGGGTAGAAGCTCTAAAATCAAGGTGTTGGCAGGGCTATATTCATACTGGATTTGTTAGGGGATAATTTGTTTCTTTGCTTTTTCTAGCTCCTAGAGGCATTCCTTGGCTTGTGACTCCTTCCTTCATCCTCAAAGTCAGCAGCATAGCATCTTCAAATATCTCTCTCTCTCTGTGATCTCTTCTTCCTTTATCACACATCCTCTGACTTCTTCTCTAACTTTCTTGCCACCTCCTCATAAGGACCCTTGTAATTACATGAGACCCACCAGATAACCCAGGATAATCTTCTCATCACAAGATCCTTAGCTTAATGACATTGCAAAATATCTTTTGCCATGGAAGAGAACATATTCACAGTTTCTGAAGATTAGGACATGGACATATTTGGGTGTCATTATTTTGCTGACCACAGTCTCCAAACTACATTTGAGAGATGAATGACTCCTTCTTCTCTAGACCAGACTAATAATGTGTTCTGATGAAAAATAATGTATTCTTGTTATTAAGATGCTTATTTATATTTGTTTACCAATTTGTTCAGTACATTATGAAATATATCCTTCTGGAAAATGTTTAAAAGATAAGGTATAAATAAATGTAAATAGAAGTTGTCATTTTCCCCACAGCCAGTGGATTGCCTGCTACACTCATGGTGAGTACCGAGCCCTCTTTAGAGACCACTGTCCTAAACTATCCTTTTTCTACATTCAGTGCAAATCACTGTCCTGAACATTCCTTTCTTCTGTCAGTAGGACATGCTATTTATATGGTACAAGGCACTTGAACTCCAGCATAATGAGGTTGTTAACAGTATAGGTATTTATGTCAGTCAAACAGTTCAAATCCCAGCTCCACAACTACCACCTGTCCAACCTCCATCACATTGCTCAACCCCATGGGCCTCATTTTTTTCACTGGCAATATGGCATAATGTCTGTCTCATAGGGTTGCTTGTGAGGATTAAATATTCAGTGTGAGGCTGGGTGCAGTGGTTCATGCCTGTTATCCCAGCACTTTGGAGGCTGAGGCGTGCGTATCACTTGAGGCCAGGAGTTTGAGACTGGTCTGGGCAACATAGCAAGACCCTGTCTCTACTAAAAATACAAAAAATTGGTGGTGCATACCTGTAATCCCAGCTACTTGGGAGGCTGAGGCATGAGAATCGCTTCAACCTGGTAGGCGGAGGTTGCAGCGAGCCAAGATCGTGCCACTGCACTGCAGCCTGGGTGACCGAGCGAGACTCTGTCTCCAAAATAAATAAATAAATAATGTTCAATGGAATTTTAATAACAATATGACATTAGATTTATACTCTTTGGAGTTTAATACTAGGATCTTTCGTTGGATTTAGTCTTCTTACCTGTGCTCAGCACCCACTTCCTGACTTTTTTTTAGGTTGGTTACCCCTGTTTAAGGTTGCTTTCATTCTTTGTGTGTTGATTCCTTTGAATTTATTTCCTGGGGCTGCTGTAACACAAAGTACCACAAACTTAAAACCACGGAAATTTTCATTCTCTCTCAGTTCTGGAGGGCAGAAGTCTGACAAATCAAGGGGTTGGCACAGCCATGCTCTCCTTGGAGGCTCTAAAGGAGAACCCTTCCTTGCCTCTTCCTAGCTTCTGGTACTCCAGGGATTCCCTGGCTTATGACAGCATCACTCCCATCTCTCTCGTCTTCACATGACCTTCTCTGTGTGTGTCTCTCTGTGACCCCTTCTCTTAAGGACACCAATCATTGGATTTAGGGCCTACCCTAAATGTAGAATGATTTTGTCTCAAGAGCTTAACTAATTACATCTGCAAGGACACAATTTCTAAACAATGTCACAGTCTGAGGTTCTGGGTGGATGTGATTTGGTGGGGAGAGGGGGTAGTGATACTATGCTACTCATTATACTTCCCTCTTGCAGAATTGCTTTACTCCCAAGTTCTGGGAGGCTCCTGCCTTTGTCTCAATGTACATGTGTCAGAGCTCAGGGCCTTGAGAATCTAAGGGCTGGGGGAACACAGACAACCTGGAAATCAGTAGTTTTGCCTTGTCTAACCCCATCCCCTTGCCACTGGCATGGCTACTTTTCACAAGGAAGAAAAATCACAGTCAACTTGTTCTCAGTGTTGCCATTCTGTGTATGACACTGTAGCCCTTGGAGTGCTTCCCATTTGGGCTTTTAGCATCTTCAGAAGAAGAAGAAGAAGAAAGAAAAAAGTGCTGTTTGGTATCACGCAGCAGCATTTGTGTTTGCAAAATGTCTCTCCCATTGGACGATTCCAATTTAAAATACAGATTAGCTCTGACAAAACTGACCCAGGCTGGCTTTTCTGTTTGATAGTTTCAATTTCAGGCTTATTCATCACAAATGATTGTAATACAACAGGATTTTGACAGAACAAGGGTAGGAGTTTTGAATTCTTACCTGCAATTTTCAGCTCTAGGGGATAATTGCAGAGAGAAAAACAACAATAACTTAGTTCTAGGATATGAAAACATGCTGAATTTCCCCTTTGTTCCTAGTGACATTTAACAAGTCACTTTCCTGATGAACAAATCAGCTCTCTGATACCAAATTATGAGCCTTACAAAATCTACCACATTTATCCTTTTGCCTTAAGTACAAAGGAAGCTCTGGGGAAACAATGATCAATTTCATTAATTATTAGCTTAGGTATTTATTATATCCAGGACCTCTCCCTGTGTGTTTTATTTAAGTTCTGTTTCTATTTTAAGACTTTATTGTACATATGACTTTACATCCCTCCTGGATGTTTTCTTCCTTGCCCCGGCTTCTGATACTGCTCTTACTTTCTGATCTCTCTGACCATTTCTTCTCTTTTTTTTTCTCTCCTCCACCTCCTCTGCCTACTGTTTAATGCTGATGTTTTCCAGGATCCCTGCTCTTCTCTCTGAACATGCAGCCCATGGATTTCTTTCTGTCTTTTTTTTTTAGATGGAGTCTCTCTCTGTTGCCAGGCTGAAGTGCAGTGGGGCAATCTCGGCTCACTGCAATCTCCCCATCCTGGGTTCAAGCGATTCTCCTGCTTCAGCCTCCCCAATAGCTGGGACTACAGGCGCACACCACCATGCCAGCTAATTTTTGTATGTTGTATTTTAGTTTCAGCATATTGGCCAGGATGGTCTTGATCTCTTGACCTCTTGATCTGCCCACCTCGGCCTCCCAAAGTGCTGGGATTACAGGCATGAGCCACTGTGCCCGGGCCAGATTTCTTATATACTCTGAGGGGGTCAACTGCTCCCTGGATACTGATGACTCCCAAATCAGTATTTCCAACTGCACCCTTTTTTTCCTGAGTTTGATTTAGATTCAAATGCATCAACTGCTTGTTAGGGGAATTGTGCTTGCATGTGCCCCACGGTCACTCAGTGACTGTAAATGTGAACTCATCACTTTTCTCCCCTAGACTTACCCTTCTCCACTCCTTCCCCTGTTCTCAGTCTTAGTGGACAGCTCAGGCCATGGCCAGGTGTCTCAAGTAGGAACTGGTGAGGTATCAAAGACTTTTCTCTCTTTCTTACCCCCACATTCAATGTCCATATCCTGTTGTTCTGCCTTCTAAGCATTTCTGAAATCTCTCTCTCTCTTTGGTTTTACTAGCTCTGAATTTCAGACCTGGAATTAGATGACAACTCTCTTCTTGGCTCTTCCCTTATCCTCCTAACTGGACCATATCATGCTTAAACATTTCTGTGGTTTTCCATTGCCTACAGAATCCAATGGAGACTTACCATCAGGAAACAAAGGCCTTCCCTGATTGGCTCTTGCTCACCTGTCTCATCTCTTGCAGCTACCACCCCTCATTTCACCTCTTCATGGCCACTTGCCATCTGACATGGGCACCATGCTCTTTCTTGTTTCCACAGCTTTGCTGATGCTGTTCTGTCCACCTGAAACACCGTTGCCACCATTCCTTGCCTGGCTAATTCTTACACGACCTTAACTCAGAAGTGTTATTCAACAAACATTTATTGAGCACCAAGTATATGTGAGGTGGTATCACAGTCTCAGTAGTGAACAAGCAGACAGGGACTCTGTCCTCATGACACTTTATTCTAATAAAACTTTCAATGAACTACAAAGTTGAGCTGAATGCTTCTCCCTCTACCTGCCCTTCCAGCAGCCTGTGTGCTCCATCACTACCTTTGGCCTGTTAGGCTGAAATCATCTTTCGGTCTCTCTTCTCTAATGGACTGTAAATTTCTTGAGGGTAGGGGCCATGCCGCAGTCTCACAGTATTCTTAGTGCCTGGAACAGTGCTTAGCATTTGGTAGATTCTCAGTATGGTTCCCTTGTAACTCAACTATAGATTATGAATACATGACTCCACCTCTCAGCATAAACTCCCATTCTCAAGGAAGTTTTCTTTGACCCTCCAGAACAAGCCTGGCATCCTCATGATATGTCCCTTATACTGTATTTTTCCCAGAATTGTGTACTTGTAACTAATTATGTTTTCAACTATTTACATTACATTTTTACATTTCATTTTCTGCACTAAGTTGTAAATTCTATGAGGTCCAAGGTATAGCTATCACACTGCATGGCCTATAATAGGTGCTCAGTAAATATTTATTAACTAGAAAACTGACAAATTTTCTTGCCGGATAAAAATCCTGAATGAATTGCTGAAGCCTACAGAAAAATTAGAGCCAATTGCCTACTGGCCCAATGCCTGACTCTACTCATCTGTAAAATGGTGATGTTCCCAGGGATAACGTTGTATAGCAGATAAAATTTACATTAAAACCATATCAAAACAAATATGCATAAATAGATTATACAAAAAACACGGGATTAAATAATTAAACACATCAGCTGCAGTTCCAGATGGACTCTTAATTACCTATTTCAGGATGTGATATTTTATTCCCCAACCAGACATATAACCATTTTCTTCTCTTTTCCTTCCCAGCATCTGATACAGCAGTTCCTGAGCAGAACAAAACAACAAAAACAGGACAGGTAAAAAATCTGTGAAGTATTTGCAGTATATCACTTAAATAGTAAAAATCCACAGTAGTGGCCAGGCACGGTGGCTCATGCCTATAATCCCAGCACTTTGGGAGGCCAAGGTGGGCAGATCACTTGATGCCAGAAATTTGAGATCACCCTGGCCAACACGGCAAAACCCCATCTCTATCAAAAATGCAAAAATTAGCCAGGTGTGGTGGCACATGCCTGTAGTCCCAGCTACCCAGAAGGCTGAGGCATGAGAATTGCTTGAACCCAGGAGGCAGAGGTTGCAGTGAGCCAAGATGGCGCTATTGCACTCCAGCCTGGTGGCAGAGTGAGACTGTGTCTCTTAAAACAAAACAAAACAAAAAACAAACAAACAAAAAATCCGCAGAGGTTTGCAGAGATGGACTAGGAAAAGCAGGATATTGCTGTCGCAAAATTCATTGCAACAATTATGAAACAGCCCAATAATTTATAGACTTGTACTCTTGGCAGAAATAACCTTGATTGTTACATCTGTATGTGCCAATACTTTGAAAAGCAAAAAGAAAAAAATATAAAAAACATGCAAGATCATTGTGTGTTCCGTCTGCGTGACCCAGAGTTCATGACATACTGCAGAATCAACACCTGCCATCAATATTTCTCTTGTTTTCTGAGGGTGCTATTTTTATTATTACAAAAGTGATTCAAGCCATTTTAAGTGAAAGCTTCAGGCAGTACAGAAGTCTGTAAAGGATAAGTAAAGTTTCCCCATCCCCTCTTTCTTCTTCCCCATCTCTCTCTCAGACACTGTCTGTTGTCCTGTCCTGGTTGCTGTGCCCACTGTCTCTGGGATTCTGTGTGTTACAGAATGGAACAGGAAGAGAGGGAGAGAGCATATCTTGGTCAATGGAGATGGCATAGCCCCAGCAAGATGCCCCAATGCCTGCCTGCAGAGCAGCAGTTCTCAATTTTTTTTGAGACAAAGTCTCACTCTTGCCCAGGCTGGAGTGCAGTGGTGCAATCTTGACTCACCGCAACCTCTGCCTCCTGGGTTCAAGCGATTCTCCTGCCTCAGCCTCCTGAGTAGCTGGGATTACAGGCACATGCCACCATGCCTGGCTGATTTTTTATATTTTTAACAGAGATGTGGTTTCATTATGTTGGCCAGGCTGGTCTTCAGTTCCTAGCCTCAAGTGGTCCACCCATCTTGGCCTCCCAAAGTGCCAGGATTACAGGCGTGAGCCAACATGCCTGGCCTATATTCTCTCTCTCTCTCTCTTTTTCTTTTTTTAACTTGGATTTTAATCATGTATGTAAATAGCAACATGAGTACAGGGAGTTCTAAGCCTTGTGCCTTATCTCTAAGTGAAAGGATTTCAGATTTGTTTGCTTGTAGGATGGCATCACCCAAGATAACAGAGACCTAGTATAGTTTTTCCTGAAGAAGAAAGCCAGTTTAATATATTCAATACTGACTTCTCTGCTATTTTTCTGTAAAAATAATGATTGACCATTTGAAGTTTCTGTTGCTTACCTGTAACTGATTAAAATGTGTAGAGCATGAAATTTTCTATTTATTTTCAGATGAATTCCTCACATTTCCTGGCTTTAGAAAGTTCTCCTTCCAAAAATCTTCCACGACTATGTATCCTCATAAACCCTGGTCATATAATATCTCCTTTCTGACCTGCACAAACTCGATGGCTTGCTGTGGATAATGGATAGAGGCTGCTAATCCTATGAAACTGGGTAGAAATGCCTGCTTCTTTATTTTTGAACCTCTAGCCAAAACAAGTCCAACAAGGCCAGCAAAACCAATAACACCCAGTCCTGGAAAAAATCCAGCAGGTGCATTTTGGAGATATTCATAGCTGTCTCACCCCCATTGAACCAAACTTTACATCTTTGGCTTCATTTAGGAGTACCTTTCCTGACACCAACTTTTATATAGCTCTTGATAATGTCAAAGCTGAGAGATGCTTTCCTAAGCTGGGTCCTTGACTCATCTGCATGTTTAGATTAGCCCTCGAGAACTTAGTAGAGTAAAACTCATAAACCTTCATGGGATTTTGGGGAGGGAAGTCCTTTTTTGGTGCTGCATAGACTTTGAAGGTGAGTAGGCTCAGGCTGGTCAGCCCCATGGACCTCTAAACCACCTTGAACATGTTACTGGCAGTGGGGACTTTCACAAGGTCTTTTTAAACGTTTGAAACTCAGTTTCTAGCCTGGGCAACAGGGCGAGACCCCTGTCTCTACAAAAATAAAAATTAAAAAAAAAATAGCCGAGTGTGGTATCATGTACCTATAATCCTGGCTACTTTGGGAGGCTGGGGTGGGAGGATCACTTGAGTCCAGGAGGTTGAGGCTGCAGTGAGCCTTGTTTGTGCCACTGCACTACAACGTAGGCAACAGAGAGAGACCCTGTCTCAAACAAAATAACAGCCTGGGTCTTGTGGCACACTCCTGTAATCCCACTTTGGGAAGCCGAGGCAGGAGGATTGCTTGAGCCCAGGAGTTCAAGACCAGCCTGGGCAAAATAGTGAGACTCTGTCTCTACACAAAATTAAAAAAAAAAAAAATAGCCAGGCATCGTGATGCATGCCTGTAGTCCCAGCTACTCAGGAGGCTGAGGTGGGAGGATTGCTTGAACCCGGGAATTCAAGGTTGCAGTGAGCTGTAATCATTGCCACTGCACTCCAGCCTGGGCAAGAGCAAGACCTTGTCTCTACAAAAGAAAAAAAAAATCAGTTTCTTAAAACTGAGACTTGGTTTTTGATTCTCTAGACTGCTCAGCAGAAAAAACTGAGACATTTTTACAATTAAAAAATTTTTTTAGGCCGGGTGCAGTGGCTCATGCCTATAATCCCAGCACTTTGGGAGGCTGAGGTGGGCAGATCACTTGAGGTCAGGAGTTCGAGACCAGCCTAGCCAACATGGTGGAAACCCATCTGTACTAAAAACAAAAAAATTAGCCGGGCTTGGATATGCATGCCTGTAACCCCAGCTACGTGGGAGGTTGAGGCAGGAGAATTGCTTGAACTCGGGAGGCAGAGGTTGCAGTTAGCTGAGATTGCACCACTGCACTCCAGCCTGGCTGACAGAGTGAGACTCTGTGTCAAAAAAAAAAAAAAAAAAAAAAATTTAATCCCAGCAATGGCAGGAGCTTGAGCCCAGCCTGGGCAACATAGCGAGACACCATCTCATTTTTTAAAATTAAAAAAAAAAAGTTTAAACTTTTCTTTTAGGTTCAGGGGTACATGTGCAAGTTTGTTATACAGGTATCTGTATTTAAAACATTTAAAAAAATCAATTTATTTAAAAATAACAACAAACTCACTTTGTGCTAACATAACATGTTTTATGGCAACTAACTAACTCTATTTTGAAAAAATATTAGTGAGAAAAATGAATGAAAAAATTACTGAGAAATATGGCATTGTTTTACATTTTTTGCAAATCTCATTAATATCTGGCTTAATAGGAGACAGAGGGATTCTCATCTCTGTTTCCACATTCTGTGTAAGTGACAGCAATGACATCACACATCACATAGCCTCTGGGAAAGTATACTGTATATCTCATGAGAGAATGATAGTGAAAATGGCAAAAAATGTCTCATGAAAATCATTTTGATCTCATGGGCCCCCCATCTAGACTTTGAGAACCACTGCTGTAGAAAATGTGAAATTAAGTTTCATTTTCTCTTTCATCCTGTTTTCTCTAGAAGCCTAAGTCAGCCATGAAAAGAGTAGCACAGGGCTAGGGAGAGCTCAAAGGATTTGAGCAGCGGCTAGGAAAGAGATTTGACCATGGAGAACACAGCTCACAACAGTTATTTTTTATCCTCAGACCCCTGAGCCCCACAGCTCCTTATGCCTGATGTCTAACACTTCGGAAAATTTTGGGATATGGGTCACGTGTTTTGGGTTTTCAGAGATTTTTGACAAAAGGTGGTGAAATGTAGTGAAACTGCTGGTGGTTGTAAGGTGCTATTGGGCTGGGATGTCATCTTGTGAGGGTGGCATCTAGCAGTGACTGGGTCCATCTCCTTGCCTGTGTCCCATCAGATGGATGGAATACCCATGTCAATGAAGAATGAAATGCCCATCTCCCAACTACTGATGATCATCGCCCCCTCCTTGGGATTTGTGCTCTTCGCATTGTTTGTGGCGTTTCTCCTGAGAGGTAAGGAGGGAGGGCCAGGTGATGGAGCACTTCAGAACCCTGGCGACTGCAGGAGGATCTGGAGTTGTCTCCACTTCCTTCCCCTTTATCCCTCCCCAAAGAGGCTCAGTTCTGCCATTGTTCCCATCCCAGCCAGGGAAGTAACAGGTAAGTTCATTCTCCCCAAGCTGCTAATGACTCTGTGTATTAACCTCCTGGTAGAGTTTACGTTTTGGAAAAGGAAAAAAAGCAGAAGAGCACCTTCATTTATTGGACATTTCTGTGCCAGTCCTGATGGTATACTCTTGATGTGCCTAATTCATTTTATCCCTATTACTGCCTTAAGAGGAAAGTACTATTTCCTACTTTGTTCACTTTCTCTGTTCTTTGGTTGGGAAAACCCTAGCTTGTCTCTTCTTTTGGCTAGGATTGTTGCAGGACGAAGACCATGAACAATCCTGGTTTTCTTCTTCTTTTTTTTTTTTTTTTTTTTTTTTTTTTTTGAGAGAGTCTCATTCTGTTGTCCAGGCTGGAGTGCAGTGGCGTGATCTCAGCTTACTGCACCTCCGCCTCCTGGGTTCAAGTGATTCTCCTGCCTCAGCCTCCTGAGTAGCTGAGACTACAGGTTCACGCCATCACACGGGACTAATTTTTGTATGTTTAGTAGGAGGGGGTTTCACCATGTGGGCTAGGTTGGACTCAAACTCCTGACCTCAGGTGATCCACCCACTTTAGCCTCCCAAAGCTCTGGGATTACAGGCATGAGCCACCATGCCTGGCGTGATCCTGGTTTTCTTATATGTTCCCTAAAAGCAAGCTTTCTTAACCTGGAGGCCACAGATGGACTTCAAGGGTAATGTGAATCCTTTGAAATCACATGCAAAAGTGTTTATGTGTTCATGCCTGCATTTTTCAGGGGACAAGGTCTGTAGTTTTCATTAAGTTAGCAAGCTGCTCCATGACCTTGCACCTCCATCCCACCCCTGCCCCCCGCCCCCAAAAGTTTTAAAATGCTACAAAAACAGCCATGAAACAGCTTATGGTTTTCAGGCAAATTATAGGCACGTGGCACCTGGTACTGTTGTAAAATGGGGATAAATTGTTCTGTACTCATTAACAAAAGCTGTTTCAGGGCAGTATGTCAGGAGATGAGACTAGTAACCATCTCAGCTGATTTGAATAATAATGAAACTTGTATATTTCAACACCTGCCCCAGGTGCAAAAGCAAATTTAAAATTTACTGGAATCCTGCTGTTAGCCTTCATACAAAGGCATGATTACAGTTTTGGAAAATTCTGAGTATGTCTCGTAAAGAAGTGTTTTGAAACCCAAGTGAGTGCTTGAATTCTGGATAGGCAGATGACTCAGAATGAAATAGCTTAACACCATTGCCCAGAATGTTGGAACAACTTGGTAATTGATGAGCACTAACTGTGGTTAAAATAGCAAGTGTTTGACCTGGGAAAGGGAATGGCTTTTTCTGCCAAAGCCAGCCACTGGTTCTCACCTTTGGCCCATATCTGCTCTTTGCGGGGCAGCACTGGAATTCCCCCAGCATTTTGCATGTTCTATGCACCGCAGCCACTCTGCTCACACTGTGGCCTTGTCTTTTCAGGGAAACTCATGGAAACCTATTGTTCGCAGAAACACACAAGGTAATCTATCTTGCATGAATGGGTGTTGTAATGATTGTACAAGCTGTTACAAATGATTAGCTACTACTCAGTGGTTTAATGACTTGAGCTTGTGTTACGATTACACATAGAGTTGGAAAGATGTGACATTAGAAGTGAAAAAGTTGTGCAGATTTAGCTCACATTAACCTGTGTCTTGGTTAACACTCTGAGCAAAATGCCAGTACCAAGGCAGGTGGGATTAATAGAAGTATAGCACGCAAAAGAAAGAAGGTGATATGGCACTTTACTCTGAAATTTTTTGTTCACCTATGGGTAAGTTAGTTTAAGAGGCCATTGTTAAACTGGAGTTTATTGAGGAGCGTTGGCAATATGGAAAATGAAAAAAGCATGTAGAATATTATTCCTGGGAGTTGGTTCCTCTGCCCAGTTAGACCATGGAAGCAGCTTGTTTTGGGGCCTTTTTAAAAATAGTATTTGAAGATTCTCTAGTAAGGGATTTTAGCTATTTGCCCTATTCTATAGCTTTTGGAAAAGAAATTTTTAAAAAAGGCATAAATTATTAATGAAGTCCTTGCCTAATTAATTGCATTCACTAATTAGTTGCATTAATACCACAATATGTATTAGCAAGAAGGAAAATTGACACCCAGCGAGGTGACCTTTCAAGGTCACACTTAGAGACCTTTTGGTAAATAAACGTATTGAAATCATGATTTTATATTTTGCTAAGAATCTTTTTTATCTCATTATAATGGATTGGCAGAAACTCTTTTTCCCCTGCAGCCTCAGTTTTCCCATCTGTAAAATGTGGAGCTTAGACTAAATGAACTGTGAGCCCTTTGAACTTTAAGGGTAATTGCACTGTAACTTAGCAGCATCTGTTTTGTTTTGTTTTCTAGTCTTGTGTTTCCCATTATGAGCCCCTCTTTTCTGTTTACAGGCTAGACTACATTGGAGATAGTAAAAATGTCCTCAATGACGTGCAGCATGGAAGGGAAGACGAAGACGGCCTTTTTACCCTCTAACAACGCAGTAGCATGTTAGATTGAGGATGGGGGCATGACACTCCAGTGTCAAAATAAGTCTTAGTAGATTTCCTTGTTTCATAAAAAAGACTCACTTATTCCATGGATGTCATTGATCCAGGCTTGCTTTAGTTTCATGAATGAAGGGTACTTTAGAGACCACAACTTCTCTGTCCATGCTCTAATCATCTCTGTAGAATCACCGCTAAGTGATCTTTCACAGTACACTTGAACACTTTCAGTGACAGTGAACTCCTTACCACACGCAAGGGAGTCCATTCAATCTCAGAGCAGTTCTGAGATTAAGAAATATTTATAGCAAAATCTGTCTCCGGATGACATCTGCCCATAGGTCATAGTTGAGCTCCTTATGCCTATCAGAACATCTCCTTTATTAACTGCCGGATCAGTGTTGTGTGAACTAACAGGACAAAAAATCTA
This sequence comes from Homo sapiens, assembly GCF_000001405.40. Taxonomy (NCBI): domain Eukaryota; kingdom Metazoa; phylum Chordata; class Mammalia; order Primates; family Hominidae; genus Homo; species Homo sapiens. The sequence goes on along the minus strand of NC_000005.10, from coordinate 156,919,015 downwards.
TAGGCTCCATCAGTCAATAAGACTGATTTTTTTTTTTCTCTCTTAAAGGTAATGTCAAGAGAGTAGAAATCCAAAAGATGGTTACCTTTGGAGAAACATGTGCTTATTCCATTAATGTTGCTATTGCTCTAAGCATGCTGGGAAGTACTGGAGAGCTGTTAACTCTTCAGGTATTAGAAGGAGAATCTCATGTTTCTCCAAATTTCCTTGCTTCTGGGATACAATTTCTGGTTCTTTTGTTACCCTAATTGCCTTCATCTCGTATGGATTCGTATCTCTCCTTTTATGCCCAGCTTTCAGAGTTCATTGTCTCACTGCAGGTATGATATGAGCAGCACAGAGCCTATGGTTCATTAACAATGCAGGAAATGACATGGAATCACACCGTAACTGTGACTCACTTCTTTATTTTCTTTCTTGAGACGGAGTCTTGCTCTGTTGCCCAGGCTGGAGTGCAATGGACAATCTCTGCTCACTGCAACCTCCGCCTCCCGGGTTCAAGCGATTCTCCTGCCTAAGCCTCCTGATTGAGCAGCTGGGCTTACAGGTGCATGCCACCATGACCACCAATTTTTGTATTTTTAGTAGAGATGGGGTTTCACTGTATTGGCCAGGTGGGTCTCTAGCTCCTGACCTCAGGTAATCTGCCTGCCTCAGCCTCCCCGAGTGCTGGGATTACAGGCTTGGGCCACTGCACTTGGCCAACATTGACTCACTTCTAAAACTCCTAAATTTTCTATTATTTTCTTTTCACATTTGAGTGTCTTTAGAGGTGACCATAGTGTCACATCCTAGTTCTTGCTTGGGGAATTTAATTTTGGAAACAGGGAAGAGTCCGTGGGAGTAAAATGTGGTGAATGACAGGAATATTCAACCAGGGGCAGTGCGTGGATGTGAAAGCAAGGCAATCCAAATAAGTTTCTCTAAATATAATCTTGGAAATGTGCTCCTCAGCAACAACAGGTTTATTTTAAAACTTTAATAACTGCTAACACGAGGAGCCATGGGAGAGAGATTAAAGCAAACAGTTGTTGAATGAATGTATAAAAAACATGTGTGCCTGAGTGAGAGGGGCTTCTGGCTGGGTAGAAATGTGGAAAGTAAACCAGATCTGAAAGACATTTCTGTGAAGGACTTCCCAGCATGTTTACAGCAATAGCAACATTAATGGAATAAGTACGTGGTTCTCTAAATGTAGCCATCTTTGGATTTCAACTCTCTTGACATTACATTTAAGAGAGAAAAAAGTCAGTCTAATTACTTGACTGGTGAAGCCTATAGATTTTTTTGTCCTATTAGTTCACACAACACTGATCCAACAGTTAGTAAAAATCCCCCTCACCTGGGTACTTGGAAAAACTGGCCCAAGGCAGCCTGACTTCTGACTTGTTCAGTTGCAGTTGGGCAGAATGATTGGCACCAATGATGAAAACAATTAGCAGCAGATTGGCAGCTGTTTCTTTTCTTTTTCTCTTCTCTTTTCTTTTCTCGTCTTTTCGAGACGGAGTTTTGCTGTTGTTGCCCAGGCTGGAGTGCAATTGCATGATCTTGGCTAACTGCAACCTCTGCCTGGTGGGTTCAAACGATTCTCCTGCCTCAGCCTCCCAAGCAGCTGGGATTACAGGCGCCCGCCACCACACCTGGCTAATTTTTTATATTTTTAGTAGAGATGGGTTTTGCCATGTTGGCCAGACTGGTCTCGAGCTCCTGACCTTAGGTGATCTGCCTGCCTTGGCCTCCCAAAGTTCTGGGATTACAGGCGTGAGCCACTGTGCCTGGCCCTTTTTTTAAAAAAAAAATTTTTTTTTTTTTTTGGTCAACTTGGCTTTGATGTCAGCTTAAGATACTTAAAGTGACTTTGTCTAGTGTGCTAAACTCAAACATTTATTTAGAAACGTTGGGGAAGTGGGTCTAGAGCCAGGTTCAGGGCCTGAATTTCCCCATCTAGAAAATGGAGTGGGGCCAGATGGCTTTGTGTATGTAGTCAGGTTATAGTATCTTGTGAGGTAATGATACACCCAACCCTAACTTAGCTCATGCTCCCTATCCACCTTCCAAAACCACCGCCATTATCAATGTCACTACCAGCTTGGGTCTGACTAGAAAAAGAAGACGACAGACACTTCCTAAACAGAACATTTAAACTCAATGAATATTACTTTTCTGTTTTGCAAAGGGGTATTTTCAATCGATTCCCAAATGTATTTCTGAAACTCCTTGTACCGACTAAGAAACACTAACATGAGCAATCATAGTATTTTAGAGCTCGTAATGGCCTCCAGGAGCCTCTGTCCTAGTAGTTCTCAATGTTAGCTGAATAATCAACTGGGGAGCTTTTTAAATGCCAATTCCTGAGTCCTACCCTTTAAGAGATTCTTTCTGTAATTGGTCCAGGGTATGACTTGGGCATCTGAATTTTTGAAAAATGTCCCAAAGTGGTTCTAATATGGAACCAAGTTCTGAAAAATGCTGGTCTAGCCCGGTGGCTCTCAAACTATGCACTTCAGACCAGCAGCCTCCGTGTCACTGGTACTTGATAGAAATGCAGATTCATGTCCTTCACCCCATACCTCCAGAATCAGAAACTCTGGGGGTAGAGTCTAGCAAACTGTGTTTTAACAGACCCTCCAGATGATTCTGATGTGCGTTAGAGTTTGAGAAATGTTGCACTGTAGTAATTCCTAACAGATAAAGTGTTCAAGAAAACAATCTCCCTTTACCAGGGCTGTGTGGTGGTGGGCTTGGCCAGACAGAGGGTCAGGAGCTTCCAGTACCAGGGGCAAAGGTCCTGCTGCTTCATCTCCTTTAAGCTGATAGCACTTTCTGGCTGGATTCCTGCAGTATCTTCCTAATTATAATCTCTGACTTTACTCCTTTTCCTGTCTGTTCTCCATGCTGTGGCAGAGATACCCTCTTTCAATACAGGTATGGGTCTCCTGTCTCCTGTCTTCCAGCCCTTTTCATCCTTGGCCCCTAGACCTACCTAGAAGCAGCACACTTAGCTCTGCCTGGGGCAGAGGTGGCAAACTCTGATGAATTTAGAGGCCAGGCAGCTGATACAGTTGAGGGAGTCAAAGGGAGATGACATGGCCCATGATAAATCGGAGTGTATGTCCACTTAAGGGCATTAAAATTTAAAATTAGTTAAAATGATTTCCTGGGCAAGCAAAACATGGCTGTGGGCTAAAACAAGGTAGCCAGTTTGAGACTGGGGATAAAGGGTGGATTTTAGTAAAAGATGAATTAAAATAAATATATAATTCTTATACTGAGACTCCTTGATCAGAGGAGGCTGTGGATGTAGTTGCTCCTCTCATTCCCTCTTTGTGTAATCAGGATGAATTGTTAGCATCTATAAATAACTTTTTGGTATCTATTGTATGTGGGGCCCAGGAGAGAGAATTGCTTCTTTTAAGGAGCTTCACTTCTGAATGAGACAAAACACACATGGGAAATGCAATAGAATAGGCCGGGTGCAGTGGCTCACACCTGTAATCCCAGCACTTTGGGAGGCCGAGGTGGCACATCACTTGAGGCCAGGAGTTTGAGACCAGCCTGGCCAACATGGCGAAACCCTGTCTCTACCCAAAATACAAAAATTAGCTAAGCTTGGTGGCAGGTGCCTGTAATTCCAGCTACTCGGGAGGCTGAGGCAGGAAAATCGGTTGAACCTGGGAGGAGGAGGTTGCAGTGAGCCGAGATCGCACCATTGCACTCCAGCCTGGGAAACGGATTAAGACTGTGTCTGTCTCAAAAAACAAACAAACAAACAAAAAGGTAATGCAATCGAATGGAATCAATGTTGTTTTTCCATTTCCATAAGGAAGGAATGTGATGCAGTATGTGCTTCTTACAGCTAATGATTATATGGTGGATCCACAATCAAACCTCACAATTTAAAGCAGGAGTTTCCAATCTTTTGGCTTCCCTGGGCCACACTGGAAGTAAAGGAATTATCTTGGGCCACACATAAAATACGCGAACACTAATTATAACTAATAAGCTAAAAAAATCGCAAAAAAAATCTCATAATGTTTAAGAAAGTTTACCAATTTGTATTGGGCCACATTCAAAGCCATCCTGGGCCGCATGCAAGCTCAATTTAAAGCAACCTAATTCCTCACCATGGCCTTTCTAGGCTAAACACAGGAGATACTATCAATTTGTAATGAGCACCTATTATATTCTGGGTACTCTATTAACTGTTTCAAGGCAATTATCTCATTGACTCCTGACAGCAGCTCAATAAAGCGGGTATATTATTTTGGCTTTGGAGCTAAGAAAACAGAAGCACAGGCAGGTGAAGGAACTTGCTCAAGGTCACGTCGTCCAATCTCCTGTAGCAGAGCCAGGTTTTGAACCAGGCTTGAAGGACTCCACACTCTAACCACTACCCTGTACTTCACAGTGAGGGCTCCAATTCCAGACTTCATGCATATGGCTCTGTAACACTGACCTGCATTGGACTCAAATGGATTTCAGTGTCCTCTGATCCACAGCAACCTGAGTATATCAATGGCTTTCCAGTTACAACCCCATTATAGCTCAATCTTCCCTTGTCCCCATATTATTTACTCAGAATCTGATTTGCATTTGCAGAGGAAGCTGTAAAGGGAGAACCTGGCAGGAAACTTAATGAAGCCAGGTGGGACACATTTAAATGGGAATGTGTTGAACTAACTCATGAAGAGCTAAAGCCAGCTGTCAGCAGGCTTAATGAAAGGTTAACAGGAATCCAGCAATGGGTGGCTGGGGAGACTCTTTGTCTCTCTAAAGAAAACAGGAAGTTGAGAAGTGGGCTCCCTGGGTGGAGGTGAGAGCAGAAGGAGGAAGCCACTCAAAACCGAAAGACTGGGTCTGGAAATAGAGCTTCATTTAGATTTGTAAATATGTTACAGCCTTAAAAAAAAAAAGCACTGTGAGTTCTCAGCTCTCTGAGCATCAAAGGACAGTGAAGGGAAGTGTTCCCGAATAAGATGAATGCTAATGCTATCCAGAGGGAGTTTGGGGAGCACTGGAAATGGCTGCTCGCAAAACAGAAGGTGGATTTGCTGCTTGTGCTGAAAAGGTGCTATTGTGCGGTTATATGCATTATCCATACTGTATGTGAAATAATGGGGTGGGAGCACAGCAAAGACTCGCACACATCTGTCAGTTTCACTCCCATTTTCAGCCAAGGAAACTGAGGCTCAGAAAGGGGGCATGAGTTGCCCAGGTCCCACAGTTAACCAGTGCTAGAGCAAAGCACTAAACTGTGTTTTCTAGACTTGTCTCTGTGGCTAAGATTCTGGAGTTTTCACAGAATCTGCCCTGTTATTGCCCTTCTGGAGTCATGTAATTAAGTTCTTGTTGGTGTGGCCATGCAATTCAGCGTTCCTTTTCCGTAAGCCATCTATCTTAGCACACCCCTGGCTTTATAGTGGGCTGCTGCCCCCAGGAAGAGGAATCAGAATGCAAAAAGCGCACAGCTTGGCTGCTCTGCTGCTCTCCTAGCAGCACCATAACTATGGTGACCAACTTGTCTCAATTTGCTCTGGGCTTTCTTGGTTTTAAAACTCAAAGTCCCACATGCCAGGAACCCCTCAGTCCTGGGCAAACTGGTGTAATCACCCAATAGGTTCTTCCTGTGCCATCTGCACAGACAAAACCAGTTCATTGAGAACACGGCATTGCAGTAGAGAAAAAGTTTAATGGACATGACGCCAGCCACATGGGAAATAGAGTTATTATACAAATCAATCTCCCCAAAGGCTTGAAGGTTAGGGTTTTTATGGACAGTTTGGAGAGCAGGGGTCTAGGGAAAGGGTGCTGCTGATAAATTGGGGATGAAATCATAGGGGTGTGGAACACTTCTTTGTGTGCTGAGTCCAACTCTGGGTGGGGCCACAGGACCGGGTGAATCATGAGTCACAAGGCCGGGTGGGATCTGTTGAAAAAATATTTCAAAAAACCAATCTTAGTTTCTACAGTAGTGATGTTACCTAGATGAGCAACTGGGGAAGTCGCAAACCTTGTGATCTCTGGCCATATGACTCCTGAGCAATAAGGGATTGTGGAAACTATGGGGTCAAAATATGTCAGTTATGCAAAATGGGGTCGACTGTGTCAGATTTCTCTCATCGTTATAATTTTGCAAAGATGGCTTCTCTTGGATGGTTGGTCAACCTAAGTCTATAAACTAGAGATCAAAAACAACCATCCTCTCAGTTCTCTCACTCACAGCCCCTGCTCTTGACTTTATTGCAGTGATCACTTTTCCTGTGACTTTGCAGTTGAACCCAAATGGAATTTAGTTTGTTCAGATCCGCTGTTAGAATAGACTACTACTAGATCTACATTTTATATCTAGACCCTTGCTATTCGAAGTGTGAGATTCAGACCAGCAGTTTTGTCATCACCTGGGAGCATATTAGAAATGCAGAATCCCAGGCCCTACCATAGATCCTATGAATCAGAATTCACCTTGTAACATCTAGGATCTCTAGGTCACTCATGTGCACATTAAAGTTTGAGAAGTCCTGGTCTAAAGCATTGATTTTCAAACTCAGCTGCACACTGGAATCACATGGAGAAACTTAAAAAATACTGATGCCTGATCCATAGATCAAAACATCACCTTGTACCCCATAAATATACACAATTATTGTCAATTAAAAATAAATTTAGGCAAGATGCTGTGGCCCACGCCTGTAATCCCAGCACTTTGGGAGGCCGAGGAGGGTGGATCACCTGAGGTCAGGAATTCGAGACCAGCCTGGCCAACATGGTGAAACCCCACCTCTACTAAAAATACAAAAATTAGCTATGCATGGTGGTAGGCGCCTGCAATCCCAGGTACTCGGGAGGCTGAGGCAGGAAAATCACTTGAAGCTGGGATGTGGAGGTTGCAGTGAGCCAGGATCACGCCATTGCACTCCAGCCTGGGTGACAAGAGCGAAACTCCATCTCAAAAAGTAAAATAATAAAATAAATAAATAATTAAAACATTTTTAAAAATACTGATGCCTGGCTCCCATCTGAGGTCCTGATTTGATTCACAACGAGGAGACATGGGCATCAGTTTTTAAAGCACTTCAGGTGATTTGAATATACAGCAATGTTTGCAAACTTCAGCCCTAGAGAGGGGGTAGCTTTGCACCAGAAAATAATGTTTCTAATTAATCAGAACAAAGCTTGGCCTAAGTTTGTGTGGCTCTACTAACCCCATGTGATTTTGCATATGGAAATCATCAATATCGCTCAAGAAGATCTGAGGCATAAAGATAATGACCAATTACTCTGGAAGAGGCCCCCTAAAGTAGTTACAAACCAAGATATAATATTTAGTCTATGGAAAGTGATAATAAGACAAAAGATAATCAGAGAAGGAATGTCCTTAGGGTCGGGGTGGCACTATGAATCTCTTCAGAAGACACTAGAAAGATGTCTTGACACCAAGATTGTAAGAGAAAAGTGGGAGATTGGTTAAGTGGTAATCTTTGTTGCACAATAAGGAACTTGGTAAAAAGGCAACTATATTTTCTTTTGTACTTAGATATAATGGGAGATCTTCTGTAGGGAACAAGCAGTCATTCATTGTCTCAGTAAGACTGTATTCTTTTGCAAGTAAGAGAATACGAAAAAATAATGATTTAATTAGCAAAGACTTTGAATCATTTCACATAACTAGAGTTGGGACTTAGGAGTGTTGTAGGATTGGGTTCAGCAGCTTCACAAGAATGAGGTGTTAGTCAGGTCTCTGTGTCTTCATTGGCACTTCTCTCCTGGTCACAGGATGGCTGCCACAGCTCTGATATGTCCTCCCACAAAAGCATCCCAAGTAGAAAGAAAGCCCTGGCAACACAGCAAGACCCCATCTCTACAAAAATTTTTTTAAAAAATTAGCTGTGGATGGTGGCATGTACCTGCTCACTTAGCTACTCAGGAGGCTAAGGCAGAAGGATTCCTTGAGCCCAGGATTTTGAGGCTGTATTGAGCTGATTGCACCACTGCACTCCAGCCTGGGCAACAGAGCAAGATCCTTTCTCAAAAAAAAAAAAAAAAAAAGAAAAGAAAAGCCAAGTAGGAAGAAAGGAAGCAGGTGGCAAATGGGGCTTTTCTTCTAATATGATGCTTTATCAAAAAGGGACATTACTAAAAGACTTTCCTGTGTTTGATTGTCCAAACTGGGTCACATACCCAGACCTTGGCAAAGGGAAATGCAACTGCTTAGATGACTTATATTAATCAATCATTATTCATTCTCTAGGCTATGCATATTGACTAGGATCTGTTAGCATGGGTGAAACTGGGAATGGCTGTGGGGTGGACAGTCTTGATTTCTGCCATAGTCACTCATCCACCACAAGGTTACTGGTTGTCTCCTATGTGCCAAAGGGCCCTGTGGGGAGCTGGGGCATTGTGAGGAACAAGAGAGTCCCAGTCCCTGATCCTAAGCAGCTTACAGTCTGCAAAGCCATTTCTATCTTTATCACCCATTTCATGATTCCAATTATTTGGATAATTTCTGATGTGCCTGAGAAACAAAAAGAGTGAAGGGATAATATGCTTAGAAATTCTGCATATATATAGATACGTTCTTGAACTTGTGGACCTGTACCTTTGCTGTAAGGGTCACCAGTCAATGGAGGAAGGGGCTGAAACATTCAGACCTAGGTGGTGAAGGCAAATTAGAGCAAGAATTCTTAGCTATGGCAGAACTTTCTTAGCTTGGCGGAAGACAGTTGGCTTTATCACAGATGTGAGAGTAATAGAAAGAAATCTCACCTTATATTTCTATGCTGCTTCATACTTTTCTAGGCATTTTCAAACATTGGTGCTCTGTGTCAGAGGGACAGTGTATCCCCATTTCATAGAGGAGCAAAATGGAAGCACAGAGAAGCAAAGTGACTGTGTTCCCACCATGGTTAGTGAGACAGGACTAGAATCAAGTGTCCTGATTCCTTCTCAAATCAACGGATCCATGCCATCTTTATGGGATGCTCACCATGTGCCCCTGGCTTTGTGCTTGGAATTCATAACAGGGCCAATCATCATCATTAATATTATTTGAGCATGTACAGTAAGTCAGACACTGCCCTAAGCACTTTAAATACGCTTTTAAATTTAATCATGACAATCACCCTTTGAGGTAGTTGTCACTTTTATCTCTGTTTGACAGATGAGGAAATGGAAGCTCAGTCAGATAAAGAGGCTAGTCAGCTGGGATTCTAACTAAGAAGCACCTCCATGGCCCAGGGCCTTAACCCATGTGCCCTGTCCCTTCAGGTATATAAAAGCACTTTTTTGATCTCTTAATGATTACATACATGTGGAAGGTAGAAAGGAACTATTCAGCTGTGACTTTTAGGTTGTTCCCATTTTCCCTCTAATCACCTTAGTAAGATGATGCTGGAGCGACTGCGTTGCCTGGGGTATATAACCTGGGGTTCCTTGTAGCGAACCAGGAAAATTTACAACACAGACACACATGAGGAGTTTAGGAGCAGAGGTTTAATAGGTAGAGGAGAAGAGAAAGAGAAACAGCTGCCTCTGTAGAGGAAGGAGTCTCCCAGCGCAAAAGACCTGCTGGTGGTGAATATGCGGAATTTTATAGTCTGGTTTGAGGAGGCAGTGTCTTATTTATATAGGGCTCTTAGATTGGTTTGATCAGGTATGACATTTACATAGCGCATGAGGAAGGCTTGTCGCCCCACCCTAATCTTCTTATGCAAATGGACTTTCCAGTTGATCATGGCCATCTTGTCTGCTTCTTACTGTACATGTGGCTGGCAGAGAAGGGATGATGGAACCACCATCTTGAACATGTCTAGTCCCTAGTTCTGCCGGCATTCACCCATGCAAGCTCCTAGCTTGCAGGCTGCTCTTTGTTAGAAAATTATTTGGGGCTGCTCTTCATTAAAAAGATAAGCCTTACTGAGGACTCTCATACCCTTGCTATCTGCCTAAGTGATTTCTTCTTAACGCCTGTATCAACGTGTTCTCCATCCTTAGACTTTCTGAATGCCACCAATATGGAGATGGGTGAGGAGTGAAAAGCATGGAGCTAGAAAGTTCTTTGGGTCTAGGTCTCGCATCGTTTGTTTGTTTGTTTTGAGACAGGGTCTCACTCTGTCACCCAGACTGGAGTGCAGTGGCGTGATCCTCCCAGGCTCAAGTGATCCTCCCACCTCAGCCTCCTGAGTAGCTGGGACTACAGGCACAAGCCACCAGGCCTGGCTAAGTTTTGTGTGTGTATGTGTGTGTGTGTGTGTTTGGTAGAGATAGGGTTTTGCCATGTTGCTCAGGCTGGTCTCGAACTTCTGGGCTCAAGTGATTCTCTAGCCTCAGCCTTCCAAATTGCTGGGATTACAGGCATGAGCCACCCACACCTGGCTGGGTCTCACCTTCTTGAAGAGACCCGAGTTTAGACCCAGATCTCCAAATGAAGTCACATATTAAAGCACAGAGATTAAATGATCAGGTTCAAACATTAAAAACTATACTAGAAATGTTGTCACCTCTCGTTTTTTAAAGAATACGCAAAAAGACTTAAAAAAGAGAGAGAAAGAAAGAAAGAAAAAAGGAGGTGGCCTGGGTTCCACTCTCCTTTAGAGAAGCCTGGTCTCACAATCCTCCTCCCTGGCCTTGCCCTTGTTCCACCTCTTATATTCATTCTCCACCCTGTTTATTCTGTTCCCTCTGTTCTATTTCTTTCTTTCCCCTTCTCTCCTCCTTCTGAGATGAGGTTAGTGTCTTATCTCCCTTCAGCAGCTCCACCAACACAGTCGTATTATTTTTTTCCCTCCAGATTCAGGATGACTCTACATCATTTTAATCTGTTCCTATGAGCTTTGATTTTCAATCTCCCAAACTTAATCTTAGACCCTTCTCCACTGAGATGAAAGAAAGGTCTGAACAACATTACAAATGCTGACAATACCTTTTGCTCAGGGATCAAGATGATTAGAAAAGACAGCAGAGGCTTGCTTCACCATAATGTCCTGGGTATCCCGGGATAAATAAAGTTTCTTAATTAGCCAAGGACTTATCATCAACTGATGATGCTGCGACCTCCACCGCCGTTTATTAACTATTGTTGAAAAACTTTGCCACCTGTCGGCAAATGGAAAGGGCACAGGTCTTGGAGTCATATTGGCCTAGAACATGAAGCTGCTATAGCACAGCTGGGTGGCCCAGGACAAGTTGCTCAGTTTCTCTCAGTCTCAGTTTCGTAATCTATAAATTGGGAATAATAATGGCACCCTCCTCATAAGTAAGCATTAAATGTGTTAATGTCAGTAAAACAAACAGCACAGTACTTGGCACAGGGCAGGTGCCCCATGATTAGCAGGTGCTGCTTGCTGATGCTGCTGTTCACTGTCTGGGCCTAGCAAGTTTAGAGTTTTAAGTATGTGTTTGTGGATATTTGCTGGCAGGACCTGCACAGTTTCCCACTGAGGATGCATTCGGTATACTTGCAAAACAAGAATGTCAAACCTGGGGGTTTCTGCTCTGTTTCAGAAGCTGAGTATGTGTCTCTTGGCCTGCAGTTCTCATCCTTTAAAGAGCATAAGAATGATCCAGGGACACGCTAAAATCCATGTATCTGGGCCTGACCCTCAGAGATGCTGATTCTGTGATGCTGGATGGGGGCCCTGCAATTCCACCTTGCCCACTGGGATTCTGAAGCAGGGGGACAAAGGATCACGCTCTGAGAGTGTGGTTCAGAGGCTCACATTTAAACAGTGCTGATATCAGCCATCTCAATTCCTAGCCTCTCTGGTCTTGCCCTGCGTTTCTGAACTCTCACTCAGCTTTATTTACCTTTGTCTTTCGACCCTGTGCATAGGTCTCATTTTATTCTCTTTCTCAGTCCACTGCAATTAACCCCAAGACAGTGCTCTCTTTTTCTCTAGCTCTAGTACCCTCAGCTATTGCTCCTGTTTCACAGCTGAGTTCCTTGAACGCCCCTACCTGACTGAGGCTTGTCATGGCCTCTCTGTTTCCATTGCTTTGCAGTATCTGGCCTGCACTCTTTTTTCTTTTTCTTTTACTTTTTGTTTTGTATGTGAGATGGAGTCTCACTGTGTCACCCAGGCTGGAGTGCAGTGGTGCAATTTCGGCTCACTGTAGCCTCTGCTTCCCAGGTTCAGGTGATTCTCCTGCCTCAGCCTCCTCAGTAGCTGGGATTACAGGGTCCTCCACCACACCTGGCTAATTTTTGTATTTTTAGTAGAGACGGAGTTTCACCATGTTGGTCAGTCAGGTCTAGAACTCCTCACCTCATGCAATCCACCTGCCTCAGCCTCCCAAAGTGCTGGGATTACAGGTGTGAGCCACTGCACCCAGCCTCACTATATTTTCAAATATTCTTTGAATGAAAGAAGGTAGATCTATTTCTCTTCCCATGTGTTGGTCTGTTCTACAACACCTCTGACAAATAGGTAGCCAGATTTTACTGAATTCCTCCAGTGACTAGAAACTCAGTATCTCCTCTTTAATTTTTATGTGGCTCTAACTGGTAAAAAACATATTTTTGTAAGTAGGGAAAAATATGCCTCTCCGTGGCTTCTGTCTCCTGATCCCTCTTCCCACCTGGAATAAACTAGAAGGCTTTTGTTCTCTCTTTCACATGACAGCCCTTCAGACCCTTGAAGACAATGGTTGTGTTTCTCTCTGCCTCCGGGTATTCTCTCTTCTAGTTCCTAACAACACTTTTACTTTCTTCTTGGTCTTTGAATGTGCTTGCTTTGTCACTGTTCCCTGTTAAGATGGGGTTCCTAATAAGAAAACAAACAAACCAATTTCAAAATGGGCCTACAATTTGAATAGAAATTTCTCTGGGAAGATAATATGAATGGCTGTTAACAACATGAGATGCTCAACATCAGTAGTCACTTAGGAAAATACAAATCAAAATCACAATGAGATACCACTTCACACCCACTAGGATGGCTGTAATAATTAAAAAAAGGACAATAACAAGTGCTAAGGAGGATGTGGAGAAATTGGAACCTACATGCGTTGTTGGTGAGAATGTAAAATGGTGCTGCTGCTTTGGATAATAGTTGGCAGTTTCAGAAAATGTTAGACATAGTTACTATATGATACAGCAAAGACTTGTACATAAATGCTCATAGTAGAGCTCATATTACTTATAATAGCCCCAAAGTAGAAACAACCCAAATACCTATAAACAGATAAAGAAGATGTGGTATATACAATGGAATTCTATTGGGCAATAAAAAGATATGGGCCGAGTGCGGTGGTTGACACCTGTAATCCCAGCACTTTGGGAGGCTGAGGTGGGCAGATAACCTGAGGTCAGGAGTTCGAGACCAGCCTGACCAACATGATGAAACCCCATCTCTACTAAAAATACAAAAATTAGCTGGGTGTGGTGGCAGGTGCCTGTAATCCCAGCTACTCGGGAGGCTGAGGCAGGAGAATCACTTGAACCCAGGAGGCAGAGGTTGCAGTGAGCCAAGATTGCACCACTACACTCCAGCCTGGGTGACCGAGTGAGTGAGACTCTGTCTAAAATAAAATAAAATAAAATAAGTACTGATTCACGCAACATGGATAAACCTCAAAAACATTATGATAAAGAAGCCAGATACAAAAGACTACATATTGTATGATTTCACTTACACAAAATTTCTAGAATAGGTGAATCTGTAGAGACATAGAGATTAGTGCTTATGGCCAGGCAAGATGACTCACTCCTGTAATCCCAGTAGTTAGGGAGGCTGAGGGAAGAGGATCATTTGAGCCCAAGAGATCAAGGCTGCAGTGAGCCATGATCATGCCCACTGCACTCTGTCCTGAGTGACAGAGTGAAACCCTGTCTCAAAAAAAAAAAAGGAAAAATTTTTGGTTATGTGGGGCGGAGGATGCAAAAAATGGGGAGTGACCACTAATGGGTGCTAGATTTCTTTTAGGGGCAATGAAAATCTTCTAAAATTAGATTATAGCTATAGTAGCATACATCTGTAAATATGTTAAAAACCATTGAATTGAACACTTAATACAGGTGAATTTACGGTATGTAGTTTATATTTTAATAAGGATCTTAAAAATGATGTTGTTTGTTTTATTATTTTTTTTTCAATTGAGATGGGGCATTGCTATGTTGCCCAGGCTAGTCTCAAACTCCTGGGCTCAAGTGATCCCGCTACCTCGGCATCCCACAGTGCTGGGATTATAGGCATACATCATCAAGCCTGGCCAAGTGTTGCTTGAAATGAATGCAGAGGCCTGGCCACCATAGAATAGAATAAAGCCATCACATTATTCTACAATGCAACCTAAGACGACAATCATATTTAAAACAGCAGTATCTCACCTAGTTACTTTATACTGAGTTTGTGGTGATTAAAGTTTCCCTGGCAGCTGGGCATGGTGGTTCACACATATAATCTCAGCACTTTAGGAGGCCGAGGCAGGAGGATAGCTTGAGCCCCAGGGTTTAAGACCAACTTGGGCAACTTAGTGAGACTTCATCTCTACTGAAAATAAAAAAAAACATTAGCTGGGCATGATGGAGAACCTATGGTAGTCTCAGCTATTTGGGAGGCTAAGGTGAGAGGATCACTTGAGCCCAGGAAGCAGAGGTTGCAGTGAGCCAAGATCATGCCACTGTGCTCCAGACCTTGTCTCCAAAAAAAAAAAAAAAAAAGTTTCTCTGGCCTATGTTGCTGGTACATTGTTACAAGTATGAACACTACCTAAGTGTTCAGGTGATTCTCCTGCCTCAGCCTCCTGAGTAGCTGGGATTCTGGCATAGTCTGGAGGAAGAAGACTTTTGTGGATGATGAGTATGAGAGAGAGAGAGAGACAGAAAGTGTGTGTGTGTGTGTGTGTGTGTGTGTGTGTGATAGGCAGAAATGGAAAATGAAAGGCAAAGGTGATGCTCTAGCCAAATAGGAGACAGCTTTATTTCTTTTCTTTTCTTTTTTTTTTTTTTTTGAGACAGAGTCTTCCTTTGTTGCCCAGGCTGGAGTGCAGTGGTGCAATCTCGGCAGCCACCTTCTGGGTTCAAGCGGGTCTCCTGCCTCAGCCTCCTGAATAGCTGGGACTACAGGCATGCACCAACATGTCCGGCAAATTTTTCTTTTGTACTTTTGTATTTTTAGTAGAGATAGGGTTTTGCCATGTTGGCCAGGCTGGTCTCGAACTCCTGACCTCAAGTGATCTGCCCACCTCGGCCTCCCAAAGTGCTGGGATTACAGGCATGAGCCACCGTGCCTGGCCAGGAGACAGCTTTCAATTGCAAAACTCCTTACTGTGACAAAAGAAAATTTTTACATCATTTTTGTATTATTTTATTATATAAAAGTTGTACACACAATTTAAATATTTTATCTCTTTCCCTTCCTCCTGCCGTCTGCAGTCTCCTTCTCTGGGGAAACCACCCTTGCCTGTTTTGGGTATGTGTTTGTGTATTCTTCCTAAATGCTTCATTCATGAATAAGCAAAATGTATACATTAATATATTCTATTATACAGAAAGGATTATACCCTACAGATTGCTTGGCATCTTATTCTTTTCTACTTTGTAATACAGCTTGGATATCTTTTTCTATCAGCACATAAAGATATACTTCATTTATTTTTTTTATTGTTGAAGAATGTACCATTATATAGATTATTACGACGTAACTAGGTTCCTGATGGTAAGTAGTTACACGAAGACCAGTCCTCTGCTGTTATAGACTACACTGCAATAACAGTCTCACATGTTCATCTTTGTGCATGAATAAGAGCAAAACTGGATGGTAAATTGCAATAAGTGAAATTCCTGGCTCGAAGCGTATGTTAAAGTCTTGGTAGTTTGTTCATTGAAAATACCTTGGAAGGGTCCAAAGTACCTTCCCAATTTATACTTCCATTAATTTTATTATGAAATGCCTGTTTTCCTCATAAGCAACACACAATTAGATTTGCTTCTCAGTTTGACAATATTTACCTTTTAACTGGAACAATTTATTTATATTTAAGTGAATTACTGATAAAATTTAGATTTAAATATATGATGTTATTTTGTGTTATTTGTGCTGCTTGCTGTTTTTTTCTTCTTAATTTCTTTGGATTGATTTTTTAAAAATTTCCCATTAGTTTTCTCCATTAGGTTGAAAATTATAACTGTATATCTATTTTTTAGTGTTTGCTCTACAACTGATCACATACATCTTTATCTTATCAAAGTCTAATGTTGATCAACACCATTAACTTCCTGGACCATTGAGGACCTTAAAATACTTTCTTTTCACTTAATCCTCTCTTGATATATGCTATTGTTCTGCATTTTAAGTATATGTAAATTTATTAATTCAACATGATATTATTGTTGTGGTTTTATTTTTTATTTATTTATTAATTTTTTTTGAGACGGAGTCTCGCTCTGTTGCCCAGGCTGGAGTGCAGTGGTGCGATCTCGGCTCACTGCAAGTCCGCCTCCCGGGTTCATGCTATTCTCCTGCCTCAGCCTCCCGAGTAGCTGGGACTACAGGCGCCCGCCACCAAGCCCGGCTAATTTTTTGTATTTTTAGTAGAGACGGGGTTTCACTGTGTTAGCCAAGATGGTCTCGATCTCCTGACCTCGTGATCCGCCCGCCTCGGCCTCCCAAAGTGCTGGGATTACAGGCATGAGCCACTGCGCCCGGCCTGTTGTGGTTTTATATAGTCAACATTTACTTTGTTTTGACCAGCTTCTGTGATCTTTATTCCTTTCTGAATATCTGACTTTCCATCTGATATTCTTTTTCTTTTTCTTCCCCCTAAAATACAGTCTTTAGTATTTCTGTTTTTTTTGTTTTTTTTTTTTTTTGAGACAGCATCTTACTCTGTCACCTAGGCTGGAGTGCAGTGGCATGATCTTGGTTCACTTTAACTGCTGTCTCCCAGACTCAAGCAATCCTCCCACCTCAGCCTCCTGAGCAGCTGGGACTATAGGTGTGCACCACCATGCCCAGCTAATTTTTAAATTTTTTGTAGAAATGGGGTCTCCCTATATTGCCCAGGCTGGTCTTGAATTCCTAGGCTCAAGTCATCCTCCCACCTTGGCTTCCCAAAGTTCTAGGATTACAGGCATGAGCCTTTGCACCCATGCTAGCATTTTCTTTGTGCAAATTTATTTGTAGTCATCTCTGATAGTTTTGTGTTCTTAAAATGTCTTTATTTGACTTTCATTCTAGAAAGAATATTTTCCCTGGGTTTAGAATCCTAGTTTGGCAGTTAATTTCTTTCAGATTTTTGATAACATAGTACTCTTCTGGCTTGATTATCTCTGCAGAGAAGACAACAACAGTCTAACAGTTGCTCTTTTGAAGTTAATTCATGTTTTTATTTTGGACTGTTTAAAGACTTTTTCCTGTCATTGGTTTTCTGCAATTTTATATGATGTGTTTAGACATGGATTTCTTTTTATTTCTCCTGTTCAGGATGTTTGACTTCTTGAATCAATAGACTCATGTCTTTCATTAATTCTGAAAAGTTCTCAGCTATCATCACTTCAAAATTTTGCCTCAGTTCTTTCTCTCTTTTGTCTGTGCTAACTTAAAAAAAGAAAAGACCTTGTTCTGATGTCCTTCCTCTTTCTTTCTTTTTCTTTCTTTCTTTCTCTTTCTTTCTTTCTTTCTTTCTTTCTTTCTTTCTTTCTTTCTTTCTTTCTTTCCTTTTTTTCTTCCTTTCTTTCTTTTCTTTCTTCTTTCTTTCCTCTATTTCTCTCTTTCTTTCTCTCTCTCTCTCTTTTTTGACAGAGTCTCACTCTGTCACCCAGCCTGGAGTGCAGTGGCATGATCTTGATTCACTGCAACCTGCACCTCCTGGGTTCAGGTGATTCTCATGCCTCAGCTTCCTGAGTAACTGGGATTACAGGTGTGTGCCACTGTTTTGTATTTTTAGTAGAAACAGGGTTTTGCCATGTTGGCCAGGCTGGTTTCGAACTCCTAGCTTCAAGTGATTCACCCGCCATGGCCTCCTGAAGTGTTGGTATTACAGGCGTGAGCCACTGCACCCAGCAATCTTCCTTGTTTCTTAACCTCTCTTCTGTATTTTCCATATTCTGTCTCTCTCAGGAGCATTATGAACAGTGTCTTCTATCTTTAAGGTCAAAATTATCTTTTAAACGGAATCTAATATGTTGTTTAACTGGTTAGGTTTTTGATTTTAGGTTTTAAAATTAGATCTAAAATTTGTATTTGGTTGTTTTTAAAATCTGCTACATCATTTTTATAGTTCCCAGTTCCCTGCCAACGTTTTAAAATTTTTCATAAAATTTGCCATTTTAACCATTTTAGTGCACAATGCAATGGCATTAATTATATTCATAATATTGCAGAACCATCATCACTACCTATGTTCAAAACATTTTTATCGCCCCAAACAGAAACTCTGTAAGAATTAAGCAATAACTCTCCATTCCTCTCCTTTCAGGCCCTGGCAACCATCATTCTACTTTCTGTCTCTATGGATTTGCCTATTCTAGCTATTTTATATAAGCGGAATCATGCAATATTTGTCCTTTTGTATATGGCTTATTTCACACAACAAAATGATTTCAAGGTTCATCTCTATTTTAACATGTATAAGAATTTTATTCCTTTTTAATAATATCCCTGAATAATATTCCATTGTATATATGTACCACATTTAGTTTATTCATTCATCTGTTGATAGATACTTTGGTTGTTTTCACCCTTTGGCTATTGTGAATAATAGTGCAATACACTGGCATACAAGTATCTGAGTCTCTGCTTTGAATTTTTTTGGATATATACATAAGAATGGAACTGCTGGGTCATATGGCAATTCTATGCTTAGCTTTTTAAGGAACCACCATACTGTTTTCCATAGTGGCTGCGCCATTTTACAGTCTCACCAGAAATGTATGAATGTTCCAATTTTTCTACATACTTGCCAACACTTGGTATTTTTCCTTTTTTTGTTTTTTGGGTTTTTTTTTTTTGTTTTTTTGAGACACTCTTGCTCTGTTGCCCAGGCTGGAGTGTAATGGCACAATCTCAGCTCACTGCAACCTCTGCCTCCCAAGTTCAAGCAATTCTTCTACCTCAGCACCCTGAGTAGCTGGGATTACAGATGTGTGCCACCACGCCTGGCTAGTTTTTGTATCTTTGGAAGAGATGGGGTTTCACCATGTTGGCCAGGCTGGTCTTGAACTCTTGACTTCAAATGATCCACCTGCTTTGACCTCCCAAAGTGCTGGGATTACAGGTGTGAGCCATCGTACCCAGGACAGTATTTTCCTTTTTAAAAAAAAATATATATATAGTCATTCTAATAGGTGTGTAGCAGTATCTCATGGCTTCGATTTGCATTTGTCAAATGAGTAATGATGTTCACCATCTTTTTGTATCCTTATTGGCCATTTGTATATCTTCTTTGGAGAAGTATCTATTCAAATCCCTTTTCCATTTTATTTTATTTATTTATTTTCTCCTGTCTCCCTTCAACTGCTTGCCCAGTTTTAAATCAGGTTGTTAATCTGTTTGCTGTTGAGTTTCAGGAGTTCTTTATGTATTCTAAATCTTAATCTCTTATCAGATATATTATTTGCAAATAATTTTTCCCATTCTGTAGGTTGTCTTTTCACTTTCTTGATAATGTCCTTCAATGCACAAAGGACATTATCAAGAAATGTTCATTGTCATTGCTCATGCTGTCATTGTCCTATCAAAGAATTCATTGCCAAATCCAAGGTCATGAAGATTTACCCAATGTTTCCTTTTAAGAGTGCTTTGGTTTAGTCTTAAATTTAGATCCTTGATTCATTTTGAGCTTTTAAAAATATATTGACCAGGCATGGTGGCTCATGCCTGTAATCTAATCCCAGCATTTTGGGAGGCCAAGGTGGGCAGATCACCTGAGGTCAGGAGTTCAAGACAAGCCTTGCCAAAATGGTGGAACCCCGTCTTTACTAAAAATACAAAAATTAGCCAGGCATGGTGGTACATGCATGTAATCTCAGCTACTCGGGAGGCTGAGGCAGGAGAATCGCTTGAACCTGAGAGATGGAGGTTGCAGTGAGCCAAGATTGCACCACTGCACTCCAGCCTGGGTGACAGAGCGAGATTTGTCTCAAAAAAATTTTAAAAAATTACACACACACACACACACACACACACACACACACACACACAGAAGTAGGAGTCCAACCGCATTCATTTGCATTCGTTAGAAATCCACTTGTTCCATTTGTAACCTGGTTTTAGGTCATATAAGTAATTCATGAAACTTAAAACCTTGAACTTGGATTAAGATGTGGCACAAGTAGATGTCTGACAGAAGCAAATGCATGTTTTCTGAAGAAGAACACATTATTCCAAGCCTCAAATTACTCCTACAAAAAATATTTTCCTCCACTAAATGGACTTAGACCCCAAAGTTAGCTTTATTTATTTGAAGATACTAAGGATGTTTGTCTCGTAATTTCACCATTTGAGGTCATGGTCTCTGCTGACTCTTACTCATGTGTCTTAATTTCTTGTGTGCCTGGTTATCTTTGATTGTATGGAGCTTATTGCAATTGAAAATTTTTCGTAGGAATAATTTGAGGCTGATAATAATGTGATCTTCTGCAGAAACTTGCATTTGCTTCTATCAGGCATCTTTTTGTGTCACATCTTAATTCAAGTTCAAGGCTTTAGGTTCCATGAACTACTTAGATGACCTGGAACCAGGTTACAAGCCCATCTGAGAATAGTTACTACTGCTTCACACTCACTCTAAGGGTATGGCCTTTTTTGTCCTTGCTTATAATGGGTAGTGGTTTATCAAGGTCCCTAACTTTGGTGAGTCCTCTGCCTGGACACTTTCCTCTAGCTCTATGAGGCAGCCAGAACCTCAGCTCAATTTTGCTGATATTCATTCCAGATTGGAAAGTGATTCCAAGGCCAAAGCAACTTTGAGCTCATGTGGATTAGCATATTCTTTAGTTTGAGTTCTATTCATTTTGAATTTTATTAACTTTTTGATATTTTAAAAATATTTTAATATATTTTGTTCATCTTTTGTGTGTCTAATGTAGGATGGTTGGTCCCAATTACCAAATCAGCATTACCAGAACTGATTCTCCTTGATAATGTTTATTTCCCCAATAGCCTTGCCAATGCTTTTCATTATCAAATTTATTATTATATTATTATTATTTTCTTCAAGATGAAGATAAAAAGAATATAAACTAACATTATATTTCATTTCCACAAAAAGACTCTGATGTCAGGCTAGGCACAGTGGCTCATGCCTGTAATCCCAACAGTTTGGAAGGCTGAGGAGGGTGGATTGCTTGAGCCCAGGAGTTCACAACCAGCCTGGGCAACATGGCGAAACCTCATCTCTACAAAATATACAAAAATTAGCTGGGTGTAGTGGCATATGCCTGTGGGAGGCTGAGGTGGGAGGATCTCTTGAGCCCAGGAGGCAGAGATGGCAGTGAATTGAGATTGTGCCACTGCAGTTCAGCCTGGGAGACAGAGTGAGACCCTATTTCAAAATAAAATTAAACAGATAAAAATAAAAAATTAATTTAAAAAATCAACTCTGGTATCTACCTAATAGGATGCGTTGATTTATTTTCAGTCCAAAAAGTCTACCACCTGGTATGCAATATGTTTAACTGGGAAGACAGCAGACTGAGTGAGATTTGATGTCTATCTACAAAGAGTTGAAGGACTGTCATCAGGAAGAGGAAGTAGCCTTGTTCTGTGTGATTCCAGAAGATAAATTTAGGACTAGGAATCAAAATTCCAGAAATTAATTTCTATTTCACTAAAATACATTACTAGAATAATTTACAGTGGTGAATGTTGTGAAGGGTAGGATTTTGATAATCCAGGATTCATTTGTTCAATTTTTTTCATTTGGCTTTTTTTTTTTTTTTTTTTTTTGAGACAGAGTCTGGCTCTGTCACCCAGGCTGGAGTGCCTGTCATCCAGGCTGGAATGCAGTGGTGTGAGCTCGGCTCACTGTAACCTCCATCTCCTGGGTTCAAGTAATTCTCCTGCCTCAACCTCCAGAGTAGCTGGGATGACAGGCATGCACCACCAAGCCTGGCTAATTTTTGTATTTTTAGTGGAGACGGGGTTTTACCATGTTGGCCAGGCTGGATTTGAACTCCTGACCTCAAGTGATCCGCCTGTCTTGGCCTCCCAAAGTGCTGGGATTACAAGAATGAGCCACCACGCTTGGCCATTTGGATTTCTTCGATACCTCCTTTCTGTCCTTTTATTATTCGTAGTTCCCTTGAAACTGACTCATCCCCATCCATCTGACAGCTAAGCCTGGCAAGTCAGAGCATTGCATAACCCACCATAACCCTGACAATAGTGACTGGGTACTGTAAGACCTAAGTTAGGCCGATTAGAACCAAAAGATGCAATCCTAAGACTTTTGTTTGAGTTATTTAGGATGCTGATCTTTTCCTGCTGACCCTGAAGAAGAGAATGGGAAGCTACAGCTGCCGTTTTGCTATCACACGGAGAGAGCCTATTTGAGAAGTGGAGCTCAGCTATGGGAATGAAAACCAGACCCTGGTGATGTTGGCTGAGTCTTGATCATGCCAAGACTGAAATTAAGATCCTAGAAGATTCATGGTCTGTGATATGAGGAAATACATTCCCATTTTGCTTAATCCAGTTTGGGCTGGGTTTTCTGCCATTTGAAGTGAAAAGTTTTAACTAAAATGGGTAGTGAACACTGCATTCACAGTAGTTTCCACACAGAGGAGATGACCAGCCTTCACAGTAGGTACGGAAGGGATGCCCAGATTATGTGAAAGGCTGGCTTTGAGGACTTCCAACTTTAAATTCTTGGCTCCTCCAAAACTTGATTTTGCTTGTGTTCTGCCCAGTGGACTTGGTAGCTTCAAAGAGACTACAAGAACACTGGATTGGCCATTGCTTAGGGCCAAGCGATACAGGCTCTTGATGCCCAGGCTGGAGTACAATGGTGTGATCTCGGCTCACTGCCAACTCTGCCTCCTGGGTTCAAGCGATTCTCCTGCCTCAGCCTCCCAAGTAGCTGGGATTACAAGCATGTACCGCCATGCCTGGCTAATTTAGTATTTTTAGTAGAGATGGGGGTTTCTCCATGTTGGTCAGGCTGGTCTCGAACTCCTGACTTCAGGCGATCCACCCGCCTCAGCTTCCCGAAGTGTTGGGATTACAGGTGTGAGCCATGGCGCCCAGCCAATATAGAGGTTAATACATGTCCAGGTCTGGGATGCATATTAAATGGAGTAATCTATAATGTTTAATTCTGGAATGAAAGATTTTTTAAAGAGCTGGATCATTCACTTTGTACTAAATTATCTTTTTTTTTTTTAGCCAAAACAAAGCTTCTTGACAGGATTTGCATTATAGCCTTGGCTGAATAATGAGTTTCTTTGCCAGGGGTGAATAATTAATTAGATCTTTCATCTTCTGCCCAGGAGATGAAGGAAAACTGTTTAATTTTAAAGATGTTCATATCCAGGCTGGGTGCAGTCACTCACACCTGTAATTCCAGCACTTTGGGAGACTGAGGTAGGTGGATCACTTGAGGCCAGGAGTTTGAGACCAGCCTGGCCATCATGGCAAAAACCTTGTCTCTACTAAAAATATAAAAATTAACCAGGCATGGTGGCACATGTCTGCAATCCCAGCTACTCACGAGGCTGAAGCATGAGAATCGCTTGAACCCGGGAGGCGGAGGTTGCAGTGAGCCGAGATCATGCTACTGTGTTCCAGCCTGGGTGATAGCCTGTCTCAAAAAAAAGTAAATAAATAAAGAAAAAAGATGTTCACATTCAGACATATATGCACAAAAGAAGTTTTGAGTACTGTACTTTATCATTTAACTATCCCATGAATATTTATGGAAATTGGATCTGAGTTATATCACAGTGTTGGGTTATTTTTAGGCCAATATAAGTAACATGCCCCATCTGTGGATTTAAATATTTTCTCTCCTTTTGTTGTTATAATTATATATGTTTTTGGTCCAGATGTTTAATTTATTTTTAAAAATGAGAAAATGTCAAATCAACTGGAATAGTAAGTGCTTAATAACGATGATTTACATTTGTGTGATGTGCTTAATTTTGCAAAATGTTTTCACCTCAATGTCCTCGATGTATAATAGTTAATTATCACTTAGCATGTAGCAAGTACTTTGCTAAGAACATTATATGGATATTATGTAATTCTCACAAAAGCCTACAAACTAGCTACTGCTATTATCCCCATTTTATAGATGAAGGAGCTGAAGTGTTGGGAGGGTAACTAGCCTTTCCAGAGCCACACAGAGACTCACAGAGCCAGGGTTTAAACACAGGTGCTCTGGCCTGGAGTCTAAGCTTTGAACCCATATCCTAAACAAATCCTATGGTTAGTAAAAATTTAACATGTCCATTTGCATGGGAGTCCAGAATTCTACCATTAATTTTATGAAGTTATTGCATTTTTACTTCTATTAGAGGAGGGAAATAAGATAAAGAGATTTAAAATGACATGACAAGGGGTCACATTGCTTTATATTAGGTTACAATTCCTGTCATCACCAAGAAAAATCAAAGTACTAGCTATCTCCAGATTAGACAGTACTTTCATTGATACAGGAAGCCTTTTCTTTGAGTCCCTTTATAATACTTCACACAGTTATAATGGAAAAACAATTTAAACAGTAAGTGCAAGTGTAAAAAAATGAAAGTATTTCATTTTCTCTAAATCTTAGACTTTAAACCTACAGAAGGGCTGTAAGAAAAGTAACCTACAGTGATTTTTGGAGGCTCCCCTCCCCTTTGCAGGGGTCACATCCAAGTTTTGGGGATGTAAGTTGTGGCTAGAAAATGGTGGAAAGACTCCTTCATTTTCAATCCATCATGGCCTCTTCATTACCAAGCCTGAGGTGGGGTAGGTGGGGTCTCTTGAAGACAAATGTTTCAGTTGCTTTTTTTGCCAAGCTTAGGTGGAATCTCCAATGACTACAGCCCAGCCTCCCTAGTTTCCCCAGACAGCTATTCTCCTATCAAACATCATTCACATCTCTTAAGTACCACATTTGCAAAGGTTTCCAACACCTTGTGGATCACCTTCATCTCATTTCATTCTTGGGGCATCTGTTCTTAGTTCTCTTGCTTCAAAGGCACTGCTATCTCTCTGCTTTTCTTGCCATCCCTCAAGTTTGCCAAGGTGTAGAAGATCCTGGGAAACCAAAGTCAAGTATGCCAGTGTTGGGAGGACAGCATAGCTCTTGACTTTGCAACACAAACTGCCCCAGAGGTATGGGAGAACAAAGGTCTCACTAATTGGTCTAGGTGGCATGGTGTGACAAACAGGAAGAACAAAACGTTACCTAGTATCTCAGTAAATCATCCTGCCACATAATAGTTTCAGTTCCTTTGCAAAGAAGAGAATCAGCAAAACACTCATGATTGGATCCTGCTCTTTTCTATCCTTGAAATACTGATTTCAAGTCCAGGTGCTACTCTTTAAAAGTGTTGTGAACCTACTAAAGAGAGTTTAATGGCCGGGCGCGGTGGCTTACACCTGTAATCCAGCACTTTGGGAGGCCGAGGCGGGTGGATCATGAGATCAGGAGATTGAGACCATCCTGGGTAGCACGGTGAAACCCCTTCTCCACTAAAAATACAAAAAATCAGCTGGGCATGGTGGCAGGCATCTGTAGTCCCAGCTACTCGGGAGGCTGAGGCAGGAGAATGGCGTGAACACAGGAGGCAGAGCTTGCAGTGAGCCGAGATGGCACCACTGCACTCCAGCCTGGGGGACAGAGTGAGACCGCGTCTCAAAAAAAAAAAAAAAAAAGAGTTTAAACAGTGATGGAAGAACTGGGATGCTTAACAGAAGAACAATAACTGGATGCCTCCTCTGAAGAAGAGGGGTGTGCTGAGGCTTTGTGAGGAAGAACCAGTCCCAGTGAGTAGAAGGGACCAGAGGGAAGATGAGTGATTCATAAACTGAACAAACTTTCTAGAGAGCAGGTGAAATAGTACTGGTTGCCTCTATGGGGTGGTCAAATGGAGACTGAAAGATAATGTGTCAGGGTATGTAAAGGGGATAATTAAATAAAATTTGGGGTACTTGATCTTTAAGGAGACTTTTTAACCTTAGAATTCTATGTAAAGAATAATCAGCTGTGTTATAGCCGCCGTGGGTTTTGGAAAACTACGATGATTAACACTGTCACAAATACCAAACAAGATAAACTACTCATCTTCACAAATGTGTGTGTTTGTGTGTGTGATCTTTCTTTTTGGGAAACAGTGTGTTCTCCTGACAAAAGCTTGACTTCCAGGCATTCATGTCTAACACGACTCACTGAAGAAAAGAGTCCAGGAAACAGACCAGCTGGCCTCAAAGAAAAAGTGAGGTCCTCTGGCAGAGTAAAGGGTGCTAAACACAACCAAGAAAGCCAAAAAGATCAAAGGAGGGCTCTGGCAAGAAAGGGCTTGTCTAATTCAAGGGTGAATGAAAAAGGGAGGTTGAGGATGTTTTTATCTGGGATCTGGAGACCTCACAGCAGAGACAGTTCTTCTTATGAGTAGACTGGAGACCGTCACTGCCTAGGAGGGTGATTAGAAGATGGTCTAGTTCTGAAATCTTCATGTTACATGTTGGGGAAATGAGGTCCCTGGAAAGGGCAAAGAACTTGCCTGCTTTATAGCAATGCAAACAGACATTAAAAAGAAAAGAACTTGCCTGCCATCAGATGGAGACAGTGAGGAAGTTAGGAATAGAGCCTTTGTTGCAGCTCCCCTCCCCTTGACCTGGGTTAAGTAGGGATGCCATGCTTCTCTGCAGAAGTATCTTTCCAAAGCATCTGCATCATGCCATGATTTGAGAAAGTAAGTTTTGAACATTTTACATGGCTAGATTCAAAAGGGCGGGACTCTTCTTTCTTGCTTATTTGTGTTCAACACGGCAAGCATTTATCATTAGTGCCACTCAACATTAAGGCTACTCAAATTTATTATGCACGTCAATCATCTGATGTCTGGTTAAAATGCAGATTCTGATCCTTCAGGGCTTGGATAGGACCCATGATTCTGCTTTTCTAACAAGCTCTCAGATGCTGCTATAGCAACTGACATGGCTTACTACTAGTCCCTACTACAGTCAGGGCCCAGGCTCAACTTTTAGCCCTTCTCAGCCACTCCCAGGACTTGCTGCATGCCTTCTGCCTCTCAAGGACCTGCATCTGGTGGACTCACCTGATGCAGGGCCTCACAGATCCCTCGTGAACTCATCATAGGGAGAATGAGGCTGGAGTGGCTATTTATAGCCATATTTCCTCTCTGCACAGAGAGAGTTGCCCAGGTCGGAGTTTGCTAACAATTCCCTATTTGTGTGGAAGTTCCAAAGAGGCTCCCGGTAAGGTAATTTGGCAGCAAGCACCATTGCAAATGATTCTTTTTTTTTTTTTTTTTGGATACTGGATACGGAGTCTTGCTCTGTTGCTCAGGCTGGAGTGCTGTGGCACGATTTGAGCTCACTGCAACCTCTGCCTCCTGGGTTCAAGTGATTCTCCTGTCTCAGCCTTCCAAGTAGCTGGGATTACAGGTGTCTGCCACCATGTCTGGCTACGTTTTAAAAATATTTTTAGTAGAGACGGGTTTTCACCATGTTGGCCAGGCTGGTCTCAAATTCCTGACCTCAAGTGATCTGCCCACCTCGGCCTTTCAAAGTGCTGGGATTACAGGTGTGAGCCACTGCGCCTGGCCAAACATTGCAAATGATTCCTATTGCATTTAATTCTAAACTCTCCCAGACACTGGGGCTCAACAATATTTGTTGAATGGAATTATGGTAAATTCTGAGATTGAGGTTTGTGGGGGCTTCCATTGCTCTGTAAAATCAAATTGAGTACATCAGACATTTCCACTGTGAATGCTTACCTTCCCTCTCCTTGGCCTCCTCCATCCTGCCAGGAAAACCTATTTTGGACCTTACAGAATTCATTCTGAGAATTTCATTATGATTGTGACATTTATAACTCATTATTTAACTGCTGTGGATGGTGGAAATACAATGTTGAACAGTCCCAGTGGAATAAAATCAGAGTTAGTAATCTCTTCGTGTGCAATTGAAAAAAAAAAAAGGTATGGTATCAAAACATTAGCAGAAAACTAGTCTTTTTCAGTTTTCATATATAGAAGTAGTGACTGAAATAATTTTTATTATAAGTTCCTTTACCCCTAACTTATACGTGACTGGGGCAAACCTATGGGCACTGCTTTCTGAAATTGATCTATTTAAAAACAGTGTTTATCCAGAGCTTTTTGATACAAATATGAGCAGTTAGAGTCCCTTTCCTGGCTTAAATGGTAGAATGCAATGTACGCTGTTTTGCCATGTTGTGTCTTCATTTAACAGTGAGTATAGAGATGGTTCTGATTTGGCATACGTCTGCATCGTTTATTAAGTGAATAGTGCTTGGCTGCATGGAGAATCCAGACTTTATTAACTGCTCACTTACTGATGGACATTCAGGATGCTTCCCAGTGTTTTTAACCTGTGGTTTTCAGAAATAGAGTGGGAGAAAGGGAAGGAAGTGTGTGGCTCCTGAAACTAGATGAAATGCAGTCTGTCAAAGCTAGCTGGCTCTCGGCTTTGGGGTCTCTTCTTGAGTTTTTGAGACATTGTTACTGAGAGGAAGAGATTTCTCTCAAATTGAGGGCCATGAAGAGAGGGAGAACTAAGAAGGCTCTTGTTTTGGCAGGGGAATGAACAGTCTGTGTTCAAGTGTGCAGAGATGGGCTGAGAGGGGAGCAGAAAAGTGAACATATTCTGGGGGCCATGGTGAGGCTGCCTCTTGCTTCAGCAGCAGCGTTTATAAGCTGACTATTCCCTCACCTGGGGAGAGAGGCCACAGGTGATTGGATTAACCTAGCTGCTGGCCAGGCACTGTTGCTGAGGAACCTGAGGATAAGGAGGAAGATTTTATTAAATGAATGAAGCTGAGGCTCATGTGAAGCCATTTTTCAGCTTGGCTGACTGAGCAGAGCGGCTCCTCAGAGCCATTTGTTCTTTTTGTTTCTGTTTCTGCAGAAGGTTGCCCAGGTTTGCTTGTGCATATGAATTTGCTCTGTTTCCATACATCATATCTAGTTAAAGGGGTCTGGAGCCTGGCATGAACTTGTGAATTTTACCTGGTTCTCTGAGTATTTCCAACAGCCTGCTAGCCATTTCCACCCTCACACTCACTGGCACTTGGAAGCCAGCATGTTTCAAAGACAGCGTCCAGTTGTCTAGCGTCTCCTTCCAGGCTTTCTCATATCCGACCTCCCACATCCCCACTGTCTTGTCAGCTTCAGGCCCTCATTATCTCCTGTCTGTGGGGCCACAGTTGTCCCCTAGCTGGTCTTTTTGCCTGTGGTCAATTTATCAAGAATGAATGCTTCCAGAGAACTTTCTAAACACTACTCAAACTAAGGCCCTCTCTGTCTCCAAAACCTCTAATGGCCCATCCAGCACAGAGGATACATCACCACTCCTTAGCCGGGCATTGAATGGGCTCTGTGAGCTGTCATCCACCTAACCCCAATCCATCTCATCTGCCCTGTCTTTCCTGGCTTAGCTCTTACTTTTTCCCAGAGTGGCCTCTACTCTATCAAAATGGTCAGAATAGTGGCTCAAATCTGAATCTTCTTCACTTCTTCATTTATTTCACAGCTTTTCATCCTTAATACAAAACTATTTCAAAAACTCCATATCCTTAATAAACCACAATGTCTGGGGATTGCCATTTTCTGGATTAATTTTCTTTTTTTCCATCAACTTTTAAGTTTGGGGGCACAAGTGCAGGATGTGCAGGTTTTTACATAGGTAAATGTGTGCCATGGTGATTAGCTGCACAGATGATCCCATCAAGTAGGTGTTAAGTCCAGCATCTATTAGCTATTCTTCCTGATGCTCTCCCTCACCCCAACCTCCCACCTCTGACAGGCCCCAGTGTGTGTTGTTCACCCTGTGTGTCCATGTGTTCTCATCATTCAGCTCCCACTTATGAGAACATGTGGTGTTTGGTTTTCTGTTTCTGCGTTAGTTTGCTGAGGATAATGGCTTCTAGCTCCATCCATGTCCTTGCAAAGGACATGATCCCATTCCTTTTTATGGCTGGGGACCATTTGTAGAATTTAAGGGGATCATTCCCCTGTCTGATATCTGTATTCAGTCTGGATCAATTACCAGGTGTTTTGCTTGTAAAGGGAGTTTAAGCTATTCTTATTAGGGTAAGCTTTGTTTTAAGATTTATGAGAGTTGGATCTGTGCCGAGGTGGTTTTGTCTCCTGGAAATCCCCAGGCCAGGTTGCTTCATACTGCTAAATAACATGTAGTGTCAGCCCTGACAGAGGTTTGGGTGAGTCCTATGGCTATAATAAATTTTCATTAAAAATTTTTTTTTAATTTAATTTAATTTTTTTTTTTTTTTGAGACAGAGTCTGGCTCTGTTGCCCAGGCTGTAGTGCAGGGGTACAATCTCGGCTCACTGCAACCTCCACCTTCCAGGTTCAAGTGATTCTCCTGCTTCAGCCTCCCAAGTAGCTGGGACTACAGGTATGTGCCACATGCCCAGTGAATTTTTGTATTTTTAGTAGAGAGGGGGTTTCACCATGTTGGCCAGGCTGATCTTGACCTCCTGACCTCAGGTGATCTGCCCACCTCAACTTCCCAAAGGGCTGGGATTACATGCCACTGCATCTGGCTTAATTCTATTTTTTAATTTTTTTTGCTCCGTCACCCATGCTGGAGTGCGGGGGTACCATTGTAGGTCACTGCAACCTTGAACTCCTGGGCTCAAGCAATCCTCCCACCTCAGTCTCCAGAGTAGCCGGGACTACAGGCACACACCATTGCACCCAACTCTTTTTGTTTGTTTTTTTACACTTTTGTAGAGACAGGGTCTCGCTATGTCACCCAGGCTGGTCTTGAACTCTTAGACTCTGGCTGTCCTCCTGCCTTGGCTTCCCAAAGTGCTGAGATTATAGGCGTGTGCCACTGCATCTGACCTTAATCTTACAATACTGATGTTTCTTATAATATAGCTTGATATTTATTTAAACAGTGGTCCTCCTTGTATATTTAAAAAAAAAAAAAAAAAAAAAAGGTTTGGTAGCACAAGGCATGCTTTGCCCTGGGCTGGTTTACATACTAAAAATTGGGGTCAAGGGAATAAAAAAGGATTTTCTTTTGCTTGAGGATTTTGATTATTTGAGGTCAGATGAGTTGACATTTTTCTTTATTAATTAGTCAAAAAACACTGGAGCTCAGCTTATTGAAGTTTATTGAATTAAGCTTTGAAAATCCTTCTGTCCACATTCTGGCAAGCTTTTCAAAATAAGATATACTGCTCCTTTACCATCTGCAGTTTGCTACAAGATAACAACCTTTTCTCTGATTATTTTCTTATTACTACCTCTTGGAAGATGGAGGTGAGGCTTTGGGAGGAAAAGAATGAAATAGTGGCATGAGCTGAGAGATGATGCTATGTTCAAGTGAACTATACACACACACACACACACACACACACACACCAATAGAGTATTTACACATACTTCATTGTGAAAGACATTCATCCTCAGAGAGGAAATAATTGAGTTGAAGATCAGTCTTATTGATTTTTTTTTGGTCTGATGCAGTTATTTGATTTGCTTCCAAGTTTTCTTGTTGTTGTTGGTTTTTGATTGTTATTGTTGTTGTTTTTAACCGCTAGAAAGTTGTACTTTGCCCGTGTGCTTCAGAGGAGAGAACTGAAGGTGGATTGGGAACATAGGGTAGGGTGCTACGCATTTTTCTATTGCATAACTCTACCAACAATAATGCCAGATTTATAAGTCAATCATTGCTAGGCACTTCTCTTTGGGTTTTACATTTTCCTATTGGGATAACTGATATTTATATGCAAAGTAATTTAAAATAGTTATGACTAGCTTTAAGGCATGCCCGATAATTGCATCTTTTAGGGTCTTTATTTTCCCCTCTCTCATGAAAGATTTTTTTTTTTTTTTTTACTCTCCTTGCTAACAGTACATTTCTGTGTGCCTTTTCCTTGTTGGCAACAAATATTTGGTGAAGAATAAATTTGGATAAACACTTTGGGTAGCGCTCAGCTTTACAAAAGGAGGGGAGATGAAGAGGGCATTCTGCTTAGCTGCCAGCATTTTTATAGGACTCAGACAAGTTTCTCTGGTTCCCCTGGAAGATTATTCTCAAAAATAGAAAAGGGGCTTTTGGAACTTGAAACCCACAACTGACCCTCTTTTGGTGTGTGGCGGTGGAAGTGGGGAGGAAAGACTTAGTTTTGTTTGAAGTAGCCCATATGATATGAAGAAACATTTTTAAACATTATTTTCCTGGACAACAAAACTGTAATTGGGTATTTTAGAGAAATTAAATGTTAATTGACTCCTAATGAGTTCCTAATAACACTGCTAAAAATGAGGGGAAAAAAACCCACTTTGCCATTACCGCATATTTTCTCTGGGGTATACACATTTTTTCCCCATTTTTCCCTGATGGTCATTAGCCATAAATTAGTGTCTCCCTGCAATTGTATTTACTGCTTTAAATGCCTTTGGCTAAGCAGTACTCAAACTTTTCACATCATATTAAACTTTTAAAGCAGTCTATTTTTCGTGTCTACAATATTCTTATGCAGAAAAAAAGACTCCCTGGATTATGAGGCTTGCTATTAAAATGCAACTCCAGGCCTGCTGGTCTACCAAAACTCTGAAAAAGTGACGGGGCATCACTTGATTATTGATCATGTGGGCTTGTCTGAAGCACATCTTGGAGGAGGCAAATGCATTAAAAGAGGTTCATGAATTGCTCTGAAAATACCATGAGAACACAGAGTCCTGAAGGCTCTGTCCTTTTTCACCTTTGCACAATATTGATGGATCAGGTGTGCGTGAGCGTGAGGTGGAGTCAGAGCCAGATTACGTGCGGGCAGATTTTTTTGTCCTTGTTGCCAGTGGCTTAAACGTAGCAGGACAGTGTAATACAAATACCACTAACTCTAATATAGCATCTTTCTTTTCACACCTCCTCTAGAATTTAGTAACAGGATGGGATTTGGGGAGCTGTAACAGATAAGGGATCAGCATATTTAGTCATGATACTTTATTACTGGTAAAAACTCACCCTACTCTTAGTAGTGGAGTCACCCAATAGGAGCAACACAGAAGAAAATATAAACATTGATCCAGAAGGGCTCCAAATGTCAGAAATGCTATGATTTTCTGGGCAACGTAGCTTTCTGAGTTGCTGAATATAATTGATCTCTGCCTTCTGGGTAAATTCCCATCAACTCCTCTCTGCTCCTTTAGAGCCAATGGATAAGAATTAGAACTCTGCTTTTGGATTCCAGTGTGCTATCCTTTGTCCATGAACAAATGCAAGCATGATGAGGCCACTTAAGGTAATGAAGACCCTCATGAATATGAAAAAAGTTGCTCAGTGCAAGAATGTATTAAGTGCAGTTAAATTATAATAGGGAGGTAATGGTTGGTATTAAT
The DNA here is from genome assembly GCF_000001405.40 of Homo sapiens. Taxonomy (NCBI): domain Eukaryota; kingdom Metazoa; phylum Chordata; class Mammalia; order Primates; family Hominidae; genus Homo; species Homo sapiens. The sequence continues at coordinate 156,885,501 of NC_000005.10, read as the reverse complement.
ATTAGTAAGTTGGTTCTAAGCTTTATAGCAGTATCAAGCTGTAGAATGAAAACCCACAGATATTATAGATGGAATAAGGTAGTATAAAGATCACTAGGACTGGATGTCCAAATATGCAGCTTCAGATCTAGCCTTGACCCTTTTGTTTGTGTGATCTTGGGGAAGTCATGTCACATCTCTGGATGTTATTTAACCCATTTACAAAAAGAGAGTATGATTAGGAGGTGGTACTGGCACCCTGTCGTGGTTATTGGCAATGCACGGGGGTATGTTTTGACTGAATATCACAGTGAGGTTGGACTATGCTCCAGGCATTTATTGGGGAAAGTAAATGTCTTGCAATGCAAGGCACATTGAAGCACAAAGAAGAATTATCTCATTTAAAATGCTAATAGTGTCCCAGCTGAGAAACACTGTGATGATCTTGACCTGCACTGTAGCTGTGATAGGTTTGTGAGAAATTGGGCTAAGGACAGAAAACAAGAAACCATTGCCAGATAAGTTCTGGGTTTTGTTTTTGTTTGTTTTTAAAAGAGATGGAGTCTTGCTCTGTTGCCCAGGCTGGAGGCACAGTTCACTGCAGCCTCCACCTCTTGAGCTCAGGCAATCTTCTCATCTCCACCTCCCAAGTAGCTGGGACCACAGGCAGGCACCACCATGCTTGGCTAAATTTTTAAAAAATTTTTCATAGAGATGAGGTCTTGCTATGTTACCCGGGCTGGTCTTGAACTCCTGAGCTCAAGAGATCCTTCTGCCTTGGCCTCCCAAAGTGCTGAGATTACGGGCGTGAGCCACCATGCCTGGCCCCATCGCCAGAGAACTTCTTGATCAGTTTTTATTTATTTTTAACAAGGTGCTTTCATAGAAAAGAGGAAAATAACACTTTCCACCAGCTTTGGAATTCCCTATAGGTCATGCCAGCCTCTAAGACATTTGTAAATCTTTTCATATTTCCTTGTTACATTTTTCAAGAAGTCCCTGAGGTCTTTCATGGGACACACATAACCATAGTAAAAAACAAAGTGTTCTCATTCCCCTTAACCTGTCCTTGTCTGGTGTGTGGAGCTTGCCCAAGTGTAGGATGGAATGAGAAGTGCGATGTAAATAACAGACTCCTGCTTCTGTGTGTGGTTCAGATATTAACTTTTCCAGAACAAAATCAAATAATGCTCTATGAAAACAGTCACCTTGGACCCAAAATGATGGGCTAAAAATGTTCCTTTTCTGGGAAGAATTGAACCATAACCTAAGCACAAGGAATTGGAGAATATGGAAGTTTGCTCAGGAAGGCCAATTTTCTTTTATAGATAGGGAAGTTGAGGAGGACTTATCTGAGATCACACAGCAAGGTACAGGCCAAGACAACATCACAGCTATTAGAGGGTACAGTATCTTGGTTTTGTACCAGACCCTTTCCAGGTTTCTTTTCCCAGGCAGAAGCTGGTTATGGGAGAAGCTCTAACAGACCAGGCAAAGTGTGAAGGACCTATGTGTCCATCAACCAGTCAGTTTCCAGTGTGCCAGTGATCTGAATTTCCCTAGGGCAGGGGAAGAACAACCCCACAGGTTCTTGTTTGTAATGGATCCCCTGAAACAAAAGGCCGATGAACAAGAGAAAAACAGAAGTTTAGTAACATGTATATTTCATATATATACATGGGAGACACCCAGAGAATAAGTTGTTCTTGATGTGGTGGCTTTGAATTCTAGTTTATACAGCATCTTCAACAAAGAGCAGTACATTTTTAGAGAAGTGATGAGATGAAGGAAAAGAACTTTGAGTCTTTAGGGGCAGCACCTTATGGAAAGGCAGATAAAGGCTTGTTAGTAAAGCTTGTACCATCTGCAGGCTGAAAAGGAACCAAAGTTGGTGATTAACTTTGTTCTCCCTGGTGTAAGGGGCAGGTGAAGGGGACACTTTTTTTCTTTTAAATTGATGTTCTACCTTTAAACAGGCAGAGGGAGGGCAGAGAACTCTCCTGCACCTGCTTCCTCTTTATTGTCGTTAACTCAACAGCCCTTCATATTTTGGGGCAGCCTATTTTGGTCTCCTACACTGGCGCCAAGCTAAGAGTTGTGGAGATACCAAATGGCCCTGACTTGGTCGTCTTTTGGTAGAGATAATTGCCTACTTGATGAAGGCTGTTATAGGGGATAGGACTCCTTCTGTTGTAAATGGCAGAAACTCAGTCAGCAAAACATTAAGAATTTATTGGCTTCTGCAATTAGGAAGGATGAGAGGTACTGTGGAATGCATGGCTTAGGACAGCCATCAGGACTCCCAGCTCTCAGCCTGCTTCCTTCTCCACTGTCTCCCCCCTCACTGAAGGCAGACTCTGTTGGTCCCCATGAGCACATTTGGTGGAGTCATTGGCCACCCCAAACTCATAGCCTTCTAGTACCATCACAGCAGAGAAAAAAGGCAGTCTTCCTTACCTGTTCCAGCAGAACCCACCCTCCCACCATCCACCTCTGGAGGAGATTGTTAGGGTCCTAGTCCATCCTAGTCCATCTCTGAATGAACTACTGTAGCCTTGGAGCTGGGGTTCTCTCTTTGGGCAGGATTGAGTGGTACCTTGGAGGTTAGGAGAAAAGGTGGAGAAGATTGTTCTCATAACTGCAGGAGAAAATGTTTTCGTTATCCAAACCCACAAATACGCTCAGTATAATCACACCCAAAGTATTGGACATAGGAGATACTTATGGCTGGAGTTCAAAAACACAGAGTAAGGTGTAAGTAAGGGAAAACTTTACAGAGAGGCTAGAACTCAAGGCAGACTTGCAGTTTTGGGAAAGAGTCATTGAGGCACTGGAAAAGTAGAATATTTTAAAGATGGGTCTTATGAGATGGAGAGTTTTGGAGAATGGAGACCTAGTCTTACATAGTATTTATAGTTATGGGGATCTGGTCTCCTTGGCATACAGTAGGTGCTCAATAGTTCTTGTTGGACAAATGCTGATTAGCTACCACCATATAGCATTTTGACTACTGCTGCAGACTTTTAGCTCAGGAGTTGGCTTTTTTTTTTTTTTTTCAAAAGGCCAAATACTAAATATTTTTTGTAGGCCATATAGTCTCTGTCGGAACAACTAAACTCTGGTGGTGGTGTGTGGGACTAGCCAGAGATAATACATAAACAAATGAGTGTGCAGTGTTGCAATCGGACTCTACTTACAAAAACAGGCGGTGCAGCAGATTTGGCTTGCAGGCTGCAGTTTGCTGATACCTGTACTCACTCATGTCCTGGCTTTCATCCTTACCAACCTCCAAGCCCATTTCGTACATAGCAGCTAGAGCAATCTTTTTCAAGATGTACTCAGAGCATGTCACTACATTGCACTAAAAAGTGGCTGCCATATTTATTTTTGGTAAAAATGCTAACTCCTTAATGTATATCCAAGTCTCTGCCTGGCCTGGCCTCTGTCTACCTCCTGAACCTCATCTGGAGCTCCTTTTCCTCCTTAGTGACGTGCACCAGACACTGGATGTCTTCTGTACTTGGGAGTTCGACAGCCTGTCCTACTTCACACCATTGCACATACTGTCACCTCAGCCTGGAACATTGCTTCTTCCCTTGTTTCTTATCCTTCACTTCTCAGCTAAATAGAACTTCCTCATAGACCTCATCTGTAATCCCCCGGTCTAAACTGGGCAATGCTCCCTTGCCACTGTGTTCTATCTATACTATTTGTTTTTGTTCTTGTCTTCCTAGAACACTTATCACTATGTGTAGTTATTCATCCATTTGTTAGATTACTTCTTTGTTTTTCTTCCACTAGACTAGAAGCTCAGGGAAGGCAGGGACTATGTCTGTTTAGATCACTCTTAGGTACTTAAGGACCAGGTGTAACGTGGTCCTGGTATACTGCAAAAGTACAAGGTATACTATGGAGCTCTATAAATGTCTGAATGACTACAGAAATGTAAAAGTAGGATTGACAGTTTTGTTTCTTACCTTAATCTTACCTGACTTCAGATTCAAAATATGAGCTGTTTATATGACAAAATCAGAGTCCATTCAGGCTGTCCAGGACTTCTCATGATCATGCTAGCTGATCATCTCTCTCAGCAATTTGGATGTTTGTTTGTTTGTTTGTTTTGTTTTGAGACGGAGTCTGGCTCTGTTGCCCAGGCTGGAGTGCAGTGGCACAATCTTGGCTCACTGCAAGCTCTGCCTGCCGGGTTCAAGCGATTCTCCTGCCTCAGCCTCCCGAGGAGCAGGGACTGCAGGCGCCCGCCATCACACCCGGCTAATTTTTCTATTTTCAGTAGAGATGGGGTTTCACCTTGTTAGCCAGGATGGTCTTGATCTCCTGACCTCATGATCCGCCCATCTCAGTCTCCCAAAGTGCTGGGATTACAGGCGTGAGCCACTGCACCTGGCAGCAATTTGGATTTTTTTTTCCAAAATTATGACATATGTGAGCTGTAGGAGTTAAAAAATAAAAACAAAATAATAAAATTATGATAGATTTCAAAATGTACAGAAAAAGAGCTGTGTGCCTACCACTCCGATGCTATTTCTGTTTGTTTCAGATGACTTCTATATTGTAAACATTTTAATTTTTAAAATGTTATACATTTATACATTTTTTCAGTAAAAAGCAATTTTATGTTCTCCTTGGGCTTTGTTTCCTGAAGCGGCAATTATTTCTGGGAAGATCCCAGTTGAGAAAGTCTCTTTTCAGCACTCATATCCTGGGCCAGTGCGTGTCTTCTTCCATTCTTAGTATAATACTTCATTATTTATCTTCTTTCCACTTCTCCCCCAAATATGAAGCTAACAAAGCACAGTTACCTAATTTTGGATAGTTTTCAATGTTATTGTAAGGGACAGGCTAGTTGCTAAAAACCTAAGCTAAGGAAATAAACTGAAATCAAACATAAAATTTAACCGAGTTTTCTTACACAAGGCAAGGTAGAAAAAACGTTGCTGTCTTTCACAGACTCATAAAAGCAAACAGTGATTCTTCAGGAAACAGACTGTTTCCTTCTTTAATATGAATGATAACATTCATTTGTCTTTCTCCCATGGTTTTTATTTTTTACTTTATTTTTATTTTTTTGAGATGGAGTCTTGCTCTGTTGCCCAGGCTGAAGTGCAATGGCATGATCTCGGCTCACTGCAACCTCTGCCTCCTGGGTCCAAGCAATTCTCCTGCCTCAGCCTCCCAAGTAGCTGGGATTGCAGGCTCCCACCACCACACCCAGCTACTTTTTGTATTTTTAGTAGAGACGGGGTTTCACTATGTTGGCCAGGCTGGTCTCAAACTCCCAACCTCAGGTGATCCGCCTGCCTCAGCCTCCAAAAGTGCTGGGATTACAGGCATGAGCCACCATGCCTGGCCCCATGCTTATCTATCATTTTCTTTGTAGTTTCCACCAGCAGCCTCCTTACCCCCATGGGATTTATATCTTTTACGGTTTTTGATGCTGAGCTTCCTGGTGTGTGTCTGGATAAAGCACTCACATTGGCACCTGCTCCTTCATTAGCCCTGAGTGTGTGAAGACAAAAAGACTGAGATCCACAGGAGGGTTACTGTGAAGCTCCCAATGTAACTGTAGGAGGTGATTTTCAGATATTAAATCCTTAAAACTCACAAAGCTTGCCTGAGCCACAAGAGGTCAATAGTTAATATTCTTTTCATTTTAACAGATGGCAGAGTAAACCACAGAGCAGCTGTGACTCTCACTACCAGGAGCTGCCAAAAGAGATTTTTGAATAGCCCTAGGCTGTCTTGGTCCTGAGGTTTCTGCCTGTGAATGAGGCACCTTAGATAAATCCTCTACTGTGTGTTGGGGAGAAAGCCCTCTCATCTGAGGAAATCTTAACAGAGGACTTTGGTATAACACAGTGGCATGTAGCTGGGTTTAAATCTCACAGGTATAAGTTATGAGCTGCATGACTCTGGGCAAGTTACTTAACCTCTCTGTGCTTTATTTTCTTGCCTGCATAATAGAATTATTATTAGGTTGGTATAAAAGTAATTGCATTTTTTACCATTAAAAGTAATATTGCATCACCTCATTCAATTGTTATAAGAATAAAATGAGAGAACACATGTAAAATGCTTCAGACAGCATCTGGCATATTGTAAGTCCTTGATAAGTGTTAGTATAACTTGAAACCCCGTGCAAAAGTAAAGCGCTGTGTTGGCAGCCCTCCCTGCTGTCCGCCAACTAATTGTGTCCCTGAAATATTTTCATAGAACCCCTAAGACTTTATAGAGCACCATGTGACAATACTAGACTTGCTAGTTTTCCTCTGGGCTTTTCAGATTCCTTGGTCTATTGGGGACTAGCACACTTGTCCTTCCACATTGAATTTTAAGATGAATTAAGCAGCTGCCCCATGGTTCTCAGGAGTCACCAGTAGTGGCTCCAGAACAGAACCAAGCCTTCCTAACAGCCCTGGAATGTCAACACCCCAGGGCTGTTAGGAAGCATCCCTTCCTTCCTGGATGGAGTAAGGTGGACAAGCCAAGGGTTCTGGCCTACCCACTGTTGGTCAGCTCCTGAAGAGAGAGCTTCTTGTCTCCTGGAGCATCCCCTTTGAGTCTCTTGAGGTTCACTAGAGGTGGGGACCCACAGCTGGCTCTTCTCTGGCTTGCAGCCCTGGTACTAGGAGAGAACTTCACATCCCGGAAGACAATGAGACTGTTTGCAAAATCATTGTTAGGATATCAGATGCCCAAGATTTTCTTCCAGATGTTCTTGGAGGCTGTTTTAAGAACTCATCCACTACCTCTTACCACCCCCACCTGGTTTTTTTCTCCTCACTCTTCATGCAAGTCCGATACCCTTTGCTGCATATCCTGTGGCAAGTTGACAGCACCATCTAACTTCTTGCTTCTCTCTCCTGGTTTACTGTCTGTTTTTGACAATCGGGCTTCAATCACAGGTGGCCTTGGAGGAGACTGTCCATCATGACCACACCACTGGCCCTGCAATTCTCCACAACACTGGGCTGTTTCATTTCTATCCAATTGGCCAAGTTCATCTTTGTCTTCTCAAAGTTTTTTCCTGCCACACTGCTGCTCCTTCCTTAATTGTCTAACCTTAAGTCACCTTGAGTATTGACATCCTGAATGTACCCTGTAAGGAAGCCAAGGTGTCCATGTATTTGTGAAATCTGATTTGCATGAGTGGACACAATGGGAATGCCAGACCTGCTGTGTTTCCTGGGAAATTCTTTTAAGCTTGTTTGACAGATTAAGCTATTTCCAATGAAGAAATCCACCTGCCCACTCCAACATTGGTCTGATGGTTGAGAGCAGGTCCTAAGAGTTTTGAAATTTAATCATCTTTCTTTCTTATATGGTTTGTGGAGAAGAAAACATTTATAGAAATATTTGCCAGCTCTTTTTGGTACCTGAATCCATATATCTGAATGATATGTTTTTTTCTGGCACAATAAAGGGTAGAGAACATAGGTCTGGGTTGAAGTATGGGGTAATTGTCTAAAAATCAAGGTAGAGTCCCCAGCTTTACCTCATATTCAACAAGTGACTTTATCCCAGTCACTTTCCTTCTCTGGACTTAGTTTCATCATTCAGCAAATGGTCCTTCAGGGGTATTGTAAGGACAGATGTGATGGTGTACTTAGCTTAGTACTTGGCCTTCAGCAGGCAGTCAACAAATGTCAGTTTCTCAGTGGGTTCCACATTTATTCAGAGAGAGATTGAATACGATGCTCATTAAGTAGGACATCTAGTTTCATTTGGAGGTAAATTTATTTTTTAATTTTGAGAAAAAAATCCCAATGTATAAAGAATAATCACTTTTTTCCCCATCAAATAGAATTAACATTATTGTCTTGAGCATTGACACCCCAATATCAATTCTACCTAGAATGATTTGTCTAAGGCAATTATACTGACCTCAATTCCCTTGCTAGTATTTGGAGAATAAGTGTATTTGGTTTAGGAATTGAGTGAGTGACCCAGTCCTCTCTTGGGACTTTTAGAAATGTTTCCTAACCCCTGAGAAAGAAACATAAGAAGGCATTTACCCTTTCTGCCTATGTGATACCTAGAACTGTGGCAGCCACCTCATGGCTATGACGGGCTTCAGCATGGGGTCAAAGTCACCACACTGAGGATGGCAGAACAGAGGGATAGGACAAACTTCTTTCCTTGATGTCTCTGCCAAGCCGTGACATTAATCAACCCTGAAAATAGCTCTACTTTTAAATTTCTTATTAAATTATTGTTTAAGCAATTTGAGTCAGTTTTCCTATTGTTTGCAGCCAAAAGCATCCACTTGACATAATAATTACTAACATTTACTCTATCTGTTCCCACACCAAATTACACATTGTGTTAATTATCATTGCTTAATAGAAAGTCCTGATACCTGGTAGGGCAATCCCTGTATTTTACTCTTCTTTTAAAGAAATGCCATGATTATTCTTAGTTCTTTGCTCCTTTATACAAATTTAAGAGATTCATCTTCTATATTTACACATACAAACGAACATACACCCTTTTAAAAGTTAATAATAACTACTAAAACATTAACAACAGCCTTGTCAGGATAATTTGGAGAAGAACTGATATCTTTATAATACAACATAATATGTCACGTTCACAGTATATACTCGTTATTTAGGTCTTGAATGTTTTATAAAAATTCTTTTTATTAATGTTTTATACTTTATAAGTATCTGTTGCTATTATAAAGGGGATTCGTACAGTATTACCTTTTCTAACAGTTGCTCACATATAGGAGCAGAGTTGATGTCAGTTGATGTCAGTTTTGAGGTATTGACTTATACCTCAAAACCTTTTGAATTCTTATTTGTGTTGATCATTTCTGCTTAGATATTTTTCATTTTTTACATAAACAATGTGTTCTTTGGAAAATTTACAGGAAAGTTGCAAAATTAAAATGGTATACAGTATACTTACATAGTGTTATATAATAAAGAATTTGGCTGGATTTGTCCCTGGTTTCTGGGAGGTAACCTCTAAATCCTTAGATTGTCTTGAGTAATGGGAGTGTCTTAGTTACTCATGGTGGGTCCCTGGCACCTGCCTGAGTTCAGGCTTAAGGAGAAGAATCAGGGTGGGGCTGGCTATGGCAGAAAAACCATTTGTGATTAGATGGTTGAGATTTAAGTCAGGTGATATCAGCCTGATCTTTAGGAATAGGAGACAGGCTGGAGATTGCGTTAAAGGATATGGCCAATGATTGAATCAATTATGCCTATGTAATGAGACCCCTGTAAGAAGTCGGGACATTGAGGTTCAGGAGAGCCTCCCTGATTGGTAATTGATTGGTAATCATACATGGATGTACCAGGAGGGTGATGTGTCCTGAGGACATGGAAGCTTCTCATTTGGTGCCTTCTTAGACCTGATCCTATGCATTTTTTTTTTTCATTTGGCTGGTCCCAAAACCTGTAATTGAAAGTAAAGTCATCCCTTGGTATTCTTGGGGGATTGGTTCCAGGACCCCAGCAGATATTAAAAACCAACACATGTTCAAGTCTTGTATATAAAATGGAATAGTATTTGCATGTAACCTATGTACATTTTCCTGTGGAGTTTAAATCATCTCTAGATTACTTATAATGCCAATTACAATGTAAATACTAGTTACACTGCATTTTAAAATTTGTATTATTACATAGCATTTTCCTGGGTTCTGGAGTTGTTCCAGCAAGTTATCAAACCTGAAGGCATAGTGGGATCTCCTGAGTTAATATCTAATTGGTCAGAATTGTGGCTGGCCTGGAAACCCCAGAGCTTGTAGCTGGTCTCTGAAGTGAGGGCAGTCTTGGAGAGGACTGTGTCCTTAGCCTGTGAAATCTGACTCAACTCTGGATAGTTAGGGCCCGAATTGCATTGCAGTACCCTTTACTCTGATTCATCTGTCATTAACATCTAACCCTGCATGCTTTATCATTTGTTGTATTCCTTTATTTCTCCTTTTTTACCTCTCCCTAAATACTTCAGCGGTATTTTTGAAGAATACGGATATTCTCTTACAGAACCACAGTACAGTTATCAACATCAGTAAATTTAACATTGATGTTGTACTTTACAATTCATAGTCTAGTTTTATCACTTGACCCAAGATCTTTTATTTCATTTCTTTAGTACAGGATCCAGTCTAAGGTCAGGTATGGCATTTAGTTGTCCTGTCTCCTTAGCCTCCTTCAACCAGCAACATTTCTACCACTTTATTTTTTCTTTTATAACATGGGCATTAAAAAAAAAACCTTCTCTACTTTCATTTTTTGTTAAAACCTTTTATTTTGAAATAATTTTAAATTTACATAGCAGGCCGGGTGCAGTGGCTCACACCTGTAATCCCAGCACTTTGGGAGGCCGAGACAGGAGGACCACCTGAGGCCAGGAATTGAAGATTAGCCTGGCCAACATAACGAAACCCGTCTCCACTAAAAATACAAAAATTAACTAGGTGTGGTGGTGTACATCTGTAATCTCAGCTACTCAGGAGGTTGAGACAGGAGAATCTCTTGAACCTGGGAAGCAGATGTTGCAGTCAGCCAAGATGGCGTCACTGCACTCCAGCCTGGGCAACACCATGAGACTGTTTCTCAATAAATAAATAAATTTTAGATTTACATAGTAGTTATAAGGACAGTACAGATAATTACTATGTATTCTTTACCCAGTGTCCTCTAATATTAGTATCTTATATAACTATAGGACATTTGTCAAAACTAAGAATTAACATTAGTACAGTATTATTAACTAAACTACAGACTTTGTTCAGATTTACCTTTTTCTACAGATATCTATTTTTTGTTTTAATATACAATCTAGAATATCATATTGTATTTAGATCTTTCTCCCTGAAGCCCCAAACCCCATTTTTAAGACAACGTTTCAAAGATCAGATGGTTGTAGATGAGTAGTGTTATTTCTGAGGCCTCTGTTGTGTTCCATTGGTCTATATATCTGTTTTGGAACCAGTAGTGTAGCCTTGTGGTAGAGTTTGAAGTCAGGTAGTGTGATGCCTCCAGCTTTGTTCTTTTTGTTTAGTATTGTCTTGGCTATATGGGCTCTTTTTTGGTTCAATATGAAATTTAAAGTAGTCTTTTCTAATTCTGTGAAGAAAGTCAATGGTAGCTTGATGGGGATAACATTGAATCTATAAATTACTTTGAGCAGTATGGCCATTTTCACGATATTAATTATTCCTATCTATGAGCATGGAATGTTGTTCCATTTGTTTGTGTCATCTCTTATTTCCTTGAGCAGTGGTTTGTAGTTCAACCATCTGATGTTTGACAAACCTGACAAAAACAAGAAATGGGGAAAGGATTCCCTATTTAGTAAATGGTGTTGGGAAAACTGGCTAGCTATATGCAGAAAACTGAAACTGGATGCCTTCCTTACACCTTATACAAAAATTAACTCAAGATGGATTAAAGACTTAAATGTAAGACCTAAAACCATAAAAACCCTAGAAGAAAACCTAGGCAGTACCATTCAGGACATAGGCATGGGCAAAGACTTCATGACTAAAACACCAAAAGCAATAGAAACAAAAGCCAAAATTGACAAATGGGATCTAATTAAACTAAAGAGTTTCTGCACAGCAAAAGAAACTATCATCAGAGTGAACAGGCAACCTACAGAATGGGAGAGAATTTTTGCAATCTATCCATCTGACAAAGGGTTAATATCCAGAATCTACAAAGAACTTAAACAAATTTACAAGAAAAAAACAACCCCATCAAAAAGTGGGTAAAGGATATGAACAGACACTTAAAAGAAGACATTCATGCAGCCAACAAACATGAAAACAAGTTCATCATCACTGGTCATTAGAGAAATGCAAATCAAAATCACAATGAAATACCATCTCACGCCAGTTAGAAAGGCGATCACTAAAAAGTCAGGAAACAACAGATGCTGGAGAGGATGTTGAGAAATAGGAATGCTTTTACACTGTTGGTGGGAGTGTAAATTAGTTCAACCATTGTGGAAGACAGTGTGGTGATTCCCCAAGGATCTAGAACCAGAAATACCATTTGACCCAGCAATCCCATTACTAGGTATATACCGAAAGGATTATAAATCATTCTACTATAAAGACATATGCACACGTATGTTTATTGCAGCACTGTTCACAATAGCAAAGACTTGGAACCAACCTAAATGCCCATCAATGATAGACTGGATAAAGAAAAATGTAGCACATATACACCATGGAATACGATGCAGCCACAAAAAGGATGAGTTCATGTCCTTTGCAGGGATATGAATGAAACTGGAAACCAGCATTCTTAGCAAACTAACACCAGAACAGAAAACCAAACACTGCATGTTCTCACTCATAAGTGGGAGTTGAACAATGAGAACACATGGACACAGGGAGGGGAACATCTCACACCGGGGCCTGTCAGTGGGTGGGGGTTAGGGGAAGGATAGCATTAGGAGAAATACCTAATGTAGATGACAGGTTGATGGGTGCAGCAAACCGCCATGGCACTTGTATGCCTATGTAACAAACCTGCACATTCTGCACATGTATCCCAGAACTTAAAGTATAATTTAAAAAAAAGTTTTTAATTAAAAAAAACAATGTTTCTCAGCATGGATTTGCTTGATGGTTCCTTGCAATTATATTTAGGTTATACATTTGTGGCCAGGACACTGTATATGTGATCTGTCCTTCTGAGGGCATCACATCTGGAGGTATAGATGTCCCTGTCTCCCTCTTTAGTGATATTAATTTTGAATTCCCAGTTAAGGTGCTATCTGATTTATATATTAGTTATTTATCTACTGTTATTTGTTTTCTCCCTTGCGACTCATAATAAAGACCATACAATTACTCTAGTCCTCATTAAAATTTTCCTATAGATTTAACATTCATTGACACTTCTTGCCGGATCTGACCTTTACTAGGATGGTTCCAAAATGCTAATTTCCCAACTCTGGTATGCCCTCCATATTCACCAGTCAGCCTTAGCATTCTACTATCATTATGCTACTTTATTTGCTTTTTTATGGGAATGAACTCATGATTCCCTTAGTTTTCTCCCAGAGGTTTATAGTTCATCACTGTCCTTTACTACTTTGGTGTCCAAAGCTGATTCCTGTGTCCTTGTAATATGCCCTTATCATTTATTTAAGACTTTGCTTTCTTATATATCCCAAAATATTCCAAGCTCATCTTGTTCCCTAACCTGACCTAAATCCTGAAATCATGGAGTCAGTCATTTCTCTGAGAAGCTCTGATTTCTTTCAGTGGAAAATCCTTAGAACTCAGACTAAGTTTTGAGTGTTAGGTGCACCCATTGCTAGTGGGATGTCTTTCAGTCTTGGTCCTTTCAGTGGACAGAGTGGACCTTTTATTTTTTGTCATACTCTTCCAGCTGGAATTTTCAATTTGATATAGAATAGAAGCAGTAATAAATCTTCTGACTTTAAAGCAAATGTCTCTATCCTTTCCTTACTAAGCATAATATTTGATATATGCATTTGATCAAATTAAGAAATTCCTATTCCTATTTTACTGATTGTTTTTTATCATAAGAAAATCTTAATTTTTTATCAAAGTTTTCTCTGTATATGTTAAGATCATTTTCCCCCCTCTGTTATTCTGTTAATTCTTGCATTCATATAGGCATGTTTGATTTATTCATAAAATGACTTTGCTAATAGTTTATTTAGAAGTTTTGCATATCTTATTTTATCCTGCAATCTCTTTTTTGGGAATTTTCATTTCTGTCTTTCAATGCTACATGCTGAGTCATTACTTCAGATCTATCTTTTAATCCACAAGTATTCTCATCAGGGATGATTAATCTCTATTTGTCCCACTCATTAATAATATATAGCAATTGTAGCAGAATTCATATGCAGAAAAATATATATGTAAACTATACTATCATTTATATTATAAATGCATATTATGATTTTCATTTCTAAGAATTGGTTCATTTTTAAATAGTTTTCTGAGTCCATCTCTTATTTATAAAATCATTTTATACACTGTCATTGTAAATTCTCAGTCTGATAATTCTAATTTCTCAAGTTTTTGGAGACAAAAAAGTCTAAATGTGATACTGTTTTTGTCCTGCTGACTCTCACTCATGGTGGTTCATTCCCTTGTATGTCTGGTAATCTTTGGTTGTGAGAGTATGGGGTTGATGTTAAATTGGAGATGGTTTCCTCCAGAGAGGACCTGCAATTATTTTGCTTCTGTTGTGAATCAAGGTGTGCTACCAAATAGGACCATGTTAGTTCATTCCAGGGTCCCTGGCTTATTTTGTCTAACTCAGATTTCGCTTCCACCCCCAGCTTGCTATTGGCTTCAGGTCTTGTCTTAAAATTGAAACACTGATTGTGTGCAACCACACTGCTCCTATGTGCTTACTGCTCATGGCTTTAAGTTCAATACATGTCTGTTGGCTTCCCTTTGTGAGTTACTCTTGCATCCTGTGAGTTCAATGCAATTAGAAGTATGCTTTACATAGGATCTAGTTGTTTTGAGGGAATGGGTCTTTCAGAATTTGTCAATAATGCTGCTGGAAACAGAAGATTATTCTTGATTCTGTTTCGTGACCTTTTTTAAAAAACAAAGTTTCTCTCATTTAAGTCTGCCATATACAGTGATAAAAGAGGGAGAATCAGATTAATTTTAATAATCATTCCCATTTGGAATAAGGAGAAATGAAGACACAAAGTAGTCACTGGTCTGGAGCAATTCTGACCACATTTTGAAGGCTTCCTATCTTGTTATTGGAGCATATTCCTTCACAGGCTTCCATTCTGCTCCCTGGGAACATTTCTATTGTAAATTTTTCTTCCTTGTCCCTGCTCTGCTTTACAGGAAATTCTTTTCTTTGCATTATTCTCCTTGGCCACAAGGGTTGTGGGCATAGGGATTTTACATCTTACTTAGGAACTGGCTAAGCTCTTGTCTTGACCAATGATGTTTGGGGGCCCCAGTGTAGTTTTAGATCTTGAACAGTCAGTTTCAGTCCAGACTCTCGACAACACAACACTCTTAAAAACTTTGCAGTCACATTAGCCATTGGATTCCACTAGTTCCGCATGCCAGTAGCCACTCTCATCTTTTAGTAATGTCCTTCATGGGAACATTATCAAGCATTGAAGCAGAGACTTAAGAGGCAGGGCTCTGGAGCTAGAGTGATTTGTGCCAGTATCTCATCTTTGCCCCTTATGACTCTGCTCTGTTATCCTGGAGAAATTAACTTCTTGAAGTTACACTTTCTTCATCTGTATGATGAGGATGATAATGAGAGTACCTTACTTTTTGGTGGCTTGTACTGAGGATTTACTGAGAAAATGCACATACAACAACTGGCCGTGGGTAAGTACTCAGAAATGGCAGCCGTCATTGTCAGGAAGTGCTTAGATTATCATGGCAGATAAGGAGCTCTTTTGCTTCCATTCCCCACACATATAAGCCTGCATTCATGCTCTGTCCCTGGCCTGCAGGCCCCTTGCCTATCAAAATTCTGTTCATTCTTTAAAGCCCAGATTAGTTACCAACTCTGCTATTACACTTTCCCTCATCTCTCAGGCAGATTTCATTTTTTCTGCCTCTGTCTCAATAGAAGCTGTTTACACATCTGTTTATCACTTCTCTAACTCCACCTTTTATTAGAAAAGTTATTTATTTATTTATTTATTTATTTATTTATTTATTTATTTATTTATTTTTGAGACAGAGTCTCGTTCTGTCGACCAGGCTGGAGTACAATGGCGTGATCTTAGCTCATGGCAACCTCTGCCTTCCGGGTTCAAGCGATTCTCCTGCCTCAGCCTCCCGAGTAGTTGCGACTACAGGCACCCGCCACCACATCCAACTAATTTTTTGTATTTTTAGTAGAGACAGGGTTTCGCCATGTTAGCCAGGATGGTCTCGGTCTCCTGACCTCATGATCCACCCACCTCGGCCTCCCAAAGTGCTGGGATTACAGGCGTGAGCCACTGTGCCCGGCCCTAGAGCAGGTTATGTATCTTAGTGTTTTGCCCACAAGATGGGGGACATGAACTTGTCATTATTTCCTTTCCTGCCTCTGCTTGTAACAGTAGGCTCTCTCCTAATACCTGCACTGAATTGAATTCATACAATAGACTTCACAGAGGCTAGGTAGTGCTTCCCGTGGGATTGTGTTCAACTGTTTATTTCAGAAACTTTTCCAGACTTTCCAAACTGCTTAACCAAACGGGGGGTGTATTAGGCTATTCTCACATTGCTATAAAGACATCCCTGAGACTGGGTAATTTACAAAGAAAAGAGGTTTCATTGGCTCAGTTCTGCGGCCTGTATAGGAAGCATAGCAGCTTCTGCTTCTGGGGAGGCCTTGAGAAGCTTCCAATCATGGCAGAGGGCAAAGCGGGAGCAGGCATCTCACATGGTGGGAGCAGAAGCAAGAGAGTGAAGGAGGAGGTGTCACACACTTTTACACAACCAGATCATGCAAGAATTCACTCACTATTGAAACAACAGGACCAAGGGGGATGGGGTCAAATGATTCATGAGAAAAGGCTCCCATGATCAACTTGCCTCCCACCAGACCCCACCTCCAACACTGGGAATTACAATTGAACATGAGATTTGGGTGGGGACATAGATCCAAACCATATCAGGGTGTTTATTATTTTCACCTAAGAAGTCAGGAGGTGGGGCTAGTGTAGTTGTTTAAGGATGTCTTCAAGAACATAGGCTCCTTCTCTATTTCTGTTCTCATCCTTAGTGTGAGGCTTTCAAGGTCAGGGTTACAAAACGACAGCTGCATCTCTGAGCATCACATCTGCATTCCAGTCAAGAAGGCAAGTGAGAGCAAAGGGCAAAAGATAAAAGCTCCAGTGTCTAGCTGCTTTAAAGGAGGCTCAGGAAGCGCCATCAGTGACTTCTGCTCATCTCATTGGCCAGGACTGGGTCACATGACTCCTTTCAGCTGTAAGGGAGGATGGGAAATAAGTAATAGAAACATTATTATACTGAACAAAATTAGAGTTCTGTTTGAAAGTAAAAATGGGAAATGATATTGGATAGCACCGGACAGAGATGTGTATTTGTTCTTGCTGTTTTGTGGCTAAAAACAAAAATGGTCTCTGGGCAGCTTAAGAAAAAGACACAGAGACAGCTCACAGAATGGGTAAAGCCTCAGAAGGGCGGATATCAGGGAACTCTGGGAACTTTGACAGCAGAAATCCACGTGCTTTCTCTCAAGGGTACTGCTATTTATGGGACTCAGTAATGAAACAGGCTCCCAGTCACTTTGTTATAAATTTCAGATTCCTGAGATGGAAAATGCAATTGGCCAAGCTAAGGTTGCTTGTTTGCCTTCGCCCAGCCAGCTTCATCTGAGTGACAGGATCATGAAGCATAGAGAATGCCCCTGGGCTCTGGCCTTACCTGGGCATTAGAGTTTGTTCCCAAAGAAAAGTGAATTCTTGAGGGCTGGGTCGTTATCATTACTGGTTTGGGCATAGACAAATTTAATACAAAGGACAGAATGCAGTTTCGCCAGTGTTGGGGTCAGAAAACAATACCCCAAAATGAAGGCCTCAGAAGCAGCTTCAGAAGTAAAAGTTTCTCCTTGAGCTTCTCCTGCCCTTATGTCTCTGTCCTATTCTTCCCCATGGTTAGTCATGGAAACAAGAATCCCTCTTCCCCAATGCATGTCATAGAGACCAGAACTCCTTTCCTCAAAGTCAGCCATAGAACATAAAAATATTCTATGCAAAAACTGGTCATCAAAATTATCTGACCTACTTACTTTGTTTGACTGTACATCATAAGACCCCTATTCCAGAGAAGATCTTGCCCTACACTTAGAAGAAAGGAATACTGCACAGAGAGGCCAAGAAGAATCTAGACAGGACTTGCTAGATTTCCCCACTATGTTAATTAGCATTAGATCTTACCCTTTTTGTCCAATTATATTTCTACATGATGTTTATATTTTGCTGAACCTAAGCATAAACATAGACAATTTCCTGTGTCTTTGGATCTTCATTCTGAAGCCTCTCATGTATACACATTAAATAAATGTGAATGCCTTTTCGCCTATTAATCTGCCTTTTGTGAGTTGATTTTTCTTTTCTTTTCTTCTCTTTTCTTTTTTGAGACAGGGTCTCACTCTGTCCCCCAGGCTGGAGTGCAGTGGTGTGATCATGGCTCACTACAGCCTTGATATCCTGAGCTAAAGTGATCCCCGGGCCTCAGCCTACTGAGTAGCTGAGATTACAGGTGTGTGCCACCACATCTGGCTAATTTTTTAAAAATAGAGATAGGGTCTTGCTATGTTGCCCAGGCTGGTGTCAAACTCCTGGTTTCAAGTAATCCTCCTGCCTTAGCCTCCCAGAGTTCTGGGATTACAGGTATGAGCCACTGTGCCCAGCTAATGAGTTGATTTTTCAATGAACCTTTAGGGGGCCAAGGGTCTTGGCTCTTACACCAGGTTCTAGGGCTGCAAATTTCAGAACTCATCTGGGAATTTACTCCTTTTTAATAAGTTGGCAGTGTGTAGGAAGGATGTTCACATGTCTGGCTATAGATAACTAGTTTATCTGGCACCAATTCTTTCAAACAAGCTGAGGATTTATTTAATTTTTAAACCTGGTAGAATTTAGTTAAAGCCAGTAACAGTAGGTTTCATGTATGGCCAGAAGGTAAGAATTTCAGCCTGGTAAGCTTTGCACTTACGGAGATAAAGTGTTCTAAATGTTGACAAATTCCACTTGTCTTTTTGGATTATCCTTGGGAAAGAGAGACAGAGCTGAACATTCTTCTGCCGTATCAACCTTTTCCCTTCAAGAACTTAAAGATGAATATGACTTTCTTTTGTAAAATTCCATTATTTCCTTTATTACTGATCTGTTCATTTTTATACCTGGTTGTTTCGGAAGCAGAAAGTAGGAAATGTCTTACCATTTGTTTTCTTGCTACCTTTGTCCTTTCAGCATCATCAAAGGGTATACAGCATCATGATTAACAGTGTGAGCTTCGGAGTCTGACAGATCTGGGTTTGAGTGCTCACTTTGCTACTCATTGGCAATATAATTATGGGCTAATAAAACCAATGAACTTGGGCCACAGTAGGTATGACAGATATTTTTCAGGGTTAGTCCTAGCCAGTCTATTTTTCTTGTGTGTATAGGTATATACATATAATATCTATAATGCCTCTGTCCTGCTTTTATTACTTAACATTATATCTTAGAAGTCCTTTCTTATCAGCTCATATAAATCAGCCTGAATCTTTTTAATGGCTACACAGTATTACAATAAGTATGACTGTGCTGTCCTTTAGTTAACTCATTCTTCATCAATGAATGTTTAAGTTGTTTCTAAATTTTTATCATTAAAAATTATACTGCAGCCTTAGATAATCCTCTTTATACATGTATGAAAACGTATCGGGATAAATTGCTTGAAATATAATTGCTAAGTTAAAGGGCATGTGAATATTTAATTGATATGGATGTAGTCACATTATCCTTCATAAATATACCAATTAGTTTACATTTCTACCAAGAATTGCATAGGGAAGCCTGTTTCCTATATCCTCACCAACACCTTGTTTTCAAATTATTTATTATTTGTTAATAGGATAAAATGTTATTGCTACTTTTAAGTTACATTTCCTTAATTTTGAATGTGCATCTACACATACATTTAAAAGCCATTTGCATTTTTTTCTTGCTAAAAGCTATCCAGGCTGAGCACAGTGGCTTATGCCTATAATCCCAGCAGTTTGGGAGGCTGAGGTAAAAAAAAAAAAAAAAATGCTTGAGACCAAGAGTTCAAACCAACCTGAGGTAAGGAGAAACCCTGTCTTTACAAGAAATGAGCTGGGTGTGGTGGTTCATTTAGTCCTAGCTGCTTGGGAGGCTGAGGTAGGAAGATCACCTGACCCTAAGAGTTTGAGGCTGCAGTGAACTATGATTATGCCACTGCCTGCCAGCCTGGGGACCAGAGTAAGACCCTGTCTCAAACAACAACAACAACAACAACAACAACAACAACAACAACAACAACCCCCAAGTTGCCTGGGAATGGGATAGAACTTGTCCTCTGAAACTAACTTGTCAGAACTTTTTATGAATTGAGGAATTTACCTGTTGTATTATGTTGCATTTTTTCTACCATAATTGTCTTTTTACTGTTTTATGGCTTTGAAGTTTTTCTGTGGTCACAGTCATTAATCTTTTCCTTTGAGGCTTTTGGTTTACGTATCTTGCTTTAGCTGTCCCCACTCCAAATATTTTTTTTTTTAGTTGTAATATTTTCTTTGACTTTTACATTTTTTTTTAACCTTCTGATCCACTGAAATTTATTTTGGTATAAATAGGGATGATACATATTTATTTCCTCCCCCAGTGTCTGGCCAGTTATCCCATCATCATTTGTTGGACAACTGACATTTTTCTACTGCTTTTAAATGTCACCTTGGTAAGAAATTATTTGTGTGTGAGCCTCTCTTGACCTCTGTTTCACGGATCTGTCTTTTCCTGCAAAGTCGGTTAGAAAATTACATGTACCGGTTAATCCTAATGCTGAATGTACATTCCAAATTTTGTTGATAGTTTAAACCAAATAAAAGGCAAGAGGAACATTTGATACTTTTTTTTGTCAGCCTGTGGTCCTTATGTGTCACATCAGGGAGTAATATGCTTATACGAGAGATTTAATGTGTGACCTGGAAGATGAAGTGGGGTTGGGTAGAATGGGAACAACGAACATTTTACTTCCAAATAGCCAGTAACTATTTTCTAAAAATAAATTACCTTGGAGCTTTGATGAAAAATGAAGGGGTGCCTAGGCAGTGAAGGGATTTATGATGATGGGTGAAGTGTTAGAGACTCGGGGCAGTTCTTCATCATTCACAGTGTGCTTTGCTCACACAGATCAAGGCCGACTTTCACTGTCCGTATAACTCTATCTTCTGTTCTTACAGACTGCTTTGTTAGCATTGTCATGCCTCAGGGCCTTTGCACATACAGTTTATCTCTGCCTATAATTCTCTTTTCTAAAATAGCTGTTTCTTCATATCCTTCAGACTTCTGCCCAAATATTTCCTATCAGAGAGCCCTTCTCTGACCACCCTTCCTAAAATGTACTTTCAGCTCATGTTCCTCTTTTCAGAGAGCACATTACTTTCTGACATAGACATACTCTGACCTTTCCCATGAGTTCCATGAGCTAAGCACCGGAAGTATGGCCTGACATAGAGACATTCAACTACTTGTTTTATTTTTCTATTTTTTCAGCCAGTGTTTTGCTCTGTCACCCAGACTGGAGAGCAGTGGCATGATCTCAGCTCACTGCAACCTCTGCCTCCTGCGTTCAAACGATCTTCCCACCCCAGCCCCCCAAGTAGCTGGGACCACAGGCGTGTGCCACCATGCCTGGCTAATTTTTGTGTATTTTGTAGAGACAGGGTTTCGCCGTGTTTCCCAGGCTAGTCTCGAGCTTCCGAGCTCAAGCAATCTGCCTGCTTCAGCCTCCCAAAGTGCTGGCATTGTAGGTGTGAGCCACCGTGCCCAGCCTGAACCACTTGTTAAATGAGCAAATACACATTGCTATCTTCTTCTCTTCACTGTTTACTAGTGTGCAACTAAGAAGTTGCTGAAATGAAATGAGGCTTGAAATTGCTCCATTTGGAACCAAAATACTAGATTATCTTTTTTGTTTTGTTTTGTTTTCCTTTGTTCTAGGAAAGTATGACCCAGACATTGAGTGCTGAGAAGGTTAGCTCTGCTCAGATGGGTATTTGTATCTGAGAAATATTATTTCCAGGATGGAGGGGATGCTGGACTAGAAGGCTCAAAGGGCCATGACCCCTACCAGGAGCTATAAAGCAAGCAAGGGACAACTCTGCTTTATGAGTATGTGTCCAAAATGATGCATGCACACACTGACATGTTTTTCTTAGTATATGAGGGACTTCATTACAAAATCCTAAATCTCTATTTTTCTGAACCTTCAGCTGTTCATGTTTTCTCCATTGGTATGATATAGGAGGACGTGAGATAAAGAATAATACTTTTAATAGCCCTTTAATGACCCAGAATCTTTGCTATCATTGAGATTTCTATGTAGGAAGAACTGGGGGTAAAATTTTACTGTAAGTGGTAGTTAGGAGACTCTCCTAAGGCTGAAGGCTCAGAAAAATAGAGACTTAGGATTTTGCTTCCTTTGATTTTGCATCGTTTGCAGGGATGGGGTTTTGCCACATTGCCCAGGATGGTCTCAAACTTCCGGGCTGAAGTGATTTTCTTACCTTAGCTTACCAAAGTGCTGGGATTACAGGCATGAGCCACATCTGGCCACTGATTTCTTACTTGGTATTTTTTTCTCTCATTTCTCACTCTTTTTCTTTTTTGAATGAGAAACTAGTGGTTTGCCTATTTTGTTGCTATTTTTAGTAAACCAGCATGTTGATTTCTTGGTTCTCATCTTTTTTCTGTTTCCAACTTTATTCATTTATACTTTTGTTTTGATTTTTTCCCCTTCTGCTTTCTTTGTTGTACTTTTGTTGATATTACTTAATTTATTGACCTTTATTCTTTACTTTTTATTCATATATTTTGTTGATTAGTTAGTATTTATTGACCCTTATTCTTTACTTTTTATTTGTATAATTTTTATTTATACTTTTATTATTTATACTCTATACTTTGTATTTATAATCTGCATAAATAATACAAGTATGAATAAAATTAGTTTTTTAGTATATTTTGATTTTTACTTTATTGATCTTTACTTTTTACTTTTTATTGGTATTAATATTTAAGTTATACGTGTTCTACTGATTTTTGTTTTTTTGTTTTTGTAGAGACACAGGGTTTCACAATGTTGCCCAGGCTGGTCTCAAACTCCTGGCCTCAAGCGATCTTCCTGCCTCAGCATCCCAAAATGCTGGGATTATAGGTGTGTGAGCTACTGCACCTGGCCTGTTCTGCTGATTTTAAAGCTTCATTTATGTTTCATAAATTCCAAAATTTTAGCAACTCTGCAATTTTAGTTTATATTTTTCTTTTTACCTAAGCATTTTTGAATAGGAGTTTTTACAATTTCTAGCAAGAACTTTTTCTACTTTTTGTTATAAATGTCTTATTTGATCTCACTGTGCTTACCATATGCATTGTTCTATCCTGTGGGACGTACTGATTTCTGTTTGTGTGATTCAATATATAGTACTTTTTGTGTGTGACCCTATTCTATGTAGCCAAAGAAGAGGTATACTTTCTATTATCAGTATATAAAGCTTACCTTATATTCATCAGATCTATGAATGATTTTTGGAACTTCTACATGTTCACTTAGCTTTCTGTCCTCTTGGTTTTCCTTTGACTGAGATTTGTGTGATAAAATTTATTATTAGTGTGTTTATTAATCTACTTATCACGGCATCTTTTGTAGTTTCTGCTCTATGAGACTGATGGCTGTGTTATTTGGGTTCCAGATAGTCATAACTTCTATCTTAATTGTGGATTGTGTCCTATAACATAATAAAGGCCTTCCTTCTTTTGACTCTAGTGTTAGCTTAGGTTGTTTGCTATCAGAATCACAGCTATACTTTCTTAGTGTTTACATTTACCTGGTATACCTTCACCCATCTTTTTACTTTTAGCCTTTTTGAATCACTTAAGCATGCCTCTTGTATACAGCATAGAGACGAGTTCACTTTTTTAAGGACTGATATGTTTGGTCTCGTATAGCTCATATTATTTTTGTTACATTTACTGTGTTTATTTTTGTATATGGTCTATTTTCTCAATTAAAATTTGGAAGATATATATTTTTGTGCTACTAGCAATCTTCATACTAATGCCTTTTTTCAACCACCTATTCCCTATGAGACAATCATTATTTACTTCTCTTTTGTTTTTTCTTTTTTCATTTTGAAGTTGTGATATTTCTACCTTGACAGAACTCTAAACTTTTCTCCTTTGTTTTAGTCTCAGACCTATAATTAAACATATTTTCATATGTAGATAAAAAGACCATTAATTCTTTGGCCAAAGTTTGCACAATGATCTTTTCATTGATAGAGCTTGTCTTTTATGTGCATACTAATCCCTTGAGGATCTTGTTAATATGAAGATTCTGATTCAGAAGCCCTGAGGTAGGACCTGAGATTTTCCATTTTGTTTTTATTTTGTTTGTTTTGAGACAGTCTCACTCTAATGCACAGGCTGGAGTGCAGTGGTTTGATCTCAGCCCACTGCAACCTCCGCCTTCTGGGTTCAAGCAATTCTTCTGCCTCAGCCTCCCAAGTAGCTGGGACTACAGGCATGCACCACCACACCCAGCTAATTTTTGTATTTTTAGTAGAGTTGGGTTTTGCCATGTTTGCCAGGCCGATCTCAAATTCCTGACCTCAAGTGATCCACCCGTCTCATCCTCCCAAAGTGCTGGGATTATAGGCATGAGCCACCACACCCGGCTAAGATTTTGCATTTTGAACAATCTCTTGGATTTTGCTGCTGCTGCTGCTGCTGCTGGCTACACATTACATTCTGAGTAGCCATGTTCTTGTAGATTGCTCAGGAAGAGTTTATGAGTATAGTATTCCCCAGTTCTTGCATGTTTAAAATTGTTTTTCCATGGTCTTGATAGTTAAAGGGTAGTTCAACTGAATACACAATTGTGGGCTCCCTTTTGCATGTCTTGAGTTTCTTGAGAATGCTGTGCATTGTTTCTTGCTCCATATACTGCTGTTGAGATTTTAGTGGCAACTGATGGTGGCTGGAGGAGAGTCGGGGGAATTCTTTGCCTTCATAGCATAATTATTTTACTAACATATATCATGGAGCTTATTATGCTTTGGCAATTTTTCCATATGCAGAATGAATCTTTTTACTTTGTAGATTCAAGTCTGGTCTAATATCTGGAAAATTTTGTGGGGGAGGAGACTTACAGCTTTGAATTCTATTCCATATTTAAAAGTGATAATTGTTTTTTCTCTTCAGGGACTCTCATTATAGGTTTATTGAGTCTTTGCTTCTCTTCCATGCCTATCCCTTTCTCTATGATTCATTTTACCTCTATTTCATTTTTCTGGTTTGTTTTTTTTCAGACTTAACCATGAAGTCACCTTTCCCAACACAGACACACACACACACACACACACACTCTCTCTCTCTCTCTCTCTGTCTCTCTCTCTTTCACACACACACACACACACACAAACACACACTTTCACATTCATGCATTGGCTTCCAAATCTACCACCTGTGATCCTAAGCAATTTCAGACCCCTTCATTTCTATTTCTAGGACCCAGTGCTGGGATACCCAAGATCTAAGGCTTATTTTAGGAACTTTGCCACTCAAGGTGGGAGCTTTTCTCCAGAGGCAGTTCTATGTGTGTTTCCCCATTGTTAGTATCCTATTGTCCCATCTGCTTTCCACTCAGTCTGTGCATGAGTCTGCCCTGACATGGGCTCTGAAAAGGCACTACTGGTTTCAGAATGTTTACTTCTCCTCATGCACATAACTTGAAGTTTGAATTACTATCTCTTTTCCTAGTTGAAAAAAGATGGGATTTTATTTGTGCTGTATTTATTGGAATGGTTTTCGCAGAATAGGAAGAAAGATTCTGGTTTCTGTAGTTGCCATCATTTTTATGGAATCTAGACATCAATATTTCATTTCAATAAAGCTTCTACTGCTAAGATACATAAAGTAAGCTTGAAATTACTTATCTATTTTAACAGCCTATGGTTGAGGGACCACTGAAGTATCCAAATGGGTTTTGGTTTCAATACCCCTAGTAACAGAGAACTCACTTACTCCTATTAGAACCCACTTCAAAATTTGATATTTTCTTAGTAATAATGTTCTCACTGAAAATATTCTCCCGGAAGCTTTTTTGTTTTTTTTTGAGGTGGAGTTTTGCTCTGTTGCCCAGGCTGGAGTGAAGTGGTATGATCGATCTTGACTCACTGCAACCTCCGCCTCCTGGGTTCAAGTGATTCTCCTGCCTCAGCCTCCTGAGTAGCTGGGACTACAGGCACCCACCACCATGCCTGGCTAATTTTTTGTATTTTTAGTAGAGATGGGATGTCACCATGTTGGCTAGGCTGGTCTCGAACTCATGACCTCAAGTCCTCAAGTGATTCACCTGCCTTGGTGTCCTAAAGTGCTGGGATTACAGGCGTGAGCTGCCACTGCACCTGGCTTTTTTTTTTTTTTTTAAAGTACCTAAATTCTGACCTTTGAGGTTATATAAAATAAGTGAAAAATCTTTTTTCCATCTAATGAATTTAAAAATATTTGGTGGTTAAAAATCATGAACAAAAATGGTCTTTTTCAGAATTAAATTATTCTAATTACTTCAGTCTTCTTATTGCTTCTAGATACAGGAATGCAGTTTAATACAGAATCACATGATAGGAATGAGTGTTTGTGCTTATTTTATTAGTTGCACTTATTTTTAACTGAAAGAGCTGTCTACATGACAGCTTTCTTAATTTAAAAATGTCTATTTTATTGAATAAAATTTAGACAAATATTTTATAAAACTGAAGTATGGCTTTTAGAATTCTCATTGTTTATGTGTGTGCTATAATTCCAAGTGAGTTCTGGAAAACTTACAACTTTACAACTGTAGAATCTGAATAGAGTTGTGCCTCTTTATTTTTAAAAGTGCCCCAGTTTGAATGTTTGTTTTACTGGAAGGTCCCAACTAAGAAGGTACTAGGTGATATGAAAACAGCACAATAGTAATGACTTATAATAAAAAGGCCAATACACATGTTAGGTTTTTATACTTATTGCAGAAATCAAGGGAGACATAAAGCTGAAATTTGTTTTAGCTTTGTGCAGCTTTTTTTTTTTATTTTAGCTTTTTATGGGGTTCTCAGTCACTTGTCTGCTGTAGAAGCCTTTTATTTGCTGATAAGGGCTGTTAACTAGTTTCAAAGTTGGAGAGATAAAGTTACCATTACACACAGGGTTCTAGTTATACTGGGCTAAACTGGTCCTGTCTTTAGTTAGCAAAACCAGTGGAGGAAGAACAAAGCCAAGATAGCAAAGGGAAACATCCGTGGGACAAGCCCTGCAAAGGTGTAGAATAGCAAACTAAGTGAGGGGAAGAATGTTTTTGTAACAAATGAGAGACTTGACTTTCCTGAATCATTTCTTGAATTCCAGATTAAAGCCTAATTGTAATGTAATTTGCTCAACCCTATCTGTGCAAGACCAGTTTGTTTCCCATGATCAAAAATTCTAAACCTTTGTGCTTCAGGGTCAAGGCCAAAATGATATACCCCACCATTCCGTTCTTTTTCTCTGCTTACGTACAAGAGAGAAAAGAGGACATTTCCTTATTTCCTGCTCTCTAATCAGTATTTCTACAGGATAATCACAGAATATCCATTCCCTTTAAGGTCATTAGTACCTTTTCCACAGTCTAGACTAGTCAGTCTTAAAAAGCACCTCGTAAGCCCCTGGAGGAACTTTACCCACTCAGTTTGGTTTCTTTGCAGCCTCATCTCATCAAAGATTTAAATCTCATCTTTAATAACCTTGCCGCATGGCTAGTACATGGAAAAAGTAGATGAGAGAAGAGACTCTATCAAACTGGCATGATAGGATGCATTGAAAGAGAGTTTCCTGTACAAATCACCTTCTAAATATGTGTCTGCTAATAATAATAGTTCTTATTAATTTCTTAATCTTTTAATGCTTATTTCAAATTTATCTCCTTTCTATCCACCCATAAAACCTATAGTGTTTTTTTAAATCATAATTCTTTTTTATCAAACTATATTTTAGACATGAAGGCAATATAAGTGATCTATTTTTCTTTTCCCTCCTATAGGCAATAATAGCTCCAATTTTAAAATTAAAAAAAATTTCCCTTTAGTAATTTTATTTTCCCATCACCTCAAACAAGTTTTTCTATTTTATTTATAACTTCAAGTCATGTGCTGAATATTATCTTCTACTTTAAAATGTGTAAGTGGACAAAATATATTTCATTTGTATCTCAGTGGAAGTAACTTAGAGGTAACGTAGGAACAGTTAATTACATTAAGGAAATCGGCAAAACAAAATGAAAGCATTCAGTCCTGCCATGGTGGTGGTTCACACCTGTAATCCCAGCACTTTGGGAGGCCAAGGAGGGTGGATCACTTGAGCACAGGAGCTCAAGACTAGCCTGGGCAACATGGTGAAACCCCATCTTTACAAAAAAAAAAAGAAAAAAAATTAGCCAGGCATAGCATTGTATGCCTGTAGTCCCAGCTACTCAGTAGGCTGAGGTGGGAGGATTGTCTGAACACAGAAGGTCGAGACTGCAGCGAGCCGTGATCATACCACTGCACTCCAGCACTTTAACCTGGGTGATAGAGTGAAACCCAGCATTCACAAAAAAAAAAAAAAAAAAAAAAAAAAAAAAAAAAAAAAAAAAAAAAAAAAACTAAAGGGAAAAAAAGAAAAGGGAAGAAGAACAGAACAAGGCATGAATTTTGTTTCTATTTACATATTTGTTGTCAAGGCTTATTATAAGGCTTAAATTATAACTTAAATTTAAGAATTTAAATTCAAAAGCATTTGGAAACACTACCTCAATGCATAAAAAGTAAAACCAATAAAACTTATACAGATAGCACTGGTGAAATACTGACATACTTGAAGGCAAAAAATTAGGACTTTTATTTTCTTTTATTTGGAGACTGAGTCTCGCTCTGTTGCCCAGCCTGGAGTGCAGTGGCGCAACCTCAGCTTACTGCAACATCTGCCTCCTGGGTTCAGGGATTCTTGTGCCTCAGCCTCCCAAGTAACTGGGATTACAGGCATGCACTGCCACAGCAGCTAATTTTTGTATTTTTCCAGAGATGGGGTTTCACCATGTTGTCCAGGCTGGTCTCAAACTCCTGACCTCAAATCATCCACCCACCTTGACCTCCCAAAGTGCTAGGATTATAGGTGTAAGCCACCTCACCCAGACTAACTTCGTACTTTAAAGTAGTCTGTTTGGTAATGAAAACATTTTTAACCCCTGAGAGGGACATCTTTAGTATTTTAATAGTGATAGTAAGATGTTATTTTCTATAGTGTTTGACATTTGTACTGATGGTACAAAGGCAACGATGAATAAACTGCTGGTGCCTTAGAACAAATTAAAGAAATGGCACTAACCTCTATTAGTAATCATTAAATTTACACATAGACAATTATGTACATGTATATATCTATTATATACACATATGTATATATATAATTGATGTTTATTATTTCCAGTAGGTACATTTTATGAAGTCACCACAGACCCTGAATTAGAGAGTACCAAACCACTGCTCCCAGGAGAAAATATAGGATTAGATTTTTGTAAGCGTCTGGTCACAATATTTTATCAACCAGTTAACATATGACCTGTTTTATGTGTGTTTCTGTTTGAAATAAACTTTATTTAATCATACTGTTTATTCATTAATATTGAACTATATAAATCTTTCACTTCTTTGGTTAAATTATTCCTAGTTTATATTCTTTGTAGTTATTGTAAATGGGGTTGCTTTCTTGATTTCTTTTTCAGATTGTTCACTGTTGGTGTATATAAACGCTACTGATTTTTGTATGTTAATTTTGTAACCTACAATTCATTTATCAGTTTTAAGGCTTTTTTTTTTTTTTTTTTGTAGAGTCTTTAGGTTTTTCTTAAATACAAGGCCATGTCATCTGCAAAAAAGCTAATTTGATTTCTTCCTTTTCAGTTCGAATGTCCTTTATTTCCTTCCTTTTCCTAACTACTCTGGCCAGGACTTTAAACACTATGTTGAATAAAAAGTGGTGAAAATGGGCATCCTTGTCTTGTTCCAAATCTTAGAGGAAAGGCTTTCATTTTTTCCCCGTTCAGTATGATGTTAGCTGTGGATTTGACAAAGTGGCTTTTATTATTTTTAGACATGTTCCTCCTGTACCCAAGTATTTTTTATGAGAAAGGGATGCTGAATTTTATCAAAGACTATTTCAGCATCATTAAAATAATCTTGTGGTTTTTGTTCTTGATTCTGTTAATGAAATGTATCACCCTGAGTCATTTGTGTATGTTGAACCATCCTTGCATTCCTGGGATAAATCCTTCATGATTATGGTAAGTAACCTTTTTAATGTGTTGGTAACCTTTTTAATGTGTTGTTGAATTCAGTTTGCTTATATTTTGTTGAGGATTTTTGCATATATGTTCATCAGTGATATTGGCCAGTAGTTTTCGTTGTTGTATCCTCGTCTGGTTTGGTGTCAGGGTAATGCTGACCTCAAAAGTTTGGAAATATTCCCTCCTCTTTAATTTTTTGAGGAGTTTGAATAGAATTGGTATTGTTTCATCTTTAAATGTTTGGTTGAATTCATTAATGAAGCCATTCAGTCAGGGGAATTTGTTTAATGAGAAACGTTTTATTATAGCTTCAATCTCATTACTTGTTTATTTGTTGAAGTTTTCTATTTTTTCATGGTTTAATCTTGGTAGGTCATATCTGCCCAAGAATGTAGATTTGTTCTAGGTTTTTCCAATTTGCTGGCATATAGTTGTTCATAATAGTCTCTAATGGTTCTTTGTATTTCTGTGATTTCAGTTATTATCTCTCCTTTTTTGTTTCTGATTTTATTTATTTTGGTCTTCCATTTTTCTTAATCTAGTTGAAGGTTTCTCAATTTCTGTTTATCTTTTCAAAAAAACATCTTTTCATTTTAAAGTTGATCTGTATTTTTTGTCTTGATTTTATGTATTTCTGCTCTAATCTTTATTATTTCTGTCTAATTTTGGGTTTGGTTTGTTCTTGTTTTTTAGTTCCTACAGTCACATTGTTAGGTTGTATTTTAAAAGTCTTCCTACTTTTTTGAGGTAGGAGATTATTGCTATAAGCTTTCCTCTTAGCACCATTTTTGCTGTATCTATAGATTTTGATATGTTGTATTTCCATTTTCATTTATTTCAAGAATTTTAAAATTTCTTTGTTAACCTTTAATTGACCTGTTGGTTGTTTAGAAGCACATTTTAAATTTCAATGTTCATGTAGTTTCCAAAATTCGTCTTATTATTGATTTCTAATTTTACTCTTTGTGGTCAGAAAAGATAGTTAATATGATTTCTACTTTTGAATTTTTTAATATTTGTTCTGTGGCCTAAGGTACTGTCTATTCTAGTGAATGTTCCATGTGCTGATGAAAATAATGTGTATCCTGTAGCAGTTGGGTGATATTCTGTAAATGTCAGTTAGACCTGTTTGGTCTAATGTGTAGTTCAAGTTCAATGTTTCTTTGTGATTTTCTGTCTGAATGATCTGTCAATTACTGAGAGGTGGGTATTGAAATCCCTTACTACTATTGTACTGCAGTCTATGTCTCCCTTTAGATCTATTAATGTTTTCTTCATATACTTGGAAGCTCTGGTGTTGGGTGCATAAATATTTATATTATATCTTCTTGCTGAATTGACCCCTTTATCATTATATTGTGACCTTCTGTGGTCTCTCTTTACAGACTTTGACTTGTCATCCATTCTGTATAAGCATAGCTACTCCTATTCTTTTTTG
Source organism: Homo sapiens (assembly GCF_000001405.40). Taxonomy (NCBI): domain Eukaryota; kingdom Metazoa; phylum Chordata; class Mammalia; order Primates; family Hominidae; genus Homo; species Homo sapiens. The sequence continues at coordinate 156,853,978 of NC_000005.10, read as the reverse complement.
GTTTCTGCAGGCACGGAGTACCTTTTTCCATTCTTTTACTTTCAGTCTATGTGTTTCTATATAGTTGAGGTGGGTTTCTTGTAGGCAGCATGTAGTTGGGTTTTGTTTCATTATCCATTCAGCTACTCCATGTCTTTTAATTGGAGAATTGAGTTCATTTACATTTAGTGTTATTAAGTAAGGATGTACTACAAGCAAACATTCTGTTGCTTGTTTTCTGGTTGTTTTGTAACTCCTTTCTTCCTTTCTTACTGTCTTTGTGGTTAAGCGATTTTCTCTGGTAGTATGTTTTAATTTGTTACTTTTTATTTTTAGTGTATCTTTCATAGTTCTTTTTTTTATATTATTGTATTTTATTACCGTATGCGTAGTGTATACTAACTTAAAGGGAAAAATGTAAACAAAATCAAAGTCATGGGGAAAATGGCATCTTGCTTTTCTCTTCAACTGAAAGTTACCCTTAATAATCCATTTATACCATTATGTCAAATTTTAGTCATCTCTTCAGAATTTTAGACCAATGAAAACGGACAAGGTAACACCAGAGAGTTAAGCACAGAAAGTGATACTGATTAAAAAGTTGAAAGTAAAATCTACCTTGGCTAGAACTGAACATTCAGATCTGTCTCTCCAGAGGAAAATCTAACTTGAATCATAATGGTTCATATTTTGACTAGTTCATACCCTATCAATTAGCGACTTATGACTTGAACATACCTTTTCTCAGCTGCATGTGACAGCCTAAAACCCCACTGAGCATGCTGCTTGGCATGCCTTACTCCTCTGAAATCATCTACTTTCTAAAAACCAGAAAATGAGTTTGCTTGTGATTTAAATTTCAAAAAATAGTTTGTAGAAAACACAAAAAGAATCAACTGTTTAAAGTCTTATCCTTTTCTTCACTCTACAACAGCTACTTCTACAAAAAAGAGTATGTGGACACTTTCTAAGAACTCAGAAACAAGAAAACCAAAATCAGAGGTTGCATGAATATATGTGCACACATATGTACAGACTTAATCTCTACATCCCCCAAGACAGATTTAAACAGGTAATCCCAAAATTCTAAATTCAGAAACCAGAGATAAACAGTTTTGTTTCTAAATCAGTGGTATTACTAGATGAAATGTTTAGAATACTGCACTTATAGTTCAGCAGTACTTTGATTATATATCTCATTTAAAAAAATCAAAATAATAACCACATTCTTCTAACAGCAAAGAATTCTCCCACTTTTTATTTATTTTGAAATACTGATATTTCTATAAACCTGCAAGTGGAAGATAAGCTGTTCAATAAAAGCCTTATTTTATATATATAAATATATATTATACAGACATTATTTTAGAAGTCTGTTCATATAACAGATTATTTTGGTACTAACGAAAATTGTATACGATTCATCAATTGTATGGCTAGAAATGAAACCATAACCAAACCAAGACACACAGGGCTTTCCTGCACTTCGTTTAAGGAAAATATTCCACATAATTCTTACTGCGTTAGAGGAATAAAGTACATTTGTCATAGTATACATTATCATATTCCCTTAAAGCAGGGACTATTTAAAGTTTTTAAATTAAAAAATGTCCAGGCTTACTTCTGTCTGTACATTCAGGAATAATCATATCACTGGTTACATACAATTCTCATGCAAAGAAAACCCTCAAAAAACAAAAAAAAACCCTCGGTTGTTTTCTTAAGTCTAATTAAGCCAAACTAATAATAGCAATTTAATTAGCAATCTGTAAATCGAGAGGCATAGAAATTCAGCAGTTAAACTGTATTTCCTGCCTATAGTACTGCTGCTACTCAATCTATTTTCTTCATGTATTAGAAGAATTCATAGGCATTGATGGTCAAAATAAGAATTTCCACACAGCAGCAAATGACAGAAGAGTGACAGAAAGAGTTCCTAATGTCGTGACAATCTTAATGATCCTTTAAAAGGTAAAAGATTGTGTGTGTATGTGTGGAAAGGAGTAGGAAATAAAAGCAGGAGGTTAAGACAGGTATTTAAAGGGAATGGCGAGATAGCTACATTAGAATATTTATTTTTTAAAAAACTGCTCTGAAGTCTGCCCAGTGTACCAAAAACATTAAAAAACAAAAACAAACAAACCCCCTGCCAAAAAACAGAGCAGACATTGGTGAAAGTTTAACCTGATAATTTATTTGTGGGGAAAAAAGCTAGTTTTGATGAGAAAAAGTTCAGTCCTTTCCTTGTAAACACAAAGAAACTCAACAGGAATTTTAAAGGTAGTAGGTCAGAAAATGCAACAGTAACTCTTACAATTCTTTTCAATTAAACAGACAAATCAAGTTGAAGAGAAGTGTTAAAATACGATTCAGCTTGAATATTTATAAGTCTATATATCCTGTTGTTCAACTGGCTTTTGATTTTTAAAAAAACAAATCAACAAACTTTGTAAGAGCTACCACATTTCGAGTGATGAAAATAAATTAGTTCCCCCCCAAAGATATTGCTTAACTTCTAAAGCATAAAAAGCTCTATAATATCTTATACAAATTAACCAGTGTTCTTATGAAAGTAATGCAGTTTTGGACTGATGATATTACACTGTATTTGTGGTAAAGTACTAGGCATAAGAATATATATATCAATTAGGCATTTTCAGTCTAATTAGTCTCTAAGTTTATCATTTAATTCTTGGCAATATATAATAACTGGTATGCATTTTGGTACTTAAGTCATGAATTGTGGAGAACAAGAAGCAATGTATTATAGTCACAGGGTTTATATCTAACAAACAATTGCAGTGTTGAACAAATCTCTTCTATGAACTTCGTAATTTGTTTTGCTGTTGGTCACTTGGAGTAGATCCTTGATTTGATTCTTCCGTATTCATGCTTTCTCCATCTGCAGTCTCTAACATTTCTTCATCTTCATCATCATCATGTAGGTCTTTTGAAATTAATTGTCTGGCTAGTTTGATATTGAGTCCTTCATTGTAGTGAAGCTTCCTTCTCATTTCAAATTGTCGCTTTTTTTCTCGTTCTTCAGGTGAGAGGTCACTATCCTCCTCTCCACTGCTTTCTTGTTCCTGAATCCGGTACTTTGGCTCCAAGCCTTCAGCAGCAGCTAATTTCTTGGCTAGGATGTCTGGCGCCATGGCTTCAGTGGTCTCGGTGTCCCTACACGCATCTTCATCATCACCCATCATACTATGGTAAGGAGGGCTTGGTTCATCTATTTTCATTAAACCATAGCCTTTGTCTGCTGGATGATAGGTCGCCAAGATGTTAATTTCATCCCACTTCTGGGATTTTTTGCTCAGCTCCTCGTCGACACTCCTGCGGGGCTGTTCGGCCGACGCCACCATAGAGGAAGTCGTAGAGGTCTTGTTCTTCAAGATCCCCTTGATGGGCCGGTGGGAGGCCGTCGAGGCCGCCATTGCCGGGCGCTCCGGCTGTCGCCTCAGGGTCGCTGCTTGGCGTGGGGTCCGCGAAGAGAAGGGTCGGCACAGCAGAGACTCGCAGGCAGCCGCAGAGCCCGCTCAGGGCTAAAGCGGCCGCACCTGCTGCCTCGGAAACGGCTACTGGAGCGGTTGTCACAACGACCCCGACGCCAGAGCCAACGCCGAATGGGTGGCGGCTCCTCGCGCACCATTAGCCGCCGGCACTTGACCCGCGGCTCGCGGAGAGATGCCGGCCTAGAGCTCCGCGGGGAGTGGTGGGTGGGGGGTGGTGGGTGTGGTGGGGGTGGGGGGGGTGGAGCAAATCCGACGCCCTTTTTCATAGTTCTTTTGTACTGTGGACACCATGAGGCTTACAAAAAAAAACATCTTTATAGATGTAACAAGTTGTAAAGAGATGAAAACTTACAGAGCACGAAAACACAATAGAAACAAACTTTATCCCCCCACCACATTTTGACTTTATATTGTCTCAATTAATATATTTTTATATTGCCTAACTCTTGACGATTACTGTAGCTATTAAAGTTTTTGATTTGTCTTTTAGGCTTTATACTAGAGTTATAAGTGGGTTTCACACCACCTTTACAAGTATTAGGGCATTCTGGATTTTTCTGTGTACTTACAGTGGGTTTTATACCTCAAATGTTTTCTTTTTGCATGGTGGTGGCGGTGGTGATGGTGGTTTTTCTTATCGAAGAATTCCCGATGTGGCACGGTGGCTCATACCTGTAATCCCAGCACTTTGGGAGGCTGAGGTGGTCAGATCACTTGAGGTCAAGAGTTTGAGACCAGCCTGGCCAACATGGTGAAACCTCGTCTCTATTAAAATACAAAAATTAGCTAGGCATGGTGGTGCGTGTCTGTAATCTCAGCTACTTGGGAGGCTGAGGCAGGAGAATTACTTGAACCTGGAAGGTGGAGGTTGCAGTGAGCTGAGATCATGCCATTGCACTCCAACCTGGGTGACAGACTGAGTCTCTGTCTCAAAAGAAAAAAAAAAAAGAATTCCGTTTAGCATTTTTTATAGGATGGGTTTGGTGTTGAATTCTCTCTGCTTTTGTTCGTCTGAGAAAGACTTTATCCCTCCTGTTTGAATGATAGCTTTGCTGGATACAGTAGTCTTTGATGGCAGTTACTTTCTTTCAGCACTTTCAAAATGTCATCCTACTCCCTTCTGGCCTGTGTGGTTTCTGTTGAGAAGTTTGTTGCCAGATGAATTGGAGCTTCTTTATATGTCATTTGCTGCTTTTCTCTTGTTGCTTTTAGGAGTATCTCTTTGTCCTTGACTTGAGAATTTGATTATTATATCCTTTAAAGTACTCTTATTTGGGTTGAATCTGTTTGGTGTTCTCTGACCTTCCTGTACCTAGGTATTTTTCTTTCTCATGTTTTGGAGAGTTTTCTCTTATTATTTCTTTGAATAAGTTTTCTACCCCTTGTTTTTGCTCAGTTCCCACTTGAACATCCATAATTCTTGATTTTTGTCTTTTTAGGCAATTTTTCTCTATATTTTTGTTCCTTTCATTCTTTTTTCCTTTTTCTCTTGACTCCATATTTTTGTTATTGTTGTTGTTGTGTTTTGTTTTGTTTTTGGTGGAGACAGAGTCTCACTCTGTAACCCAGGGTGGAGTGTACTGGTGCAATCTTGGCTCACCACAACCTCCGCCTCCTGGGTTCAAGAGATTCCTGTGGCTTAGCCTCCTGAGTAACTGGGACTATAGGCATGCATCACCACACCTGGCTAATTTTTTGTATTTTTAGTAGAGATTGGGTTTTGCCATGTTGCCCAGGCTGGCCTCGAACTCCTGACCTCAGGCAATCCACCCACCTCAGCCTCCCAAAGGTGATGCTGTATTTTGTTTTTCTTTTCCTTTTCTTTTATTTATTTATTTATTTATTTATTTATTTATTTATTTTTGAGACAGGTTCTCACTCTGTTACCCAGGCTGGAGTACAGTGGAGTGATCTGGACTTATTGCTACCTCTTCCTCCCAGGCTCAAGTGATCCTCCCAGCTCAGCCTCCTGAGTGGCTGGGACTACAGGCACCAGCCACACATGTATAATGTGTGTGTGTGTGTGTGTGTGTGTGTGTGTGTGTGTGTGTGTGTGTGTGTGTATGTGTGTGTTTGTAAAGATAGAGTTTTGCCATGTTGCCCAGGTTGGTCTCAAGCTCCTGGACTCAAGTGATCCACCAGCTTCAGCCTCCCAAAGTGCAGGGATTACGGGCATGAGCCACTGTGCCTGGCCCTAACTCTGTATTTTCAAATAACCTGTCCTTGAGCTCACCGATTCTTTGCTCTGCTTGATCCTTTCTGCTGTTGAGAACTTCTAATAAATTGTTCAGCTCAGCAAATGTATTTTTCAGTTATGAGATTTCTGTCTAATTTTTCTTTAAATTTCAATCTCTTTGTTAAATTTCTCTGATAAATTTCTAAGTTGCTTTTATGTGTTATCTTGGAGATACTGAGTTTCCTTTAAATTGTCATTTTGAATTCTTGGTCAGAGATTCCGTATCACCATCCTATTAGGCTCAGTCACAGGTTCCTTGCTTTGTTCATTTAGGGAGGTAATAGTTCCCTATTTGCTGTTGTTTATTGTGGATATACATCTGTATTTTTGCATTAAGTGATTATTTCTCTCTTCTTTCTCTGGCTTGTTTTGATTATTATTGGATATGTTTGCTTAGAGGTTCTTTGAATTTACCTGCTGAATTTCTTTATTTCCCCCACTGGTTGCTGCTTTCTCTTTAACACTAGATTGTGCTTTGAGCCTAGGTTTTCCTTGGCTCCAGTTAATGATCAGAGCACTGCCCATCCCAAATGGGGAGGTGCCAAAAGGGATATCCCAGCTGTGTGGGAAGGCTGGCTAGTGGTTCATGCCCAGGGGACCTGTGGACTATTCCTCCTACAATGTACTGCTGCTGAATAGCTACCCTGATTTGGCATCTCTTTTGGCTGAATTTCAGATGGAGTTTCTAGGGCTGGGGGTAATAGTCCCACTCTCCTCCTTTATCTATGGCTGTCCTCAGGTATATTTTTCCTTTCAGGCATTCATGATGCTTCCCATGCGTTGAAGCAGAGAAAGGTCTCCTGTCAGGAAACTTAAGGTGGTAGGGGAAGCTGGTGGTTCACCTCAATGTCACTTTTTTTACTGTAGAAACCATCAGTCAGGGGGATATTTTCTATGCATTTTGCTGTGGACAGATGGGAGTGTGGGATGTTGAAGATATAAAAGTCCAATTCTCAGACCATCTTCTTGTTTTTTTTTTTTTTTTCCACCTCTTTGTGGCCCTAGGAGCTGTCTCATCTTCATATTTGAGTTTTTGAATATCATCAGTGATATTTCGTGAGAGTGATTTAGTTTCACTCTTAGGCTTGTCCTGCCTGTTTTGCTGTGAGAATCTTGGGTTTAGTTAAGTGTCTTGTATAGATTGTAGTCTGATGAACATATGCTATGCTTGGTGTGAGATACACTGGTCACAGGATCAGCAGTGATGTGAAAATACAATAGAAGTTCAACCCTGCCCTATGCCCAATATAAAAACTCTGCTATGGCACCCAGGGAAATCTGAACTTACACGTAGGACTATGTAATCTAGAGTTTTACTGTTGGACTTCACAATGCAAGTGATTTATTTCTACTTGCTCTCCTGTGTGCAACTGTTGCCCATAATTTGTTGAGCAAATTGAGGTAAGCTTACAAGGAAGAAACATTATTGCTTATTGAGAGCTTATACTAAGGCTGTTTTAAATGCTTGCTTATATCAGGGGTGTACAATATTTTTCTGTAAAGAGCCAGATAGTCAATATTTTAGAATTTGCATGACATACATTCTCTGTTGTAACTACTTAACTCTAATTGTAACAGGAAAGCAGCCATAAACAATATTTAAACAAATGATGTAATTGTGCTCCAGTAAAACTTTGTTCAAAAAAACAGGCAGCAGGCTACTCGGACTGTGGGCTGTAGTTTTCCAACACCTGGCATGTACTCCCTTACCTAATTTTCACAACAACCTAACAATACTGTCTCTTGAGTGAAAAGGTAGCAAAAAAAGGTATAATTTCCTTTCTTCCTTCCTTCCTTCCTTCCTTCCTTCTTTCCTTCTTTCCTTCCTGCCTTCCTTCCTTCCATCCTTCCGGTTTTGCTCTGTCACCCAAGCTGCAGTGCAATGGCCATTCATAGCTCACTGTAACTTCAGAATCCTGTGCTCAAGCAATCCTCCCACCTCTATATCTGCCTCCTGAGTATCTGGGACTATAGGCATGCACCACCATACTTGGCTAATTTTTGTATTTTCTGTAGAGATGGGGTCTCACTGTGTTGCCAGGGCTGCTCTCAAACTCCTGGCCTCAAGTTATCCTCCTGCCTTAGCCACTCAAAGTCTTGGGATTACAAGCATGAGCCACTGTGCCTGGCCAGGTATAATTTCATAGCTGTCATATATTTGAAAAATATAATAAAAACAATGCTAGCCAGGGACAGTGGCTCACACCTGTAATTCCAGTACTTTGGGAGGCGGGCAGATCACTTGAGGCCAGGAATTCAAGACCAGCCTTGACAACGTGGTGAGACCCCCGTCTCTACCAAAAATACAAAAATTATCTAGGTGTGGCAGCTCATGCCTGTAATCCCAGCTAATCAGGAGGCTGAGGTATGAGAATCACTTGAACCCAGGAGGTGGAGGTTGCAGTGAGCAGCGATCATGCCACTGCACTCCAGCCTGGGTGACAGAGTGAGACCCTATCTCAAAAAAACAAAATAACAACGCTATGCTTTTATCATACATAATCTAATTAAATGCTTAAATAACCCTGCAAGGTAGGGGACATTATCTTCCCTTTTCCAATGAGACAATTAAAGCTTCAGGTGTTTGCTTAATGTCATACAGCTAATAAACAGTGGGCTCTAAATTAGAATTTGGGTCAAATTCATCTAGGCCTGTGTCGTCTTCATGAACATCGAGGGAGAGGCAATAGAGCATACTGATTTTTAAAAAGACCAAACCTTTATAGAGTTCGGTTTCTCACCTACCAGAGGTAATGACCAGATCTAGGTGTACACATAAGAGTGAGTGGCTGAGAGTCTTAGTCAGCTTGGGCTTCCACAACAAAATGCCATTGATTGGGTAGATTAAACAATGGCAATTTATTTGCTCACAGTTTTGGAGGATACAAGTCCAAGATCAAGGTGCCAGAATCGTCAGTTTATGGTGGGTGCCCTTTGCCTGCCTTCTCGCTGTGTCTTTGCATGGCATAGAGAAGGCAAGCTTTCTAGAGTCTCTTTTTGTAAGAGTACTAATTCCATCAAAAAGGCCTACCCTTATGACTTCATCTAAACCTAATTATCTCTCTAAGACCCATCTCCAAATACTAACACTTTGGGGTTAGGGCTTCAACATATGAATTGTTTTTGAAGGGAAGCCTGAAAAGTCTTCCTCTGAACCCTTATACAAAATGGGTGTAGGAGACCTAAGGGGGGTATTGATCCTCCTGTACTTGTTCCTTCTTAACGTTTGCTGGGGAAAGGACAGGCCTCGTTTTGAGTGTGTATGCTTATCTTGATCTTGCTGATTGACATGTTGACTTCTGGTGAAGCTTGATGTGATTCCAAGAGCAGAGGCCCCTTCTCAGCCTTGATGATGGGGATAGAAGATGTAGGATACATGTGCTCTTGGTCCCAGTAACCAACGTTCTTTTTTCCTTTGTTTTTCAGTCACCTATTCACACAGTCTTACCCCAGACTGTATCATTACACGTGGCTGCACCCCTTCCAAAATTCTATTTCTTGTAACCTAGTCTCCGACCACCACCTCCATCTTTCTCCTTACTATCTCTAACGCTTAACTCCAACAGTCTTTTAAGTCCACCTGCACTTTTGATATGATTTGGCTCTGTGTCCCCACCCAAATCCCATCTCTAATTGTAATTCCCATGTGTCAAGGGAGGGACCTGGTGGGAGGTGATTGAATCATGGCGGTGGTTTGCTCCATGCTGTTCTTGTGATAGTGAGTTCTCACAAGATCTGATGGTTTAAAAGCGTTTGGCATTTTCCCCCTCACTTGCTCGCTGTCTCTCCTGCCACAATGTAAGACATGCCTTGCTTCCCCTTTGCCTTCTGCCATGATTATAAGTTTCCTGAGGCCTCCCCAGCCTTGCAGAACTGTGAGTCAATTAAACCTTCTATGTTAATAAATTACCCAGTCTTAGATAATTCTTCGTAAGTGTGTAAAAATGGACTAATACGTTTTCCAATTGATTAATCCTACTATTTTGTTGTTTTTTTTTTTTTTTTTTTGCTATACCTCACTACCATAATGATCTCACTTTTTTTTAATTCTAAGGTTAGTCATTATAATCATTGCCTTTCATATACCCTTGAGTTACTTCCTCTTGCTTGCATCTGTACAGCTGAATGTGGCTGGAATAAAACATATAATTGGTCTGATTTGGTCTCACTTTAAATTCATGACCATAATTTTCAAGGGGACTCTTGATGCTGCCAGGCAGGCATGCTATACATTCTTAGTCCATCTACTCTCCCATTTTATACATAACCATTTTATATCTAATTTTCTTCTTTAAAAATTTTAATACCTCCTTCCCCATCCTCACTCTCAATGATCTTGTTTCTATTCCACTTCAAAAGCTGATGGACAGTATTCACAGGTTTCTCCATCACATCTACTCATTTGCCAGCTTTAACATCTATATACTCTGCCTTCCCAGCTGTGACCAAGAATGAACTGTCCAGACTCCTATCTGGCATCCTCCTTCCACTTCTTTATTAGATCCAATCACCTCTTGCCTACTCAAGGACATTGCTGCAATTCTTCCCTCTCACCTACATCATTAAATTTTATCTTTCTAATGGGTCATTCCTATTAGCAATGAAACAGGCTATTATTTCTCACATCTTTAAAAAAAGTTTTCTTGACCCTCTCTCCCCCTTTTTCTTAGCAGCTGTATTCTGTTTTTGCTCCTTTTTACATCAAAATTCTTTGGAAGAATCGTTGACACTTGATGTCCCCAATTTGTCTCCTTCATTCATTCCTGAACTTGTTCCAAACATACTTTGCTTTCAACATTCTTCTGCAGCTGTGACCAATGATTAATGACCTCCCTTGCTAATATTTTCAACCTGTAAGCAGCATTTGACACAATTGATCATTACCTCCTTCTTGAAACCCTTCTTTTGGTATCCGAAATATCATTCTTTCTCCCCTCCTACCTCAAGGGCTCTTATTTCTTTCTCACTTGCTGTTTTTTCCTCATTTCTCCAACTTCTAAATGTTGCTCCACCCAAGATCTATTTCCTGGACACCTCTTTTTGTCTGTCTGCATCCATTCCCCAGGTTCTCCTCCAAGGCTGTAGACATAGTCCACATATTGGTCACTCCAACTTTATATTCCCAGTTCAATCTTTGATCCTGAGCTGTGTATTGGTCTATAGAGCTGTCAACTTGACCTTTCCATTTGATGTCTAACAGGCGCTTCAATTTAAATATGTCCAGAACTGAATTGTTCCCTCACACCCAACCTGCTTTTTCTACTTAAAATCTTTCCTTTTCCTATTTGATTTCTTTACTAGTGAACGAATGTTAAGCAGTTTTGCTTGCACAGATTTTGCATATAATTGGGCACCATGCACGGTATGTAGAAGCTAATCTCATGGTCTCTGCCCTGAGCATTTAAAATTCAATAAAGAAGATGTGGCATAAGCCAATAGCACTCTTCTAGCAGCCATTCTCCCTTTAGGAATCCCAAGTTTAACCTGGGCTCATGAATGCCTAGTGTCAGGTTGACAACAGCAGTACAATAAGACGGGAAGAACATTGTTCCCACGCACCACAGAACTGCCACATCAGCCCTGATTGCTTACGTTCAAACTGCTATGTGAGAGTGAAATAAACTATCTTGTTTAAGCTTCTGTCGTATTTTATAGCAGCCCAATTGGCATCCTGTGTAGGGAGATAAGAACTTAAGAAAGTGAACCACAGCATTTCCCCAAATGTGAATGATAGGAGGCTGGGCATGGGGAGTATGGAATTCTGGGGCCAGTGGGGGTAACTTGATTGAGTGAGGTGGGCTGGTATAAGACACATGGAACCTGCGGGGACCAGGTAAATTGCAGAGCTGTGACCTTCCTGAAGACATGAACATATAGACTGTATTTCAGCTCAAAGAGAGTCTGCTATTAGAATTTGGCCAAGCCACTTGGTGAACTCTGATAAGCTGAGTTGTTTTAAAATATTTAGTTGTTGTCAGCAGCATGAAACCCTCTCTTCTAATTTATGCACAACTGGAATATATAGAGATCTAAAGGCAGATCTGCTCTGGGTGAATGGAGGCCATATTCTTGCTGTTTCCCTCTTAGCCTATGTGTGGGCTCTGCTGTGAAACACAGTTTTAAAATAATTTATCTATTCTAAGCCCCTTATTTAGCAGATGGTAAAACTTAAGCTGAGAGAGATTTACTGTTAAACCAAAAGTATGTCATTTCACCTCTCTGGGCCTTAGTTTCCTCCTATTTAAAACAGGTGTGAATTAATCTCTAAAATCTCTTCTAGTGAGTAACAAAATAAGCATGTACAGAATAAAACTCATGACTGTTGGTCAACTGATATGTGCTATTGTGAAAGAACACAGGCTGTGTGCTAGGTTGGTATCAGGTCTGCCAGGCATATTTCTAACAATGACTGGGTAAGATATTTCAGAACAACATTGAGTTTGTTATGTACCTGAATTCACATATTCTGGCAACAGAAATGGCAAATGATTTTACATATCCCCATTTCATTCAGTTTGCTTAACTCTCCAGTAAAGTAGCCAGACGAGGCATTCCTCTCCCCCTTTTACAGATGAAGAAAACTGATGGTAACTGCTTTCCAAAAGTCACACAATCAGCAAGTGTCCGAGGTAAGACTAAAATCCAGGTCTAGCGCTCTTTATGGCGACTCTTCCTAAATTAGCAAACCTAAAAATGTGAATGAATTCACTCTATGGCTTATAAATATTTATGGATTTCAGGATCTTTTCTCCCCTACTATTATTAGCAAATATACACTGTACCTGGGTGCACCCAAAGGTGAGGAAGTATTAGAAAGTGATATAGTTGTTCTGCCTGGGAATAAGATATTTGGCTTCAGGGCTGGACATGATGGCTTACACCTGTAATCTGAGCACTTTGGGAGACTAAGGCGGGAGGACTGTTTGAGCCTAGGAGTTCGAGACCAGCCTGGGCAACATACTGAGACCCTGTCTCTCCAAAAAAATAAATAAATAGATAAAATAAAAAATCAAAAAAACCTTGGCTTCAGAGAATAGCTTCAGGAGACACTAGTTAGATGTTACTATGAGCAAACAGTTAATTAGAGAAAACAATTATTGTTTAAGGAGAGTTTGGTGGAAGGTAATTAAGTCCTGATATGTATCTGATATTCACACTGATTCTTGTAGCATCCACTCTTCTCAGTTGTCTTCATAACTCTGATCTATTGATGATGACTGGAAAAATTAATCTGTGGCCATTTCATCTGTCTGCTTTTAAAAAGAAAGGCCATTGAAACTTAAACTATATTAAGCATTAAATTTTTATGGTCAGATTGAGATTCTGCACAAATATAGTTAATTAAATTTGTACATGATCTACTGTCTGGGTTTATATGGGAGCCCTTGATTGAAAATGAGCTATAAAACACATGTTGAGTGAAAAACACCCAGCTTCCACCTGCCAGACAGCCGTTTCTGGAACAAATGGTTTTCATGTCCTGTTGCATAGCATGAGTGTGTGTTAGCCACTAAGCGAGTCAAGCATGGAATATGCTGGCTCCTTTTTTTCCATCTGACCTCTAAACGTTGCCACCCTCCAGAATGAGGTTAAGTCTTCTCTTTTGCCACTCTCCCCCACCTGATTGTCCGTATGATGTCTAATAGACGCTTCAAATTAACATATTTGAAACAAAACATTTAGTGTTCTAATCCCATATAGCTATTGCTCTTCAATCTCCCCTCTCTTAGGAAATGAGATTACCCACCATGATGTTCATGCCAAAAACCTAGGAGTCACTTAATTCTCCTTTTCCCACCTACCCCCAGTCAAGCAAGTCTTATTCAGGTCACCTTCTATGGTATTTTCTCCATCAAGGCTTTTCTCTCCATTGCCCTGGGGCTAACCTAAGGCAGATAAATCACCTTCCCATATTGGATAAAAAGTATTCCTTTGGGGTAGATGAATGGTTACAAGGCTATCCTCTCAGCCTGAATCAGCCCCTTGCCAAGCTAGATTACAGGGCTTGGCAAGATGATGTGGGTTAGATTTCAACCCCTAGATTTCAACGTGTGTCCCACAACAGGGACAGGTGTAGTACAGACTGAGCAGTGACCTGCTTGTCCAAGTCGTCACTCCCTCTCATCTGCTCTACGCCCTCTAGTCTTCTCCCAATACATCTCCCTGTCTCCAGTCTTGTCCCTCTGCAATCCTTTCTGCACACCGTAGTAAAATGGATCTTTTCAAAAATGTAGATCAGATCATTTTGCTTTCCTGATTAAAATTCTTCCTTGCTTCTCTATTGTATGTGGCATAAAACCCAGAATTCTCACTGTGCTTACGAGGCCCTTCATGATCTAGCCCCTGCTCCTATGTCTTCCCACCATGACTGTGCCCTGGACTCTCTGGCCTCATTCCCAGTCCTGAACATGCAAGTTTGTCCCTGCCTAGGGGCCTTTACACATCTTTAGATGGCTGGCTCCTTCTCATCCTCCAAGTCTCAGTTTAAACGTCACCTTTTGACAGAGGCCTTTCATGACCCACTTTTATAAAATATATACACCAATGCCCCACCACCATTATATTCCTTGTTGCAAAATTACCCAGTTTTATTTTTCTCCATATCATGTAACACAACCTGAAATTAACCTGTTTATTGTCTGCCTCTTCCAGAATATAAGCCCCATGGGATGCAAAGAAGTTGTCTGAATTCCTCGTTGTTGTACCTCCAGCACATCCTAGGGCACTCGGCACACAGTAGGCACTCAATAAATACTGTCTGAATGTGAGAGGATGGAGTCAGAGCATTGAGTAAAGGAACAGTGGAGAGGATAAAGGTATTCAGCAAGCATATGTGGGAAAGCTGTTTAAAAATATGTACTCATAAAGAAAACTTGAAAATATTTCTGTCTTTGCTTTTCCCTCATTCTTTGCCTGTGGTCTTTCCTTTTTGAGTTGAGAAAGTTGAATGGGGCTTGTTTGTGTCTGAGTTGTTAGTTTCCAGGGGACTTAGACTGTTACAGGGCACTGAACATCTCTCCCAAGCAGAGAGCAAGACCTTGTTACTGAAAGAAATTTCTGTTTGAGGACTCAGCCTGGTTGAGCCTCCTGCCAAGGTTGGTGCCAAGGTTGAGCCTCCTGCTGTCATTTGCTTTCCGGGCACAGTAGAGCTAAGCGGCATTGTTTAACCTTTTGGAAGCTGTGTATGAAATTTACATTAGCGGGGTGTTGCTGTTCCGTTACAAACCGTTTATCCCATGAATATCAATGTGGCTGTTTGCTCTAGGAAATTATCTTCTTGCTGTAGAGAGAAGCCAAGGAATCCATAAAAATGTACAAAAGATAGGAGAGAGAGTCCCAGTTTCCTTTGAGATTGCTGAGAAGAATGATTCAGGAGCAAGGTGACCTGTGTACCCTGAAAAAACCATCCAGGGAAATCCCATGGAAATCTTTCTTTCCTCTTCCCTCTTCCCAAGCGTGATTTGCAATACAAGATTTTGCTTTATTTATTTAAAAGTATATTAATGCCTACTACATAGCCTTGCAAAGAATGGGCATTTAATAAATATCTGTCTCCAATGAGCTGTCTGATGTTTAAAGATAGAGGTACTTATTAAATAGAAAACTCATCCACAAAGAAGAAATATGAACATGCAATTAAGGTAATATTTACCTAGATCTACAATTTGGCAATTTGGCACGAAGGACTTTTTTTTTTTTTTAAGAAAACTTCTCTTTAATTAGACATTTATGACCAAAACAGGAACTAAGTTTTGTTTCTTATTTTTTAATTGATAGACTTTATTTTTAGAGCAGTTTTTTGTTTACAGAAAATTGAGCAGAAAGTACAGTGTTCCCATATACTCTCCCCGCCTTCCTTCAGATTCCTCTGTTATTAACATCTTACATTTGTATGGTACATTTCTTACAATTGGTGAGCCAATACTGGTACATTCTTATTAACTAAAGTCCATAGTTTGTTTGTTTGTTTGTTTGTTTATTTATTTATTTATTTATTTTTGAGACAGGATTTCACTCTGTCACCCGGGCTGGAGTGCAGTGGCCTGATCTCGGCTCACTGCAACCTCTGCTTCCTAGCTCAAGCTATTCTCCAGCCTTAGCCTCTCAAGTAGTTGGGACCACAGGTGCAAGCCACCACGCCCAGCTAATTTTTGTGTTTTTTGTAGAGATGGGGTTTTACCATGTTGCCCAAGCTGGTCTCGAACTCCTGAGCTCAAAGTGATCCGCCTGCCTCGGCCTCCCAAAGTGCTGGAATTACAGGTGTGAGCCACCATGCTGGGCCTTAAATCCACGGTTTATATTAGGGTTCACTCTCTGTGTTTGACAGCTCCGTGTATTTTGACACATGCACGTGCTTATGCATTCATGGCTTTCTTGGCTATGGTATTATACAAAATAATTTTACCACTCTAAAACCCACCCTGTGATTTACCTATTACTCCTCCTCACCTCTCATCCTGCACCTCTGACACTTGCTCTTTTTTTTTTTTTTTTTTTTTTTTTTGCCCTTCAACAAATTATGGTAAAACCAGCCAGGAACAGTGGCTCATGCCTGTAATCCCTGCACTTTGAGAGGCCAAGGTGAGTGGATCACTTGAGGTCAGGAGTTTGAGACCAGACTGGCCGAAATGGTGAAACCCCATCTCTACTAAAAAAAAAAAACAAAAAACAAAACAAAACAAAACAAAAACTAAAACAAAAAATTAGCTGGGCATAGCAGTGTGTGCCTGTAGTTCCAGCTACCCAGGAGGCTGAGTTGGGAGGATCTCTCGAACCAGGAGGTGGAGGTGGCAGTTAGCAGATATCACAACACTGCACTTCAGCCTGGGTGACAGAGCAAGACTGTCTCAAAAAGCAAACAAACAAATTATGGTAAAGTATACATGACATAAAACTTGCCATTTTTACCATTTTTAAGTGTAGAATTTAGTGATAGTACATTCAACCACTGATCTTTCTACCCTCTATATTTTTGCCTTTTTCAGATTGTCGTATAGAATCCTACAGTGTGTTGCCAGTCAGGCTGGCTTCTTTCACTAATCAATGTGCATTTGAGGGGAACTATAGTTTTAATAACTTGATCTGAAATAGTAGCGCTGCTGAAGGATTTTAGTCATTAGAACTTCAGTCATGGGCGTAGGTCAATGAGATTTGCTGTTTGGAATGAGACTTGGCATTGAAAGGGTATTCTTAAGAAACTTGGAAAATTAGATTTCAGTAGCAGTCAGCTAGTGGAATGATTCCAAGCAGAAATAGAAAGAGAAGCTAACAAATATTTGTGTGTAAGGGCTCGTGGTTGCTAGTGATTCTGTTCTTTTAAATAGTACACCATTATTTGTTAAGATTTTTAAACTATCTTTTGTATTTAAAAATATATTTATGTCTATTTGCAAGAAGGATTCAAAGTGGCTTTGCTTTTTCTAATGAAATTGAAAAATAGAACTTCAGTTGGTTGCGGTGGCTCATGCCTATAATCCCAGCACTTTGGGAGGCCGAGGGGGGCGGATCATCTGAGGTCAGGAGTTCAAGACCAGCCTGGCCAACATGGTGAAACCCCGTCTCTACTAAAAGTACAAAAATTAGCTGGGCATGGTGGTGAGCTCCCAGCTACTTGGGAGGCTGAGGCAGGAGCATCGCTTGAACCTAGGAGGCAGAGGTTGCAGTAAGCCAAGATCACACCACTGCACTCCAGCCTGGGTGACAAGAATGAGACTCTGTCTCAAAATAAAATAAAAATAAAAAATAGAACTTCACTTTCTCTAATGAAAGAAAAATAGAATAAAATGATATAGTCATTAGTATCAAAATTATTTAAAATGTAAGACCTTATATAAATGGAAAGAAGCGATATCGAGTTTTTACCATTTTGTGGAAGAGTAATTAAATATTGGTGGAAGACAATTTTTGTTAGCTTAGGTAAGATTACATATTAAGAAAGAGATTGCTGATACACTTAAAATAAAACCAGAAATGAAAAGCTCTTTCATTTTTCCAATATTTCGATGTTCTATGCTTTGTAATAGGTATAGAGGGTGAATGGCAGGATGGAGGAGGCAGGAGAAGGAGGAAGAACTGGAGGAAACATTGGATGTGACTTCAAGTTGTAGATATCCACCTAGTGGCCATAATGAAGCAGGTACTCAGATTGTAAACAAACAGGAAGGAGTTACAGTAGCCACACCTACTATGTGCCAGGCACTGTGGCAGGTGCTAGAGACACAGTGATGGACGGAACACAGCCCCTGCTCTGCCAGAGCTGACGATCCAGAGGGGAGTTACATAATAAACAAGAAAATTTAAAAAATACATGTATATATAAACTCAGGGTCAGGTAAATGCTACAAAGACAAAGCATAATGAAGGTTAGATAGTGTGTTTGGGTCATCTATCTTAGGTAAGGTGGTCTGGGAAGGCCTATCTGGGGTGATGACATTGAAGCAGAAAAGTTAGGGAATGAGTTATGTATAGATTTGGGAGGAGATCATTCCAGGCAGAGGGAATGCCAAGTGCAAATGCCTTAAGTCTGGAATTAGACTGGCGCTGTCAAGGAACAGAGGATGGCTAACATGGCTGAGTGAGAGTGAACAGGTGGAAAGGAGCAAAAATGGAGTTGAAGAGGGAGAATGGACCACATTGTGAGGTGCTGGGCAGGTGGTTCACGGAAAGGAATTTGGATTTTATTCCAAGGACGTTGGGAAGCCATCTGGAGGGTCTGAGCAGGAAATGACATGATCTGACTTAACATTTTAAAAAAGATTATTCTGGCACCTGTGTTAGAAATGGACCAGAGGGAGAGGGGTAAGAATGGAATACGTAGGCCAGATCAGGGCCATTTTGGGTATCCATATGAGAGCTAAAAGTGGTGTGCAGTAGATAATATGAGTAGTCATGTCTGGAAGTGGTTTTTGGGGAGATGCAGTATGAAAATAGGTCTGAAAAGACTTGCTGATGGATTGGATACTGGTGATAGATGGCATACAAATAGCGCTCTTTGAATTTCAGAAGAAGGAGCATTTTACTTCTTGCTGGAGCAAGGTAAAGTGTTTCTGGGAGAGGTGGAGCTGAAGAGTAGCTAAGCAAAGGTGGTCGGGGGAGGGCATGCAAAGTAGGGAGCTGCCGTGAGCGATGACACAGAGCAGGGTGGTGAACATTCTGTTTAGAGAAAGCAAAGTTGGAGTCGAGTTCTTATGAGAAAAAAGGGTGAGAGAAATCTGCAAAGGGAGGTGGGGGCAAGACTGGGAAGGGTCTTAGACGCCTTGCTAGGCATTTCTGTGAGTAGGCAACAGGGAGCTGTATCTATTAGGAGTGTATTTAGCAGCAAGTAATGGAAAATTTGCTAAGTACCTTAAGCAAAGAAGACTTCATTTTTCTTTCATAATAAAAAACCTGGGGGAAGTCGGCTTGGACTGTGAGGCTGCTAGTGCCACAGGGACCCCGAGGCTATTTTTCTACTTTGTCATCATGAATACTATGTTGCTTTCATCCTCTTGCTAATTACCTCTTGGTCTCTAGATGGTTCTTATGTGATTTGGGCATGATCTGTACTCTGGACAGGAAGAAAGGACAAAGGAGGCAAAAGAGCAAAGTCTGTGCCAGACCTCCCTTTTTAAAATTGTGGTTAATAGGACAGGTGTGGTGGCTCACGCCTGTAATCTCAGCACTTTGGGAGACTGAGGTAGGCAGATCACTTGAGGTCAGGAGTTCGACACCAGCCTGGCCACGTGGTGAAACCCTGTCTCTACTAAATATACAAAAATTAGCTGGACGTGGTGGCACATGCCTGTAATCCTGGCTACTCGGGAGGCTGAGGCAGGAGAATTGCTTGAACTTGGGAGGTAGAGGTTGCAGTGAGCTGAGATTGAACCACTGCACTCTAGCCTGGGCAACACAACCAGACTCTGTCTCAAAAAAAAAAAAAAAAAAAAAAGAAAAATTGTGGTGTATATATATGTGTGTGTGTATGTATATGTGTGTGTGTGTGTATACACACAAATATAAATATCTTATAAAATTTGCCATTTTAATGATTTAAAACACATTTTTTATTCTGTGTCCAGACATTTTAAACTATTTTTAATTTTTCTTTTGACTGACAAATAATAATTATATTTATGGGATACAATGTGATGTTCTGACAAGTGTATTCATAGTGGAGTGAGCAAGTCAGGCTAATTAGCTTATCTGTGACCTCAAATATTTATCATTTTGTGCAGAGAACTTTTAAAATCCTCTTTTACCTATTTTGAAATATGTAATACATTATTATTTACTATAGTCCCCACCATCACCACTATTCCAAAACTTTTTCATCACCCCAAACAGACACTCTGTACCCATTAAGCAGTAACTCCTTCCTCCTTTCTCCTAGCCCTTGGTGACCTCTAATCTATTCTGTCTTTATGAGTTTTGTGCCAGCCACATTTGATCATGAAAATGAATTATTTCCAAGAATCTTTATTCAGTAGACATAACTAATATTTTTATATTGCCATCTGGGAACTGTCCCAGAGGGCGAGGTTACTCTATACCTCCTCCCTCCCTTTTCCCATCTCTCTTCTCTCCCTTTCCCTTCCCCAGTTTATCAGTTTGGAGATCACTGAAGACCAGAATAGCCTTTGGAGAGGAATGTAGCTGCCTTGCAGTAGAGTGAGGGGAAAAAATAGGAGTAGAGGCCTCTATAGAAACAGGAGTGAGGAAAGAAACATGAGTCAGATTTTTTGTGGGTGGTGGAGAGAGAAGAACAGAGGAAGATGAAGGATTCTGTGCAGCATCAGGTTGTAAGATAGTAAGAGATTAGAAAGAAAAGGGCAAAAGAGGGCATAAGAAGTATTGTTTGGGGTGAAACATTGGATCTCCTTTGGTCTAAGTAAGAATTCACTGTTAGTTTCAGGTCTGTGTTACTTTGATGTAAACCTTTTCTGTTTTTCTAATATATGGATTATTTTTCTTTAGTTATCATATTGCGGCAAGATTTGGCTATGGAATTTACTTGGGTTACTCATATGTAGATATTTACAAAATGAGACCATACTACCCAGGCTTTTTTTTTTAATTGCCTAGAGGCTTTTTCACTTTATATATAAGCATGTATATACATATACACATATAAACCCACACATATAAATAATGCGTGTATTCGTATTGATTTTTTATTTATTTATTTTTTTTGAGAGAGGGTCTCACTCTGTCAACCAAGCTGGAGTGCAGTGGTGCAATATTGGCTCATGCAACCTCTGCCCCCATGCTTAAGCAATCCTCCCACCTCAGCCTCCCAAGTAGCTGGTGGGACCATAGGCATGCATCACCACACCTGGCTATATTTCTGTATTTTTGGTAAAGACGAAGTCTCACCATGTTGCCCAGGTTGGTCTTGAACTCCTTGGCTCAAGTGATCCGCCCACCTTGGCCTCCCAAAGTGCTGAGATTACAGGCGTGAGTCACCATGCCCAGCCCATATTGACATTTTTTTAATGTCAATAAATGTATATCTACAGTATCATGTCTATTAGCTGAGTGGTATTCATATATATATATCTCATATATATTCCGTAGCTATTAAACCAATTGATAATTGTTATATAGTTTGTTTTCTGTTTTTGATTATGCTATAATAAGCATCCTATATGTCTTGTGAGGATCCTCCCACCTCATCCTCCAAAGTAGCTCGGGACTACAGGCACCTGCCACAGTGCCCAGCTAATTTGTTAATTATTTTTTAAGAGACATGATCTCGCTATTTTGCCCAAGCTGGTCTTGAACTCCTGACCTCCTGCCTCACCCTACCAAGTAGCTGGGATTATAGGTACAAGCCACCATGCCCAGCCCAGATTATTTCTAAGGGGAAACACTTTGAAGGGGAATTACTGGGAAAGGACAAGAACCTTTTTAAGGATGTCAATACCCATGACTGCACTACTTTCCACAATAGTTTTATCAGTTTAGACTCCCCAAAGAATCTGTGCGTGCCCATTTCCCACATCTCTGTCCGCAGTGGGTATTGCTGGTTGTTTCAAAGTCTGAGAAGTAAAAACTTTATTGCCTGCATTTATTTTGGTTGCCAGCAAGGCTAGATGTCTCTCCCAGTTTTCAGTGTCATTTGTATTGCATATGTGTGTGTGGGGTGAAATGCCAGTTTTTGCCCTGTGTCCTGGAGACCCACGACCTGGCGTGGCATGTGGGTTTTGGGAAGGTGGGTTGAAAACCGTAGGCTGGTGGGATATTGCTCTTGTCTAGACTTGTGGTGAATGAAAGTATGCCCCAAATGTGGTATTGGAAATAACAAAAGGAATAGATATCAGATAATTTAATAAGACATGGCAAGGTGGTAAATGCAGAGGCAAGAGAAAGGAACACAACGGAGTCAATTTTAAGACTTAAAATATGAATTGTTAACTGCACCAGAAAAGCAGGAGAAGGAGTAAATTTCTACAGAAAGTTGTGGACACTTGGAGACTAAGAAGCCAGCAAAGAAAGATGTCATTTCCACTTATGTCTTTCTTTACTCCGGCCATCCCATTCTAAATTCCAGCCATGGGGCTAGTACTTCCTCCACAGAGGCAAGTTCTCAATGCTTGCAGGATTTTGCACTTTCCATGTTCTCTCAACATGGAAAGCCTTTCCCCACCCTTTTGGGCTCAGCCTGGATGCCTCTTCCACTGAGAAGCATTTCGTAAGTGCTCCCCTACCTGCTGCTTCAAATCTCCTTCCTGAGCGATTCCATTAAGTCCTCTGCTTAAGCACAGAATAGCGCTTGTTACAGTGTAAGGTTTTAGAAGAGGTTTGATTTGGAGTTCAGTTTCCCTGGGCTTATGTTTGGGTTTTAATACCTGTGAGACTTTTAAATGTCATTTTATTTGTCTAAATTGTGTTCCATATTTCCTCAACTAAAGCTGTATTAAACTCCCAGCACTTAACTTTGTCCATCCATTTCTCCACCAACTTTACCAATAATGAATATAATACTTAGAGCATTATACAACTACCAATAATTAAGTCTGTTGTGAGTTTTAAATAATACAACATATGCAACTTACTGTATTACAAACGGGTAAATTACTCAATTGCTATATGCCTCATCTCTTCATCTGTGAAATGAGGGTGATAATACACATTTCTTATAGATGTGTTGCATGGAACTCCTAATATGTGTAGAGAACCTTGATCAGTACCTATTTCATACTAGGGTGTGAGTGGCTGCCATGATGCTAAGGTAAAACATCTAATAAAATGTTCAAATGTGATAGGTATTTTTTCAAGAGTTTTTAAACATTTGAAAGTCAGGGATCATGTCTTATTTGTATTGGAATCCCAGTGTTCAGTGCAGTGCTTCCCATGTGGATGTTTACCATTATTTGTAGAATGGATGTTTTTGAGTTTCCAGCTTCCTCTTGGAACGGGAGAGACAGGGCTGGAGAAAAATATTTGGGAGGCAGTCAGGAGTTATTCTCCAGGTAGGGAGAGTGGAAGCTATAGGAGTCCTTATAATTGGTGATTGGCTCCTCTCTCACTCTTTCCCTTCATGATTCCTTTTCTTTCTTGGTCAAAAATTGTATGTCAGCTTTTGAAAAAGACATCAATTGTCTCTTTGGCTCTTTTTTTTTTTTTAGTTTTGCAGGATTAAAATATTTTGGCAGGTCTCCACATTTGATGAGAAGTAAAATTGCTTTTGTACTTCTTGAGCGGAGGAGGATTCAGGGAAGTGGGGAGTATACAGCATCAACAGGGGAATAGATCCAAAGCAACAGTTCTGTGTTGCCAGTGAGAACCTGCTGAAGCCTGATGCAGGCCCAGATCTGAGCATTGCCCTTCGCTAGTCGGTTACTTCTCTCTGAGCTTCACCTTTATCATTGATAAAATGTGGCTTTGTCCCCTACTCCTGCTTCAACCTGAGCGTTACCTTGTGATTGTTCTAATGTGAATTAAGGGTTTCTGGTGCTTTAAAAGATGAAAAGAAAAGCCACTTGTATCTGTGAAGATTAGAATTAGCTGTAACTGGAAGGCTAAAATAGTGGCTTAAATCAGATAAACGTTTGTTTCTCTGTCCTGTGAAGTCCAGATGTAGCTAGGCTACAGCTGGTGTGGCAACTCCATAATCATCTGGGAGCTAGGCTGCCTACAGGTTTCTGTTCCTGCCCCCTTAGAATGGAGCTCCATTGTCATGATGGAAAAGGGTGTTCCAGTCATCATATTCACGTTGCAAGGACCAGGTGGATGGGTCTGGTGCGAGGTGAGGAGAAACATCCTCTCCTTTAAAGAACACTTTCCAGAAATTGCACAAAATCAACTTACAATCCGTTGGGTTGTGGCATAGTTGCATGGTCATATCAGCTGCTCAGGAGGCTAGAAATTGTAGCCCTTGTGCTGGGCAGTGATGCGCCTAACTGAAATCCAGGAGTTGTATAATTAGAAGAAAAAGGGAACGAATATAGTGACAACTAGGACCAACCCTCTGGTCTAAGATGCAGACTAGTTAGGCTGCACTAAGAGCACACAGCTAATTAACAGGGTTTTTTTTTTTTTTTTTAAACTTTTAAGTTCAGGGGTACGTGTGCAGGTTTGTGACACAGGTAAACTTGTGTTATGGGTGTTTGTTGTACAGATTATTTCGTCACCCAGGTATTAAGCCTAGTATCCATGAGTTATTTTTTCTGATCCTCTCTCTCCTACCACCCTCCATCCTCCAACAGGCCCTACTGGGTGTCGTTCCCCTCTGTGTGTCCATGTGTCCTCATTATTCAGCTCCCAATTATAAGTGAGAACATGCAGTATTTGCTTTTCTGTTCCTGTGTTAGTTTGCTAAGGATAATGGCCTCCAGCTCCACACATGTCCCTGCAAAGGACATGTTCTTATTTTTTATGGCTACATAGTATTCTATGGTGTGTATGTGCCACATTTTCTTTATCCAGTCTACCTTTGATGGGCATTTAGATTGATTCCATGTCTCTGCTATTGTGAATAGTGCTGCAATAAACATACACATGCATGTGTCTTTGTAATAGAATGATTTCTATTCCTTTGGGTATATATCCTGTAATGTGATTGCTGGGCCAAACAGTATTCCTGTCTTTAGGTCTTTGAGGAATCACCACTCTCTCTTCCACAATGGCTGAGCTAATTTACACTGCCACCCACAGTGTATAAGTGTTCGTTTTTCTCCACAACCTTGCCGGCGTCTGTTATTTTTTGACTTTTTTTTATAGTAGCCATTCTGACTGGTGTTAGATGGTATCTAATTATGGTTTTGATTTGCATTTCTCTAATGATCAGTGACGTTGAGCTTTTTTTCATATGATTGTCAGCTGCATATTTGTCCTTTCTTTTTTGAGACGAAGTCTCGCTCTGTTGCCAGGCTGGAGTGCAGTGGCACCATCTTGGCTCACTGCAAACCTCCACCTCCTGGGTTCAAGTGATTCTCCTGCCTCAGCCTCCCGATGTATGTCTTCTTTTGAAAAAATGTCTGTTCATGTCCTTTGCCCAGTTTTTTATAGGGTTGTTTTTTTTCTTGTAAATTCATTTGTTCCTTGTAGATGCTGGATATTAAACCTTTGTTAGATGCATAGTTTGTACAAATTTTCTCCAATTCTGTAGGTTTTCTACTTACTCTGCTGATAGTTTCTTTTGCTGTGCAAAAGTTCTTTAGTTTAATTAGATCCTATTTGCCAATTTTACTTTTGTTGCAATTGCTTTTGGAGTCTTCATTATGAAATCTTTGCCCATGCTTCTGTCCTGAATGGTATTGCCTAGGTTGTTTTCCAGGATTTTTATGGTTTTGTGTCTTACTTACCTTTAAGTCTTTAATCCATCTTGAGTTAATTTTTGTATAAGGTATAAAGAAGGGGTCCAGTATGAATCTTCTGCATATGGCTAGCCAGTTATCTAAGCACCATTTTTTGAATGGGGAGTCCTTTCCCCATTGCTTATTTCTGTCAGGTTTGTTGAAGATCAGATAGTTGTAGGTGTGTAGTCTTATTTCTGGATTCTCTATTCTGTTCCATTGGTCTATGTGTCTGTTTTTGTACCAGTGTCAAGCTATTTTGGTTACTGTAGCCATGTAGAATAGTTTGAAGTCAGGTAATGTGATGTCTCCAGCTTTGTTCTTTTTGCTTAGGGTTGTCTTGGCTATTCAGGCTCTTTTTTGCTTCCACATGAATTTTAAAATAGTTTTTTCTAGTTCTGTGATGAATGCCAATGGTAATTTAATAGGTGTAGCATTGAATCTATAAATTGCTTTGGGGAGTGTAGCCATTTTAACAATATTAATTCTTCCTATCCATGAGCATGGAATGTTTATCCGTTTGTTTGTGTCTTCTCTGATTTCTTTGAGCAGTGGTTTGTAGCTCACCTTGTAGAGGTCTTTCACCTCCCTAGTTGGTGTATTCCTAGGTATTTTATTCTTTTTGTGGCAAGCTAATTAACAGTTGAGCTGAAACTAGATCCTTTTTTTCCCTCCCTTCTTTCCTCCCTTCCTTCCTTGTTTTTTTCTTTTCCTTATTTTTGTTCCTTCTTTTATAAAACACTCCTCAAAATTTTATTTGAATTTAACAGACAGAAATGGAAGTAATGAACTTCATAAACTTTAGATAAATACTTCTTCCTTCCTTATAAAATGAAGAAAATAATGTATCTTTGCTGTAGCTCTGTTGTGAGGAATCCATGATACACATGTAAAGCACCTTGATCAGTGCCTATTTTATACTAGGATGCAAGTGACTATGATGAGGCTAATGTAAAATGTCTAATAAAATGTTCAAATATGATAGTTGTTATTTTTGTGCAAAGATTATATACCTTTGGAAGGCAGAGACCATGTCTTATTCATACTGGATTCCCAGTGTCTAGCACAGTGGCTCCCATGAAGATGTTTATCACTGTTTAAGTATGTTGAATGTTAAGAAAAATGAGGTCAAACATTTAACAGGTTGGTCTCATTATTTTTTAAACTGCCTTTAAATTTTAACCAGTATTTATTGGCACCTGCTTATTTCTTGAAATATTATGAGTTGCTTTTTTTTATACATTATCCAGGTTTATAATACTCCTATTTTACTTTCCAGTCCTAACTCCCCATGTAATTTTGATTAATACTATATTTAAATTGATCAATGCTCACTCCAAGTTGTTTCATCTGGGCTACTCTACAGCTGAGGTCTTTATTTTGATTTCTTGGCTGGATTTCATTATTTCAACAAACAATTTTTTCTCTTTATTTTAAGGAGGGGTTATAGATTACTAGAGGTTTTGAGTTCATTTTCTGCCCCCAAGCTTGAAGAATTCTTTTATTTTTATTTTATTAATTTATTTTTTAAAGACAGTGACTCACTCTGTTGCCCAGGCTGGAGCACAGTGGCACAATCATAGCTCACTGCAGCCTCGAC
Organism: Homo sapiens; assembly: GCF_000001405.40. Taxonomy (NCBI): domain Eukaryota; kingdom Metazoa; phylum Chordata; class Mammalia; order Primates; family Hominidae; genus Homo; species Homo sapiens. The sequence goes on along the minus strand of NC_000005.10, from coordinate 156,826,873 downwards.
CTCCCAGGCTCAAGCAGTCCTACCACTTCAGCCTCCAGAGTAGCTGGGACTACAGGTCTGCACTAACATGCCTGGCTAATTTTTTAAATTTTTTTTGTAGAGATGGGGTCTTGCTAGGGTGCCCAGGTTGGTCTCAAACTCCTGGCCTCAAGTTATTCTCCTGTCTTGGCCTCTCAAAGTGCTGAGATTTCAGGTGTGAGCCACTGAGCCTGGCCCCCAAATATTCATCTTTTTAATTTCTTTTTTATGCTGTGCTGCCTTGGATATTTTCAGGTTAACACATTATTTCTTTTTGCATTACTCTTCTCTAAGAGATCTGCTCTGTATCTTACTTCCTCCTCTGATGTTCTGAATGAATTCTCTCGAGCCCTCCTTCCACCATTTTCTGAGACTAGCCTCATCCTCTGGCTGCAGCTGGAAGGCTCAGGGGTTTTTCCATCCCCCTCTCTCTAGCCTGTGGATGGGGTAGGGCAAGGGAACAGTCAGCTAGGATTGGGTGCAATCATTCTTACAGGAACTGGTTTCTGTTCCTCTTTCTTACATTTTGTTTTCTGTCCTAAACCTGCGATTGCTCCACTTAATGAAGTGCAGGGTGATACCTTCTAAATGCTTCCCCCAATTTAGCATGGAGTCTAGTAGCCTGCGCTTCTGCACAAGGGGGTCGATTTGACTATTCTCTTCTCTTTTCATTTTTCCCCACCTCAGGCCATTTCTGTGTACTTCCTTGAAATCAAAAGGGGCAAAGAGGACATCATCCTCCTTGCGTTTCTTATCCAATTTGGGAGTATCAAGGAACAGTCTCGGGAGTTTCAGCACCTTCTGGGAGCCAGCCTCCTTTCTTGGCCACTGTCTTTTGCATATTATGGCATTCAATTCTCTTTTTTGGTTGTGGCTGATTTATTTATTTTTCTATTTTTTCCACTAGTTTCATTGTGTATGACAGGACAGGGAGTCTGTGAGTCATTTTACTTTTTTTTACCTGAATGTCTGTCTTGAGCCTTTCATTTGTGTCATGATACCAGCTGTTGCCTTTTTCACTAACAAAAAGGCACGTTCCTTGGGTGTTTTTTTCACTAGCATGAAGTCTTCCCACGCTGCTCACCAATGCCATATTCTGAAGTCTGATTTAAAGTATTACAATGAGATGTCAGCTTATGTCAGCATTGGAAGGCCAGGCCACTTATCCTTTTTGACAAAATCAAAAGCGTTCAATGTGAAATAAAAATTACTAAAATACATTTTTTTTTACTCTTTTATTTTACTTCAATCAACAGTCAGACTAAATGTCATCAAGTGTTATATTTGAGATCGTGCTGATTTTAAAACTCTGGTAGTTATTAGCCTATTGGAAGTGAAAGACGTTCTCAAAATGTGTTTTTCCTGCCATTTCTGCCTCGGCCTTCACTGCTGTAGTAACCTCATTATTCCAAATTTAAGGATGTGAGGCTGTGGTGAGATCCTCACAGAAACTAGTCAAATGGAGTTCCTGTCCTCATAATCTCAGATGTTTATTATTTACTTTTCAGGGTTTAGAAGACTAATTAACAAATCAAAGAAATCATTATAAAACAGTTTAGGGTATTTGGGCTTTTACCTCCTGGGAAATAAGCCTTGTATTTTTAAAAGCGTATTTGTTTTCATGATGTAAGGGAAATACATTGTTGAATACAAATGCTTTGATATAATGAATATGTTTAAGCCAAACAAGATATAGCCAGATCCTCACCAGAGAGGCTTAGAAAACAAACCAGTACATGCTATCTTTTGTTTCAGTGTCATTAATTTTTGTTGATCTTTTGTTTCCTGTATCTTTGGGACATGAAGAAGGTTTTGGCAGCACCTAAACGTTTACTCAGCAGTCCTTGGGAATTTTAGGGCATTAAATGGAGCTGGTTAATGGACCACTGGGTGTCAGTATTGTCTTTACTTACCCTGGCAGGAACTGAATCAGGTTGTCCTTTTCAGAGACTTTTGGGTTTTGTTGGAATACAGAATCTTAGATTTTCTGTCCAAACCAGGAGGGGACCATCTAGCACAACCAGCTTTGTTCGTGGATGAAGGGGCTAAGTCATGGAGAAGGAACAGCTGATTCCTGTTCAGGGGTGGTTTCTACCACCCTGAGCTTCCCAAATTTCTACATCAGGATCTCAAACTTAAATGCCCCTAGGGTCAGACAGGCAGGAAAGTCAAGTGGACCCTCCTTAGCCTAATGAATAGAAGGGGTGCTCTTTTTTCTGCATACACATTTGCTGTTTCCTGTTTTCTTGATCAGGCCACTTGGTGTATCTTTACTATCTCCAGTACTGATTCAGAAAAAAAATTTCTTCTATGGTTTAAAAAAGGACTGCAAAAACATGATGATAAAACTCAAACAACCCTTGGCCGCATGTGAGGGAGGCAATAGGGAATGTATAAAGGCGCCAGCAGCGTCACATGCCAGCGAGGTGAGGGTGTCCTCACACAGGTGGGATCTTCAGATTTTTCAAGAGAAATGGGAAATCTGGATTTTTATGTGAATTTTTGTCATTTACATAGGCTGGTTCAAACTTAAAAAATCAAGACCCATCTGTGGGCCAGATATGACACTCCTAGGATAACAAGTTATAATCTCTGTGGACTATAACTTGGATGTTTTATCTTCTAACTTGAATTATTTTGCCTCCAACTTCTAGTTTGAGCTAATTGGCTCTAGCATGATGAGAGAAAGTTCCTTGGGAGATGCATAGGAATTCCTTGTCTTTGGCAACTGCATCTTTTTTTTTTTTTTTTTAATCCAAAGAAAAGAAAATGCATTGTTCAGCTGTCTGACGGGATGGTAGACTAGAAATGTTGAATATCCAGTTAACCTCATTTGATCTAGGAGAGGTTGGGAAAGTTAAGATTACTAACAAATTTTCAGTGCTAGGTAATTTTCTATTGTGAATGTACTAGGAAGGAAGCCATAGAAGGGAAGCACCTAGAAGCCTCTCCCAACCCTGAGAATCTGCCTCTTATAGACAGGAGAGCTGAAAGTCTGAGAGAGCCATTTTCGGACTCATAGCCACAGGACAGGCTTTGGAGATGGCCTACTCTAGACACTTTGATTTGACACTTAGGAAAGTGAGGTACAGATGGAGCAGTCATTTATTCAAGGTCATGTAGCTGATGGCAAAGCACTTTGGATTCCTGATCTCGGAGGGGGGGTTAGTGAGGAAGAACATGCCGTTCTGTCATTGGACAACACAGTCTGTTTTGTGCAAATATTCACAGACAATAGCGTTCAGGAGAAAAAATAGTCATATGAAGGAAGAAGTTGACTCTGGGAGAAGAATATTCCTATCTAGGAAGGAATAGACTCTCCAACAAATGCACAGAAAGGCAAATTGGTCATTTTTTTTTCTTTTGTTTTTTAACATTTAAGTTTGAAAGTCATCTGATAGTTCACCCACTGTGTTTCTCTGGTGTATTTTATTTAGTAAGAGTTCTTCTAGAGTTAGGAAGGAGGAAAATGATCTGTTATAATCTGCAGAATGAATAATGTTAATTATAAAGGAGGATGCAGGGATGGTACATGGGCTTAATTTGCAGCAAGAAAGACTTAAGTGAGATGCACTGAAGAACTTGACAGGGAGGGTTTCTTAAGATTGGAATGTAATCTTGGCAGAAATTATGGGATTTTCTTTAATTCTGTTATTATAGCTTTCATAGTGCAAGCTAACCATCTCTGCTTTTAGCATTATCTTTGTAAAACACCAATCTAACCATATTGATAGCCTTTTCTTATAAAATTATTTTAGTTATTTACTCCTGATGCCTGGGTTTGGCATGCAAGTGACATTATAACATGAATTGGTGTTATTTTTCTTATCTGGAGGTAATCTACTGGTTTCATTTTTGATTAAAAACATTAAATGATACTGTCTGTAGTTAAATACAGTTAGGAAGAATTATGTCTCCTAAAGATCACTTGAGGTCGGGAGTTCGAGACCACTCTGATCAACATGGAGAAACCGCATCTCCACTAAAAATACAAAATTAGCCTGGCGTGGTGGCACATGCCTGTAATCCCAGCTGCTCGGGAGGCTGAGGCAGGAGTATCCCTTGAACCCGGGAGGTGGAGGTTGCAGTGAGCCGAGATCGTGCCATTGCACTCTGGCCTGAGCGAAAAGAGAGAAACAGTCTCAGAAAAAAAAAAAAAAAAAAAAAAAAACAACAGCAAAAGAAACAGTCCTGAAGTTAGGAAAGCTCTGCCACGCACAGCTCCCCTACTCACTGCCTGTTGCTTGAATACTCCAGCCCTACTGAACTTTTCCTCAGATAACTGCTATTTTTCCTCTTCCTTGACTAACAAACTTTTACTCACTCTTTAAATCCAACTCAAATGCCAGTTTTATTTTGCCTTTTCTGTTAAGCTTTCTCCAACTCCCAATAAAAGGGTTGGATACTTCTTTCAGTAGTTGCATACCCCTTTGTTCATAGTGTGTTTATCACACTTATCATGTGGAATTATAATAGCTGGGGCTGCTCCCCACTGTAACCTTATCTGGCCCATCTTGGAATCCACAGGTCCTGCCAACAGGTGCTACCTAATACATGTTTGTTAAATGAATGAAAATTAGTCTAAATTAAGGAACACAAAAGCCAGGAAGCGAGTTCATGTCTATCTTAGTCATTGTTGTGTAGTTATTGTTGTGTTCCCTTGGCCCTCTGAAGTTTTGCTGAAAAAGCAGCTCACAAAAGGCAGATTAATTTTTTTAACGCATTTCTTTTCCTTTTTGAGATAGGATCTCGCTATGTTGCCCAGGCTCTATTGCCCAGGCTAGAGTACAGTGGTGTGATCACAGCTCACTGCAGCCTCAGTCTCATGAGTATCTGGAACCACAGGCACATACCACCATGCTGGCTATTTTTTTAAAATTAATTTATGTAGAACTAGGGTCTCCCTATGTTGCCCAGGTTGGTCTCAAACTCCTGGGCTCTTGCCTCAGCCTCCCAAAGTGTTGGGATTACAGGCGTAAGCCTCTGTGCCCAGCTAAAGGGCAGATTTATTGAAGAAAACGCATACATATTTACTTAATGGGTATACACAGAAGCCTGCAGAATGAAGACCCAGGATACAGGGGAAACTGTCCTTTTTTTTTTTTTTTTTTTTTTTTTTTTTCAGAGTCTCGCTTTTTTTTTCGGAGTCTCGCTTTGTCCCCCAGGCTGGAATGCGGTGGCGTGATCTTGGCGCACTGCAAGCTCCGCCTCCCGGGTTCACACCATTCTCCTGCCTCAGCCTCCCAAGTAGCTGGGACTATAGGCGCCCACCACCACGCCTGGCTAATTTTTTGTATATTTAGTAGAGACGGGGTTTCACCATGTTAGCCAGGATGGTCTCGATCTCCTGACCTCGTGATCCACCCGTCTCAGCCTTCCAAAGTGCTGGGATTACAGGCATGAATCACCATGCCTGGCCAACTGTCCATTTTTATGCTTAGGTTCAACAAAGTATGGACAGCCGTGTGGAAATAGGATTGGACAAAAATGTATAATCTACTGCTAATAGAGTGGGGAAACCCAGCAAGGCCTGTTTGTCTAGATTCTTGTCTATCAGATTCTGTCTGTGCAGCATTCCGTCCTTCTGGGTACGGGGTGGAACCCCCTGTGGAATGGGGTTATATGACCTACAGTCAAACAAGGTAGGCCAGATCATGTCTTTACGGCCAGTTTTTGCACAGAAAGGCAGAGGAAAAATAGAGTGATATTTTTAGGCTTTATGGTTGTCTTCAGGGAATAAAAGAGGGTTCTGGTTTCTATGACCAGCCTTGGGAAGAGGGATTCTAGTGCCTATGGCTAGCCTCAGGGGAGAATGGGACTGAGAGACAGAAGAGCAGAAGAAGGTCAGAAGAAAACCTTTTACTTCTGGGGCCTTCATTTTGAAGTGTTGTTTTCTGAGCCCTAACAGTTAACTTCTCTTCGAACATTTTCTAGATTTTTAGAGAAGGAAATGTTACTGAGTGCTGGGCATTTTAACCTAAGGAACAGACTTTTGGGGTGTAGCCATTAGCTTATGCATCCCTAGTATAGAGACAGGTACGACTGGAGGGTTTGTTTAATTTTACGCAGTCATCCAAAGCTTGCTGAGTGTGTGTGAATATTTTGCACAGTTTGTTTTTCACCTCTGGCTTTACAACAGGTCAACATTCTTCCACCTGCCTCTGGTCCTTGTGCTCCCAACTGACATGTCTAAGCCACAATCACCTCACTGCATTAGTGCAATCAATGTCTACTCTTCCCTTCTCTACTCTTGCACTTCTGTATCCACCCCCAACAGGACTCCCCACTGTGCTCCTGCCTCTGATCTCCATTCTGGTCCTTGAGCACTGCAGTTTTTCCCAGCCTCAGCGCCTTTCCACTGACTGTTCCCTCTCCTAGCTCTTCACCAGGTGGCTTCTTTCATTCTTCAGTTCTCAGCTCACATCTTCAGAGAGGCCCCTGTCTTACTCACGTTCCCCTCGGAGCACCCTGAGACAAGCAAGCAGATGGCAGCAGGTGGCTTGGGAGGCACAGAAGGCAGTAGCAGGGGAAATCAGTGGCAAGAGGCACCAGCCACCACCGCAGGCCACCAAGCTTCATCCTGTGGGAAGCTCTGGGAAAGGCATAAAATGCTGCCTCTGGGTTACCCCTATGAGTGCTGAGGGACTTGAACATTTACATACCCCCTCCACTGGTACTGGATCCTTGGGGAGGGAGAGAGCACTTCTGATTGCTCCTCGTTATGCAGAAAGAGCAGTGGGAATATGCAAATACGGGCAGTTAGAAACAGTCCTGAAGAGTAGTTTTCAAACTTTAGTGTGCTCACAAACCCTGGGGATCTTGTTAAAATGCAGATTGGTTAAAGAGTTCTGTTAGGAGGCCTGAGATGCTGCGGCTCTTAGAAGCTCCCAGATGATGCCCTTGCTGATGTTCTGAGGATCACATTGTGAGGAGCAAGCAGCTGCCGTGCATGGCCAAGGGACGTCAGAGGGACAAGGAGGCCCCAGTGGTGTCTGCTCTGCCTTCCTCCATGCCCATCCTCAAGTAGGAATCTCCAGACCCCCAAATTTGTTTCTTTTGCATCACAAGTCACTGTCTGAAATGACTGTCTTTGTGGTTTGGGTGTCTTGTTTAGTGCTGGGCTTCTTTATTAGAACGTAAGTTTCATAAGGGCATCATCTTATTGTGAGTCATTTTCCCAGGGACTAGCACAGTGCCTGGTGCACAGAAGACTGCTCAGTAAATATTTGTTGGATGATTTGCTTTTCACAGATGATATTCTCATAAAGACACTTATATATGAAGTATATATTTACATATAAGAAATGTTAGGGGCTCCTCCCCTGAGAAATGTTCTATGATTAACACAAATGATGTGGCAAATACCAAATGCCACATTTAGTTATTCTTTCTGAAGGTTTTTATGTTCTCTCTTAAGGCTATAATAAAATGTCAGTATTTAAGTTGCTCATGGTGCTCCATTACCTGTTGCAAATGTGAGTATAATTATGCTTTCTTTCTCACATCAGCAGTTTCCCAGCCATAGGGGCTCTTATCCTTCAAACCCTGCCACTTGTCTAGTTGGCTTCCAGGCGTTTTTCTTGCTGCAAGGTGGTAGTGTGTGGAGGGATCTGACATATAACGGGACATGCCTTGACAGCAGTTTCTTCTTTCCACCTAGTCCCTGCCAGGCAGATGGATGGGTGGCCATAGGAAATACACCTCCCTCTGTTCATCTCTTCTTCATTTTAGTGCCAGCAAAGCTGTGGTTCCCAGCGTAGTACTCAATGATCACTCACTGCCTCTCTTCCTCTGTTATTAAGTGTTCATTGGGAGCCTAGTATGTCCAGGCACTCTTACTCCTGCTTTGGCTACAGGAGTGAACAAGGCAGACAAGAATCCTTGCCCTGATAGAGCTCAGTTTGTATTAGAGGGATACAGGTGATGATCCAGATAAGGAAGTAAGGTATAGAATACCAGATTAGTGGTCAATGCTATGGAGAAGATAAAGCAAGGAAGGAAGGTGAGGAGGCAGGGGAAGGTATTATACTGGTGCAGAGAGCCATGGAAAATGGGGGCTCCCCTAGGGTCTGAGCTTCCTCTGGAAACAGGAATGAAAGGCATAGAGTGATTAGGCCTCACTGTCTCAAGGCAGAGAGTGAAGGAAAGGCAGTGAAGGTTGGGTTGGGGAAATGGTTGAGGGTCTTGGGGAAAAACACATGGAATCTCTCTTGGCTCTTGCTGATGGAGGTATTACAAAGGCAAAGGGCAAACTTCTTCGCCCTCCAAAGGTTCGCTGATAATCAACCAACGAAAGGCAGATTCATGGAAAAAAAGGCATACAAATGAATTAATGTGCATGGGAGCCTAAAGAATGAAGACCCAAAGATACAGGGGAAATTGTCCATTTTTATGCTTAGGTTCAACAAACTATGGACGGCCGTGTGGAAATAGGATTGAACAAAAAGTGTGAGATCTAATGCTAATAGACGGAGTGGGGAAACCGAGCAAGGCCTGTCTGTCTAGATTCTTCTTGGCCTCTCTGAGCAGCATTCCTTCCTTCTCAGTATGGGGCAGGACACTCTCTGGAATGGAGGTCTTACAATCTATAATCAAACAAGATAGATCAGATAATTTCTGTATGGTCAATTATTACACAGAAAGGTGGGGGAAAAGTTTGAGCAATATTTTTAGGTCCTATGGCTGGCTTTGGGGAAAAGTGGTTCTGGTTTTTTGATCCACCTTGGGGGAGGAGAGATTCTAGCTTCTATTGCTAGCCTCAGGATAGAATTGAGGGGTCAGAGATAGCAGGCCAAGAGAACGTCAGAGAGAAACTTTTGGAAGAGAAGCTTCTGGGCTGCTTCTGAAGCTTTCATTTTGGGGTATCATTTTAGCCCCAATAGTATAATAGAATTCTTTATTTTTTTTAAATTTTATGTGTGTATTTAAAAAAAAAATCAGCGATATACTTACATGGGTCAACATTTAAAAAGTACAAAAGGATATCTAACCAAAACAATAAACTCCCACCTTTATCCTCTAGGATCTCAGTTCCCCTTCTCGGATGTAACTTTCTAAACAGTTTCTGTATTTTTTCAAGACATTTTGCTCATATACACGGAAACACACACACACACTACATACACACATATATATGTGAATATCTGTAAGCCTATCTATATAAATATCCATAGAATATGTGTATATCATATATATACATGCACGTATGTATATTTGTACATGTATGCATGTATTAAATCAAGTTTAGCCTAAAGCTGCCTCCTTACATATTTAAGTTCAGCCTAAAGATTTTTCTGTACGTCATGAACTATAACAAGTGGAGGTATAAACCAACCATAACACACAACTGTACCAATCGCTGAGTTTCAGCCAATCAAATGTAGCCAACGTTATTTGAACCATGTTCAAACAAGGCAAACACGGAGCTGTAACCAAACCAGTTGTTTCTGTATCTCACTTCCATTTTCTGTATATCACTTTCCTTTTGCTGTCCATAAATCTTCCACCATGTGGCTGCACTGGAGTCTCTCTGAATCTTCGGTGATTCTGGGGGCTGCCCGATTTGCAAATCATTCATTGCTCAATTAAACTCCTTTAAATTTAACTCGGCTGAAGTTTTTCTTTTGACACGTGTGTGTGTATATATACACACACACATAAATATACGTATATGTATATATACATCTATATACATGTATATATATACATGTATATATACACATATATGTGTATATATATTTTAAATTTAAGATTATTTAGGAAGCTCTCATGTTATGAGGAGTCTGTTGGTTGCTGGATTCTTTCCACTGTAGGTAACACTTCCACAAATCAAATAAGGCTTTAGTAGGTTGCCTGTCTATTTCAATTTTAGGAACACCATGATCAGTTAGGCAATATCAGAGATATCTGCAGGGCAAAAACATTCTGAAAAATGCTTTAGCTTTTCTTCCCATTATGGTAGCTATGTCCATCTTGTGATTAAAGGCATAGACTGAAAAATCTAGAAGCAAATCCTAGTTGGATATCTATACTAATTTCCCATTACTGCTATAATGAATTATCATAAACTTAGTGGTTTGAAAATACAGTTTTATTACCTTACAGTTCTTTGTGTCAAAAGTCTGAAATGGTTTTTAATGGGCTGAGGTCAAGGTATCAGCAGGGCTGTGCTACCTCATGAGGCTCTAGGGAAAAATCCATTTCCTTACCTTTTCCAGCTTCTAGACGGTGCCTCCATCCCTTGGCTTAAGGTGCCTTCCTCCATCTTCAAAGCTGGAAATGTAGCATTTTCATTCATTCTCAGTCTGTCTACCTATCCCCCTTCCTTCTGTCACCTCTTCTTTCATCATAATGTGTCTTCTCTGACTCTGACCCAACCGCCTTCCTCTTATAAAAGCTCTTGTGATTACATTTGACGCACTAGGATAATCCAGAATAATCTTCCCATCTCGAGATCCTTAACACATCTGCAAACCGTTTACCCATGTGATGTAACATATTCACAGATTCTGGGGATTAGAACGGGGACATCTTTGGGGAGCCACTATTCACCTTATCAAAGGTAGTGTTAGAGAAACTTACTTAACTTCTAGGAGTCTGTTTCCTCATCTACAAAATTTTCATAAAAACAAAGCCTCTTCCCAGCAGATGGCAGTAGCAACTGTCCTCCCACTCCAGTTGTGACAGGGTTCCTTGGCTGGGGCCTGGGTAGGGGAATTACCAAAGGTTGAAAACAACTGCTGTAGTGATTACTGTATGCATCCTCAACTTAACACCCCAATTTATCACAAGAATCAATTAGTATTTCGCTTCTTTGCAAACAATGTAAAAACTTTGCACAAAAAATTCCACTAATCTCTCTCTAGTTCGTTGTGCTATTGATGTCACATATTTTATTTCTGTCTATATTATAAACCACTAAACTTTATTGTGTTTTGCTTTGGCTTTTTTGTTTGTTTTTGTTTTTGTTTTTTTGTTTTGAGACAGGTTCTTGCTCTGTTGCCCAAGCTGGAGTGCACTGGCACAATCTCAGCTCACTGCAACCTCCATCTCCCAGGCTCAAGCCATCCTCTCACCTCAGCATCCTGAGTAGCTCGGACTACAGGTGTGCACCACCACACCCAGTTAATTTTTGTATTTTTCATACAGATGGGGTTTCACCATGTTTCTCAGGCTGATCTTGAACTACTGAGCTCAAGCAATCCACCTGCGTCGACCTCCTAAAATGATAAGATTACAGGTGTGAGCCACTGTGCCTGGCCTGTGGTTTCTAATAGTCAATAATTTTGAAAATTTAAAGTATTCTTTTATGTTTATGCACATATTTGACCTTTTTTGACATTGTTCATTCCTTCCTGCAGATCTTTGCTTTCATCTTGAGTTATTTTCTTTTAGCTTCAAAAGCTGGTGACATATTTTCTCACCTTTTGTTTTTTTAAACATCTCTATATGCACTTCATTTATAGAATTCTGTTTTTCTTTCTTTCAGCACTTTGAAGATGTCAATTCCATTGTCTTTTGTCTTCTATTGTTTCTCTCTTTTTTTTTTTTTTTTTTGAGACAGGATCTTGCTATGTTGCTCAGACTGGACGTGAATTCTTCAGCTCAAGCAATTCTCCTGCCTCAGCCTCCCAGGTAGCTGGAACTACAGGTGCACACCATTATACCCAGCTGTCACCCATTGTTTTCTGATGAAAGTCAGCCATGATTTTCATTGTTGTTCTGCTAAATATAATCTATTTTCTATGTCTACATTTAATAATTTATTTTATGTGTGCATCTTAAAATTTTTCCTATATTTTTGATTTTCAACCAGTTTGTGATGACCTGGATAAAATGACTGATGCTGTTTTCTCTGCTGTGTCCATTCTGCTTTAGCTCTATAAATACATTTTTAATTTCATGCACAGTAGATTTTTTTTTTCAGTTCTGGAATTTTCACTTTGTTCTATTTTAGCAGTTTTATCTTTTGAAATTGTCATTCTTTTTATCCATTTTGTCAATCTTATCCTCAAATTTCTTTAATATATTTCAATAGTTATTTTAAAGTCTTTGCTTATTCCGATATTTGAACCATTAGTGGATCTGCTACTGTTCAGTTTTTTTTCCTTTTAATTAGGAGTACATCCCGCTTCTTCACTTATTTCATAGCTGTTTATTGCCTGCCAGAAATTGTATAATTAAAAATAAAACCCTACAGCCCTTGGTATAAATACTGTCTTCTATCTTATTCTTTTTTAACTTTTAAATATATATATATATATAATTTTTTAAAAAATTATACTTTAAGTTCTGGGATACATGTGTAGAATGTACAGGTTTGTTACATAGGTATACATGTGCCATGGTAGTTTGCTGTGCCTATGAACCCGTCATCTAGGTTTTAAGCCCTGCACGCATTAGGTATTTGTCCTAATGCTCTCCCTCCCCTTGCCTCCAACCCCCTGGCGATAGGCCCTGGTCTATGATGTTCCCATCTCTGTGTCCATGTGTTCTCATTGTTCAACTCCCACTTATGAGTGAGAACATGCGGTGTTTGGTTTTCTGTTCCTGTGTTAGTTTGCTGAGAATGATGGCTTCCAGCTTCATCCATGTCCCTGCAAAGGACATGAACTCTATTTTTAAAATATGAAAGGCTTCATGAGTTTGTGTCATCCTTGTGCAGGGGCCATGGTAATCTTCTGTGTCTTGTTCAAATTTTAGTATATGTGCTGCCAAAGTGAGCACAATACTATCTTCTAAAAGGGAGGGTGTGTTCTTTTGTCTGTAAGTTAGGGAAATGGGTCAATCTTTATAATCCAGAAAGAATTTGAGCTGATTTGTGGCTGGGATACAGCTTTAGTAAGCTTTATTTCACCTGTGTTTTCACATGTATTTAGGGCTAACTGGGTCTGTACTGTATATATTATAAACTACTCTCTCTAGTAGGACCTTGGGATCTAATCACCAGAAGACTACAGAGTTCTCTCTCTCTGCTTTTCCAGTTCCATTTTCATACCATTTCCACACACTCACCAAAAGTTTCATGGGGGAAAACTCAGCAGGTAAGAAGAACAAGTTCTTTGCATTTGAAACTCCTACAGACTTCAATCCATTTATACTAGCCCACAAGGTCTGCAGGCTTTCCTGTATCATAGCAGAGTTCCAGAGACTGTGATAAGCCCAGTCTTCCACCAGCCCCTGTGGAAATTCAGCAGAAGAGAATTTCGCCACTGATACCTGCTCAGCTAGAAATACCTTATCCTCCCCTGTAATTGAATTTTGGATCATTTTTGATCTGCAACCCTCCAATCTCTTAAATATGGGGGAGATGGGCAAGCTGATCCAGTAATTTTTGTGGTTTATCTAGTGGGAGAAATGGTCCATCAAGACCTTCTACATATTATCTGAAGGCTGGAAGTTCTTAACTTTTAAATATTTTAAGATCTCTAATGATGTCCCTTTTTAATTTCTGAAAATTTTAAGTATAGTTTTCTCACATTTCTTTTAATGAATCTTGATAGGTGTTTATCTGTTTTATTAATCTCCAAAAATACCAATTTTTAAATTGTATGTTTTTTATTTTTTTCCTCTTTAACATTTCCTTCTACTTTTTCGCATGTAATTTATTGTACTTTTTTAGCTTTTTAGGAGATTATTAAATAATTTTTTCAGTTTTTTTCCAAAGTGTGTGTTTGATTTTATAAATTTCTCTGTCAGCACTATTTTATCTACATTGCACAAATTCTGATAGCTATACTCAGTTCAAAATATTTTCTAATTTGCTCTGTTATTTCTTCTCTGACTTCAGGGTAATTTAGAAAACAATTCCTTAATTTATAAACATTTGGTGATTTTCTGTTTATCTCTTGGTTACTGATTTCTAACTTAGTTCCACTATGGTCAGAGTACTGATTCTGGCTTCATGGCCCATTTTGGTAAATGTATCATGTGCATTTGAAAAGAATGTGTGTTCTGCAGCTGTTTGGTATAGTGTTCTATATACATACCAGTTAGGGCAAATTGGTTAATTGGATTGTTCAAAAATACATCTTTTTATTTTTCTTTTTTTCTTTATTAAATTTTTTTTATTATTATACTTTAGGTTCTAGGGTACATGTGCACACTGTGCAGGTTTGATACATAGGTATACATGTGCCAGGTTGGTTTGCTGCACCCATAAACTCATTTACATTAGGTGTTTCTCCTAATGTTATCCCTCCCCTAGCCCCCTAACCCCCGACAGGCCCCAGTATGTGATGTTCCCCACCCTGTGTCCAAGTGATCTCATTGTTCAGTTCCCACCGATGAGTGAGAACATGCAGCCTTTGGTTTTCTGTCCTTGTATAATTTGCTGAGAATGATGGTTTCCAGCTTCATCCATGTCCCTGCAAAGGACATGAACTCATCCTTTTATGTGGCTGCATAGTATTCCACAGTGTATATGTGCCACATTTTCTTAATCCACTCTATCATTGATGGACATTTGGGTTTTTGTTTGTTTTTTTTTTTGCTATTTTCTTTGCTATTGCTAATACTGTCTTCTATTTTATTTTTTAACTTTTAAATATATATATATATAATTTTTTAAACAATTATACTTTAAGTTCTGGGATACATGTGCAGAATGTGCAGGTTTTGTTACATAGGTATACATGTGCCATGGTGGTTTGCTGTGCCTATCAACCTGTCATCTAGGTTTTAAGTTGCAATAAACACACATGTGCATGTGTCTTTATAGTAGCATGATTTATAATCCTTTGGGTAGATACCCAGTAATGGGATTCCTGGGTCAAATGGTATTTCTAGTTCTGGATCTTTGAGGAATCACCACACTGTCTTCCACAATGGTTGAACAAATTTACACTCCCACCAACAGTGTAAAAGGGTTCCTATTTCTCCATGTCCTCTCCAGCATCTGTTGTTTCCTGACTTTTTAATGATCGCCATTCTAACGGGGGTGAGATAGTATCTCATTGTGGTTTTGATTTGCATTTCTCTGATGACCAGTGATGATGAGCATTTTTTCATGTGTCTCCTGGCTGTATAAATGTCTTCTTTTGAAAAATGTCTGTTCATATCCTTTGCCCACTTTTTGATGGGGTTGTTTGTTTTTTTCTTGTAAATTTGTTTGACTTCTTTGTAGATTCTGGATATTAGCCCTTTGTCAGATGGGTAGATTGCAAACATTTTCTCCCATTCTGTAGGTTGCCTGTTCACTCTGATGGTAGTTTCTTTTGCTGTGCAGAAGCTCTTAGTTTAATTAGATCGCATTTGTCTATTTTGGCTTTTGTTGCCATTGCTTTCGGTGTTTCAGTCATGAAGTCCTTGCCCAAGCCTATGTGCTGAATGGTAATGCCTAGGTTTTCTTCTAGGGTTTTTATGGTTTTAGGTCTAACATTTAAGTCTTTAATCCATCTTGAATTAATTTTTGTATAAGGTGTAAGGAAGGGATCCAGTTTCAGCTTTCTACTATAGCTAGCCAGTTTTCCCAGCACCATTAATAAAATAGGGAATCCTTTCCCCATTTCTTGTTTTTGTCAGGTTTGTCAAAGATCAGATGGTTGTAGATGTGTGGTGTTATTTCCGTGGCCTCTATTCTGTTACATTGGTCTATCTCTCTGTTTTGGTACCAGTACCATGCTGTTTTGGCTACTGTAGCCTTGAAGTATAGTTTGAAGTCAGGTAGCATAATGCCTCCAGCTTTGTTCTTTTTGCTTAGGATTATCTTGGCAATGCGGGCTCTATTTTAGTTCCCTATGAACTTTAAAGTAGTTTTTTCCAATTCTGTGAAGAAAGTCATTGGTAGCTTAATGGGGATGGCATTGAATCTATAAATTACGTTAGGTACTATGGACATTTTCATGATATTGCTTCTTCCTATCCATGAGCATGGAATATTCTTCCGTTTGTTTGTGTCCTATTTTATTTCATTGAGCAGTGGTTTGTAGTTCTCCTTGAAGAGGTCCTTCACATCCCTTGTAAGTTGCTTTCTTAGGTATTTTATTCTCTTTGGAGCAATTGTGAATGGGAGTTCACTCACGGTTTGGCTCTCTGTTTGTCTGTTAATGGTGTATAGGAATGCTTGTGATTTTTGCACATTGATTTTGTATCCTGAGACTTTGCTGAAGTTGCTTATCAGCTTAGGGGGATTTTGGGCTGAGACGATGGGGTTTTCTAAGTATACAATCATGTCATCTGCAAACAGGGACAATTTGACTTCCTCTTTTCCTAATTGAATACCCTTTATTTCTTTCTCCTGCCTGATTGCCTTGGCCAGAACTTCCAGCACTATGTTGAATAGGAGTGGTGAGAGAGGGCATCCCAATTTTGTGCCAGTTTTCAAAGGGAATGCTTCCAGTTTTTGCCCATTCAGTATGATATTGGCTGTGAGTTTGTAAAAAATAACTCTTATTATTTTGAGATACATTCCATCAATACCTAGTTTATTGAGAGGTTTTTTTTTTTTGAGATGGAGTCTCACTCTGTCACCCAGGCTGGAGTGCAGTGGTGCAATCTCAGCTCACCGTAAGCTCCGCCTCCTGGGTTCACACCATTCTCCTGCATCAGCCTCCCAAGTAGCTGGGACTACAGTTGCCCGCCACCGTGCCCGGCTAATATTTTGTATTTTTGGTATAGAAGGGGTTTCACCGTTTTAGCCAGGATTGTTTCAAACTCCTGACCTCGTGATTTGCCTGCCTTGGCCTCCCAAAGTGCTGGGATTACAAGCATGAGCCACCACGCCTGGCCTATTGAGAGTTTCTAGCATGAAGTACTGTTGAATTTTGTTGAATGCCTTTCCTGCATCTATTGAGATAATCATTTGGTTTTTGTCATTGGTTCTTTTTATGTGATGGATTATATTTATTGATTTGGGTATGTTGAACCAGCCCTGCATCCCAGGGATGAAGCCCACTTGATCATGGTGGATAAGCTTTTTGATGTGCTGCTGGATTTGGTTTGCCAGTATTTTATTGAGGATTTCCACATCCATGTTCATCAGGGATATTCATCTAAAATTCTCTTTTTTTGTTGTGTCTCTGCCAGGCTTTGGTATCAGGATGATGTTGGCCTCATAAAATGAGTTAGAGAAGATTCCCTCTTTTTCTGTTCACTGGAATAGTTTCAGAAGGAATGGTACCAGTTCCTCTTTGTACCTCTGGTAGAATTTGGCTGTGAATCCATCTGGTCCTGGAGTTTTTTTGGTTGGTAGGCTATTAATTGTTGCCTCAGTTTCAGAGCCTGTTATTGGTCTATTCAGAGATTCAACTTCTTCCTGGTTTAGTCTTGGGAAGGTGTATGTGTCCAGGAATTTATTCATTTCTTCTAGATTTTCTAGTTTATTTGCATAGAAGCATTTATAGAATTCTCTGATGGTAGTTTGTATTTCTGTGGGATTGGTGGTGATACCCCTTTATCATTTATTGCATCTATTCTTCTCTCTTTTCTTCTTTATTAGTCTTGCTAACAGTCTATCAATTTCATTGATCTTTTCAAAAAAACAGCTCCTAGATTCATTGATTTTTTTGAAGGGTTTTTTGTGTCTCCCTCTCTTTCAGTTCTGTTCTGATCTTAGTTATTTCTTGCCTTCTGCTAGCTTTTGAATGTGTTTGCTCTTGCTTCTCTAGTTCTTTTAATTGTGATGTTAGGGTGTCAATTTTAGATCTTTCCTGTTTTCTCTTGTGGGCATTTAGTGCTATAAATTTCCCTCTACACACTACTTTAAATGTGCCCCAGAGATTCTGGTACGTTGTGTCTTTGTTCTCATTGGTTTCAAAGAACATCTTTTATTTCTGCCTTCATTTCGTTATTTACCCAGTAGTCATTCAGGAACAAGGTGTTCAGTTTCCATGTAGTTGTACCGTTTTGAGTGAATTTCTTAATCCTGAGTTCTAATTTGATTGCACTGTGGTCTGAGAGACAGTTTGTTGTGATTTCTATTATTTTACATTTGCTGAGGAGTGCTTTACTTCCAATTATGTGGTCAATTTTAGAATAAGTGTGATGTGGTGCTGAGAAGAGTGTATATTCTGTTGATTTGGGGTGGAGAGTTCTGTAGATTTCTATTAGGTCTGCTTGTTGCAGAGCTGAGTTCAGGTCCTGTGTATCCTTGTTAACCTTCTGTCTCCTTGATCTGTCTAATATTGACAGTGGGGTGTTAAAGTCTCCTATAATTATTGTGTGGGAGTCTAAGTCCCTTTGTAGGTCTCTAAGGACTTGCTTTATGAATCTGGGTGCTCCTGTATTGGGTGCATATATATTTAGGATAGTTAGCTCTTCTTGTTGACTTGATCACTTTACCATTATGTAATGGCCTTGTTTGTCTCTTGATCTTTGGTGGTTTAAAGTCTGTTTTATCAGAGACTAGGATTGCAACCCCTGCTTTTTTTGCTTTCCATTTGCTTGGTGGATCTTCCTCCATCCCTTTATTTTGAGCCTACGTGTGTCTCTGCACGTGAGATGGGTCTCCTGAATACAGCACACAGATGGGTCTTGACTCTTTCTCCAATTTGCCAGTCTGTGTCTTTTAATTGGGGCATTTAGCCCATTTACATTTAAGGTTAATATTGTTATGTGTGAATTTGATCCTGTCATTATGATGTTCGCTGGTTATTTTGCCCATTAATTGATGCAGTTTCTTCATAGCATCGATGGTCTTTACAATTTGCCATGTTTTTGCAGTGGCTGGTATGGGTTGTTTCTTTCCATGTTTAGTGCTTCCTTCAGGAGCTCTTGTAAGGCAGGCCTGGTGGTGACAAAATCTCTCAGCATTTGCTTGTCTGTAAAGGATTTTATTTTTCCTTCACTTATGAAGCTTAGTTTGTCTGGATATGAAATTCTGGGTTGAAAATTCTTTTCTTTTTTTGAGACGGAGTCTCGCTCTGTCTCCCAGGCTGCAGTGTAGTGGTGCAATCTCAGCTCACTGAAAGCTCCACCTCCTGGATTCACGCCATTCTCCTGCCTCAGCCTCCCAAGTAGCTTGGACTACAGGTGCCCGCCACCATGCCCGGCTAATTTTCTTTTTGTATTTTTAGTAGAGACAGGGTTTCACCGTGTTAGCCAGGATGGTCTCGATCTCCTGACCTCATGATCCGCCCACCTTGGCCTCCCAAATTGCTGGGATTACAGGCGTAAGCCACCGCGCCTGGCAAAAATTCTTTTCTTTAAGGATGTTGAATATTGGCCCCCACTGTCTTCTGGCTTGTGGGGTTTCTGCTGAGAGATCTGCTGTTAGTCTGATGGGCTTCCGTTTGTGGGTAACTCGACCTTTCTCTCTGGCTGCCTTAACACTTTTTTCTTCATTTCAACCTTGGTGAATCTGACGATTATGTGTCTTGGGGTTGCTCTTCTTAAGGAGTATCTTTGTGGTGTTCTCTGTATTTCCTGAATTTGAATGTTGGCCTGCCTTGTGATGCTGGGGATGTTCTCCTGGACAGTATCCTGAAGAGTGTTTTCAAACTTGGTTCCATTCTCCCATCACTTTCAGGTACACCAATCAAATGTAGGTTTGGTCTTTTCACATAGTCCCATATTTCTTGGAGGCTTTGTTCATTTCTTTTTATTCTTTTTTCTCTTACCTTGTTTTCTTGCTGTATTTCATTAATTTGATCTTCAATCACTGATACCCTTTCTTCTACTTGATCGAATCGGCTATTGAATCTTGTGCATGCGTCATGAAGTTCTCGTGCTGTGTTTTTCAGCTCCATCAGGTCATTTAAGGTCTTTACGCTGTTTATTCTAGTTAGCCTTTCATCTAATCTTTTTTTAAGGTTTTTAGCTTCCCCACGATGGGTTTGAACATCCTCATTTAGCTCGGAGAAGTTTGTTATTACCAACCTTCTGAAGTCTACTTGTGTCAGCTCATCAAAGTCATTCTCCATCCAGCTTTGTTCCGTTGCTGGCGAGGAGCTGCAATCTTTTGAAGGAGAAGAGGTACTCTGGTTTTTTAGAATTTTCAGCTTTTCCTCTCTGGTTTCTCCCCATCTTTGTGGTTTTATCTACCTTTGGTCTTTGATGTTGGTGACCTACAGATGGAGTTTTGGTGTAGATGACCTTTTTGTTGATGTTGATGCTATTCCTTTCTGTTTGTTAGTTTTCCTTCTAACAGTCAGGTCCCTCAGCTACTGGTCTGTTGGAGTTTGCTGGAGTTCCATTCCAGACCCTGTTTGCCTGGGTATCACCAGCAGATGCTGCAGAACAGCAAATATTTCAGAACAGCAAATATTGCTGCCTGATCCTTCTTCTGGAAGCTTCGCCCCAGAGGGGCAGCCACCTATATGAGGTGTCTGTCGGCCCCTACTGGGAGTTGTCTCCCAGTTAGGCTACACAGGGTTCAGGGATCCACTTGAGGAGGCAGTCTGTCTGTTCTCAGAGCTCAAACGCCATGCTGGGAGAACCACTGCTCTCTTCAGAGCTGCCAGACAGGGAAGTTTAAGTCTGCAGAAGTTGTTTGCTGCCTTTTGTTCAGCTATGCCTTGCCCACAGAGGTGGAGTCTAGAGGCAGTAGGCCTTGTTGAGCTGCGGTGGGCTCTGCCCAGTTCGAGCTTCCTGGCTGCTTTATTTACCTACTCAAGTCTCAGTAGCGGTGGAGGCCCCTCCCCTAGCCAGGCTGCCATCTTGCAGATTGATCTCAGACTGCTGCGCTAGCAGTGAGCAAGGCCCTGTGGGTATGGGAGCTGCCTAGCCAGGCACTAGAGAGAATCACTTTGTCTGTCGGTTGCTAAGACCTTGGGAACAGCACAGTATTTGAGCGGGAATATCCTGTTTTTCCAGGTAGTCTGTCATGGCTTCCCTTTGCTAGGAAAGGGAAATCCCCCAACCCCTTGTGCTTCCTGGGTGAGGTGACGCCCCACCCTGCTTTGGCTCGCCCTCTGTGGGCTGCACCCACTGTCCAACCAGTCCCAATGAGATGAACCAGGTACTTCAGTTGGAAATGCAGAAGTCACCTGTCTTCTGTGTCAATCACGCTGGGAGCTGCAGACCGGAGCTATTCCTATTCTGCTGTCTTCTCTTTTTATTTTTCTTTTTGTTCTATCAGTTACTGAGATGGGAGCTGTTCTCAACCCTATAAATGTATATTTTTGTTTTTCCTTTTAGTTTGATCAGTTAGTGATTTATATATCTTGAGCCTATGTTATTAGGGGTATACACAGTTATGTTCTACCAAAATTAGCCTTTTTTTGTTACAAGCTCTGCCTTTTTATTGGTAATAATACTTCTCATCTTGAAATCTTCTTGGTTTCATATTAGTATACCTATGGCAGCTTTCTTTCGATTTGTATTTGCAAGGATCTTCTTTTTTGCCCCCTCTGGTTCTTATTTATTAGATATGTCTCCTGCAAACAACATTTGGTATAGTTATTTTTTTTTGTTATTTACCAATATGGCCATGTTTGTGTTTTTAAAAGATATTTAATGTCCATTTATGTTTAATGTAATTGTTGATATATTGGGGTTTAAATCTGTTATCTTACTGTGCTTTCTATGTGTCCCAGCTGTTATAATTTTTTCTGCTCTTTTAGTCTTTTAATCAAATATTTTAATATTAGTCTTTTTCCTCTATTGTCTTCTCTCTCTTTTTTTTTAAGAGTCTTGCTTGTTGCCCAGGCTGGATGACAGTGGCAAGATATGGCTTACTGCAGCCTCAATCCCCTGGGTTCAAGTAATCCTCCCACTTCAGCCTCCTCAGTAGCTGGGACCACTAGCATGTACCACCATGCTTGGTTAATTTTTTTTTTTTTTTTTGCAGAGACAGAGTCTCATCATGTTGCCTGGGCTGGTCTCAAACTCCTGGGCTCAAGCAATCCTCCTGCCTTGGGTGTGATCAGCATCTTCTCTTTTTAAAGTTTTATTTTACAACTATACATTTTAAAATTATATTTTAGTTCTATCCTAAACAAGATAAATTTTTGACCTAGACTACTTCAAATTTTAATTTTACTATTTCTAGGATAAATCAAACCTTAAAAACTTTAACTGTATTTACCATTCTCCCATTTTTTGTGTTATTGTCATATGTTTAAATTATATATAAAATATACTGTATTTGTGTGTGTATAATTTATTTGCACAAGATGACTTATAGTAGTCATTTATTTAAATTTATCCATGTATTTACTCTTATTTTCTGCAAGTGTTCTTCTACCAGGAATCGTTTTCCTTCTGCTGAAAGAACCTCCTTTAGTAGTTTTCTAATGTCACTTTGTCAGAGGTGTGTAAGCCAGAGCAGCTCCATCTTAGATAGGGGCTGGGTAAAATGAGGCTGAGACCTACTGGGCTGCATTCCCAGATGGTTAAGGTATTCTAAGTCGCAGGATGAGATAGGAGATTGGCACAAAATACAGGCCGTAAAGACCTTGCTGACAAAACAGCTTGCTGTAAAGAAGCCAGCTAAAATCCACCAAAACCAAGATGGCCTCGAGAGCAACCTCTGGTCATCCTCACTGCTACACTCCCACCAGCACTATGACAGTTTACAAATGAAATGGCAACATCAGGAAGTTATCCTATATGGTCTGAAAAGGGGAATCCTGAATAATCTACCTCTTGTTTAGCATATCTTCAAGAAATAACCATAAAAATGGGCAACCAGCAGCCCTCAGGGCTGCTTTGTCTGTGGAGTAGCCATTCTTTTATGCTTTTACTTTTCTAATAAACTTGCTTTCACTTTATGGATTCACCCTGAATTCTTTCTTGTGCAAGATCCAAGAACCCTCTCATGGGTTCTGGATCGAGACCCCTTTACTGTAACAACTCTACTAATGACAAATTATCACACTTTTAGGGACGTTTATCTAGAAATGTTTTTATTTTCTGTTTAATCCCAGCTTCCTGGGTAGCCCTGAGCTCATTTATTTTGATTTTTCCAATTCAGTGAGGTTGCCAGAATCTCTTGATTGCTAATTTCTGATCGGCCTCTATGCTTTTCCCTAAAAATTGGCAAGAGCATTATGGAGGGAAAAAAATAATGAATATAGAGATTTTCTCAATACATTTTCCTTCTCTCCAGGATCTTGATCTATTGAATCCCGGCTGCTTTAGTTATTCTCTGATTAATGTAAACAGTTTTTTTTTATAATGTTAATTTTTCCTAGATTTTATAGTTGTTTTCAGTGGGGAGTTTACTGTGAATGAAACTTCTCTGTGACAGCTAGAAGTACAATCTACAAATTATTGTTTGTTTTTAATGAAACATGTATTAAAAGGAAGTCTCTCCTCACCCATATGGTGGCCTTTCAGATATTTTCCCACAGCTTCTATAAAGCCTGCCAAGCTTCTTCTCTAGATTACATGGCTAAAGTTCTTTCATGTGACGAGATCTCTAGAGCCCTCCCCATTCTGGTTTCCCAACTTATCTTTTCTCTTTGTTTTTAAGTAGACAGCGCAAAGATTATTCCTGGTTATAGAGTCAAGTTACTTTTAAATCCTGGACCCCTCATATTAAATGCTTGACCATGAACAAGTTAACTTATTTAAGCCTTTGATTTTTCACCTGCAAGATGAAGGGTATTACCTAGCTTGCAGAATCATTTTGAATTAAAAGGGTGCCTCAGTATAGTAGGCACTCAGTAAATTTAGCTGCTGCAGCTGCTTTCATGTTCGCATACTTGTTATCGCTTTGACAGGATATCCAATTGGGATAAATTCTTGGTATTGTTCTTAATGGGTTTCTTGAATATTTTTGTGTATCTGTTTTTTACATGTACCTGGTTTAGTTTTTACTGTGTAAAAACTGTAGAATCGTCCTCAAAGAAGGTATAAATTTGAAGATATGTCTTTCCTCCTCCTTAACACCTCCCTCTTCTTGGCTGAACAAGTGGGAGAAAAGATGTTTTTGGAAGAATTTAATTTAACTACAGGAATACCATTTAAACGGGAAAGTGTTCTCCCCCTCTTCACAATGACCCTTTATCAGGATTTCATTTGGCTTCCCTTTGTTTTAGAGAAGAAAATTAATAAACGTTTTGGATGCAATCTTAAGCTAAGGTCGGCAGCAGCTGCTGTGCACTTGTTTAAAATATCTATTTTCTTACACTCGTTTCTGACCCTTCTGAATCCTGTTATCAGTGCCTGCACATTTTTGGTAACTGATTGTCATTACATTGTAAGGATGCTGCCCGGATGATTGCTCCTCAACCAGAGATGTCAGCCAGCTGAAACATACCAGGAGACAACAAAGGACATTCCTGACTTGGGGAAAAATGGAGCAGGAGAAATTTACATGTGTTTGACATTTATATTCTTTTGAGTAGCTTTTGTCTCTTTGAAAATTCCCTGAACTTACTACTCAAGCAGAAGAATAGAATCTAAATGCAAGGGAGAAAAGAAAGTCTGCTTTGAAGATGGGGAGTAAGATGACGAATTAGAGGTTCGTCTTTTTCTTTTAAGGCCTTTTTTGGTTATGGAAAAGGACAGAATTGTAAAATTAACAAGATCACAATAACTTTAGTTCCTGATGTATTGGGGAATAGTTCTATTAAAAGCATAATGTATTTAAAGGCTTGTCATACCAATGTTTCCTAGTAGCCTCTTTCTACCTCTCCTTTGTATCAAAGAGTGCGAGCCCAGGTGTTTTTTGTATTATCGATTACATGTAAAGAGAATGCCTTGAAATGTTACTTATGTATGGAGGTCTCTGTGTTGGAACAATAGAGGTTTATTTGCATGCTGAACTTCTGATCTCAAAGGTGGAATTTCACATAAGACTGATGATAAGCCCAAGTGATTAAACCCCAGAGGCATCACTAGTGCCCTGTCTCAATCTTTATTTTACTTCTTAATAAATGCAGAACTCATCGGTTGGTACATACTCTGGAAAGCAAGATTAACAGAATCTTATTTTCTAATAAAGGGTTGGCAGACATGGGGTGATGCTTTTAGATTAATACACTGAACGCAATTTATGGTGCCAGAGGTACTTTCATCTACGTAAAAGCAGTGGTACCTTCTTCCATTATCTAAGACCTTCAACATCTGGGTTAAAAATGCATTACCTGGATTTATGCTATTTATATAGTTAAAGCAGCTAGTTTCTAAATTTTTTAGACAGTCCCAATCCTTTTTCCCCTCAGTTTTCTTTGGGAGCCCACTACATAAAAGATAATTTTTTAAAAGAGAGATTCTGGTTGATGCAAGGCAGCAAGAGGACAGAGGTCCTATTGCATTCCCCTTTTTTCCTGACAAAGTCTCTCTGCTGCATCTCAACACAATTCATGGGATACAGGAAACAGAGCTGACAAAACACTAGCCTAAGGAAGCCAATGAGACATGTGCATTATTAGAAAAGGGTTGCAGTGACCAGACAGGACCCTTACAGGCTAATTAAAGCAGTGCCATCACTGGGAGGAGCAGGCTTTCCTGTTCTTTTCCAAAATCGTTTTTCAAAAAAATAGGATTGTTTTGGAATTTTGTCATTTCCCTAGGATGTTTCTAGAGACTGAAAGAGGTGGCTAGGAATCATATGAATATTTTTCTGTTTTCTTTTCTTTCAAAATGGCTTCATGTAATTTCTCTCCCATTTTAGCCATCTATATACAGTGTGAAAGGAAAATAAAATATCAGGACCCTAAATTCACTATGCCAAAGGGAAAAGTTAAGCTTGGAAGCTGAGTCACAAAAATACCCAAAAACCTGCCATTCCTTTTGTTCCTAAACTGATAGCTACAGATAGAAGGCCACGTGTCTCCACAGGGGGCCCCCCTCACACTGACAATGTAAATGAACAGCTTGTCTTCACAAATATGGAACAAGGGGAGACTAGAAATTGTCCCTCCCGTCCCAAGATGAATACGTATTTGACTGCATCCTCTACTGTTTATCTTATGTAAAAATTCAGACTTACTGAGTATGAGATGAATACATAATTGTTTCTTCTACCCCCTCCTTTTCATGTGCAACATATGGGCTAAGTAAGCCAAATCAAAGCCTCACAAGAATGTGACTATAGCCTTCCCCCTTTTTTTCTTTCCGCTTTCCCCTCCTGCTTGCTTTTCCCCTTTAAATATTGAAGTCTTCAAAATCCTCTCTGGAAAAAGAACAGGCTACAGATTCTACTGTGGCTTGTGTCTTTTTCCCAGGCACATCCTCAACCTTGGCAAAATAAACCTCCACAATGATGGAGATTTGCCTCAGTCATTTTCTTTGATGTACAGCAGTCATCACTAACAGGTATATTTGGTCTCCTGTGAATTTATGTGAGTTTTAATCTGGGCTCCATGCAGTACAAAAGATACAGATGACTGGTATGAAATCCATTTCTAATGTAAAATGGAAAACTTTGTTTCTAGCTTATGAAATCTATGGCAGTGGGTGGGAGGCTGCCGAAGAGATGAGGATTCCTGAAGAACATCAAAGTTAGGCCTGTCTCTAGAATTTGAGACTGATCATTAGGTATTGTCCTAAGGAAATTAGATTTTTTTTGAATTTGAAATGACAGACACTGGCTTCAGCGAAAGGAATTTATTGGTTCACATAACTGAAAAGTCTGTGAGTAGGGCAATCCTCAAAATTCATAAAGTCACCTGCCCTCTTACTCTTGCTTTCTGTGCAATGTTTCTCTATATGGGCTAGCCCCGGTTTTTGCTTCTTCAGATTAGATTCATTCTTGCATCAGGTACAGGGAAAGGTATGGACAGTGGCACTGCTGCAACAGTTTTAGGCTTTACCCAAGCCGATTTAGGAACCCAAGAAACAAAAGAGACAGTTTCTTTCTTTTTTTTTTTTTATTCATATGGCCCAGAACACTGTTTTATTTATTTTTATTTATTTATTTATTTTTATTTTTATTATACTTTAAGTTTGAGGGTACATGTGCACAATGTGCAGGTTAGTTACGTATGGATACATGTGCCATGTTGGTGTGCTGCACCCATTAACTCATCATTTAACATTAGGTATGTCTCCTAATGCTATCCCAAAAGAGACAGTTTCTTTCTCTAGCTTCAAATTACAAAATCCTAAAGAAGGATTCTCTTGACTAGTTTGGGTCACATCCCAAATGTAAGGTCAATCAGTGGTCAAGGGGCATGGAGATACTATATTTACTTCTGTATCTCAATCAATATTCCTAATATTTACCTCAGTTCCCTCAGCCGAGTCTA
Organism: Homo sapiens; assembly: GCF_000001405.40. Taxonomy (NCBI): domain Eukaryota; kingdom Metazoa; phylum Chordata; class Mammalia; order Primates; family Hominidae; genus Homo; species Homo sapiens. The sequence continues at coordinate 156,799,778 of NC_000005.10, read as the reverse complement.
TTCTAGCTGTCATTTAAGAATGCTACGTGAGCCTGGGCACTATAGCTCATGCCTGTAATCCCAGTACTTTGGGAGGCTGAGGCAGGAGGATCATTTGAGCCCAGGAGTTTGAGACCAGCCTAGGCAACATGATGAGACCCTGTCTCTATAAAACATACAAACAAAAGTGAGATGCTGTCTTTATTAAAAAAACAAAACAAAACAAACAAACAAAAAAAACAGAAAAGAATGCTACATGACTGTAAGAATCTCTGAAAGAATACCAGTATTTTCATGGAACCCTCCAGAGGCTCCACTCAGAGGTTTTGGCAATAAAGACACAGTAGCTACTTGGGATTGATGTGGCTCTACCAGGAAGAATGAGAAAACGAAAGCAAACAAGGTGTCTGAATGGAATTAAACAATGAGTATAGTCTTTCCACAACTCAATAACTCAGAAAGGGCAAATTCCACCCTTCCCATGCAGTTTGCAGACTTCAGACATCATACTGCTCTTTTCTGCAAAGTCCAGACATGGCCTCAGAATCCTTTCAAAATAGCCCTCTAGGAACTCAATATTGGTAGGCAAAATAAGCTTATTTAGCATCCCTGGCATACTCAGGAGTCCCCATACTTCATCCTTTTCTCTTGTTCCTCTCCAACATTCCAGAACCTTGGGGACATCTTTGACATTCTAAAGACCGGTGGATTTAAATTGCCTAGTAGGGTCTATATGGGTATGTTTAAATCACAGGATGCTGCTCTACTTGTTTTTGTTCCATTTAAAAGAATAAGGCAATTGACTAATGCAAAACACAGGATGATGAAGCAAAAAAGAAGTTTTGGAGTGTTTTACCTCTCATTTTCTTCTAAAATCCACTTTTATAATGCTCTTAACTTGATGGCTGGCACATTTTTATTGATGTCAAGAAATAAGCCATCCCCCCACGCCACACACAGATTACTACTCTTCACATTATTGTAACTTTATTATTCTACCGTCTTCATCATTATGAATTTACTCTTCCAAGTGAAGGCAATTAAAATATTTTAGCCCACAAATGTATTTCTTTGACATATTTTGACATGGCTGCCACTTGGCCAGCAAACAGAAGTGGCCTTGCAAAGTTGTCTTTTTTTTTTTTTTTTTTTTTTAATTGTATTTTAAGTTCTGGGATACATGTGCAGGACATGCAAGTTTGTTCCATAGGTAAACATGTGCCATGGTGGTTTGCTGCACCCATCAACCCATCACCTAGGTATTAAGTCCCACATGTACTAGCTATTTATCCTGATGCTCTTCCTGCCCCTGCTGCCACCACCCCCCTACTGCCCCCAGCCACACCCAAGCTGTTGAAACTGGGGAAAATGTGTATCTGTAGAGAATCTCTGTGCCCCCTCCCCTTTCCAGGGGAGGCTTTATCTACATAACAAGGCCACCTTTGCTAGCCAAGCCTTTCCCTTTGTCTGTGTCCTAACCTGTCTTGCCACTAAACGTGTTTCAGGCCTTGCTCTGAGTGTAAACTCTTTACTGTGGTCTCAGGGTGGTATATAAGTTTCTGTAACTCATTGGAAAATTGGGTCTTCATTCTGAAGGCCACCATGTATATATATTAAATAAACATGTTATGTCTTTTCTCCTATTAATCAACCTCATGCCAGTGAATTTTCAGTGAACCTTTAGGGGGCCAAGACCCAATGACCCCCACACAGGAAATGCTTGCCCAAGAAAATAAATATTATAAATAATATTGTATTATTAATAATATAACACCACTCTGTTAAGGTGGTGTTCTTCCTTCCCTAGTAAGAAGAAACTCAGCTTTGTCCTATAAGTTGTTTGGATGATATATTAGAATAGTCAGTATTTGACAATGTCAATAGCTACTTGGCTAGTATTTAAGTCCAGCATGTATTAGGTGACTTCTATTGTAAAGAACTTAGAACTTCAGTCAAAGGAGCTCAAGAAAAAAAAAAAAAAAAAAAAAAAGGCACAGCTCTTGTTCTCCAAATCCTCACAAACTAAGAGAGATGTATGAGGCAAATAAGTGCCATAATAAAGTAATATTAACAGGTAGTTTGAGAGAAGAAATTAATTCCAACCAGGACATTTCAGAAGCCTTCTTGGAGGTGGTATGTTTAAACTTTGCACTGAAGTTTGGCCAATATGTCCAAAGGGGAATGAAGTCAGGGAGAACAATCTAGACTGAGGATACAATAGCATGAGTCGGGGCAATGAAGTAGAAAAAGCAGGAATGCATCTCGAAAACTCAAGTAGGCATGTGCTAGTATGAATAGTGACAAATGAGGCTGAAAAGTTAGATATAGATCAAAGTTTTACATACTTGGAATGCCAGAAAAGAGTTCCAAGTCATTTTATGCAATGAGAATGTATGGAAGATTTTTGAGCTCATTCTCTACTTCCTCAGTCTCCCTGTTCTTTTCTTTCCTTCTTTTCTATCTCTCAGGCTGTCTGCTTCTGTTCCTTGCTGTCTCTCTTTTCTTCCCGTTTTCCACAACCTGCAATCCCTCAATCCCTCTTTCCTTTCTCCCTCACCCACTCCTTTTCCCTTAATCGAATATCTTCCTGATTATCTTTCCCATCTCTTTGGCTTGCAACCTTTTATTCCCTTTTGTACTTTCCTTCCCTCTTTCATCTTCTCTCCACAGTTTGCGCTTGCTCCAGCTCTTGCACTTCATCCTACTTGCTAGTTATCCCCCTACTATTAGAAGTCTTGCTCCTATTGTCCCCTGTTCGCTTGCTTGTTGCCTGAGGCTCCTGGCCCTGCCCAGGGCCTCCTTTCTCTCTTCACTCAGTCTTTCTCAAACACTCCCCTTCTATACTTCTATATGTGCTTTGTCTTCATTATTGTTTTTTTTTTTTTTTTTTTTCAAAGAGTTACTTGACAATCCTTATTTTTTTCTACTGCAGCAAGTCTTTCTCTTTGTGACTAGGATGATGGCACCTTATTTTCAGCCATATGACCCAAAGGCAAAGGCCCTTTTCCTGCAGCTCCAAGCTGAAAAATCCCATGGAAAGACTCTAGTTAGCCAGCCTTGGCATAACTGTCTGCCCCTGTATTAATCATGGTGGCCAGGAGAATGGGTACTGACAGTAGCAAGGCTTTGTACCCATGCACAAGTCTATGGCTGGCAGCTTTTCCAGAGCCACAGAGACTAGGGAAGAGATGATTCCCAAGTCAGTAATGCTGGATAGACCAGGAACAGTTGATGTTCACTTTGTGATTATTATAGTTTCATTTTGCACATGAGGAAACAGACTCAAGATATTGACCCTCCCTATCACAAACACCCTGATTGAAACTGACTTAAAATTCATTTCTTAACTTCCATATGATGTCTTCATTCTCTTATTAATTTTAAATGAAGTGTCTTTGCACTGAAGTGTGCTGCTGCTTCTGTATTACAAATGTAGCAAATGATTTTGGGGGAGCATTTGAATTATGGTAGCTGATCTGGTCTGCTCTTTCCATTTTCTCTCTCTCTCTCTCTCTCTCTCTCTCTCTCTCATTCTCCTTGTCTCTTCCTCTATTTTTCTTTTCTTTCTTCCTCTTTCCTCCTAAGAGGATAGCTGAGGGGAAGAAACACAACTAATTCTTTTTTTATTTTTTTTTTGAGGTAGAGTCTTACTCTATCGGCTAGGCTGGAGTGCAGTGGTATGGAACTCGGCTCACTATGCAACCTCTGCCTCCCGGGTTCGAGTGATTCTCCTGCCTCAGCCCCGAGTACCTAGGATTACAGGTGTGTGCCACCACGCTCAGCTAATTTTTGTATTTTTGGTAGAGTTGGGATTTTGCCATGTTGGCCAGGCCAGTCTTGAACTGCTGACCTCAGGTGATCTGCCCATCTTGGCCCCCAAAATGCTGAGATTACAGGTGTGAGCCACCGTGCTCGTCCACAACCCATTCTTCATTTGATTCTTTAGTATGCATTTTCTTCTTCTTTACAAATATAACATCCTAACATTTCCAAGTGCTGATTTCTTAATACTGAAGTACCTGCTTGCCAGGCTGCCAGAGTCCAGCTGGGTAGCCTGGTGAGAGACTTTATAATGATCAGACCAGAGCATGATTCTCTTCAACAGAACAGGGAGTGATGCCACAGGCTGTGCATTCTAATGTCTAAATAAGCAGAATATCTTATTTTTTATCAAGATTAAAACTTTAAGCAGACTCAGCGTGTGTCAAAACAGAATGGAAAGCATTAGTTAAGTTCTAAGACAGAGAAAAGTGCCTTTGGTAAACTACAATTTGTTTTTACGTTAGAGAAGAGGTGCATTGCTCTTTTCCATTTTAATGTGTCTTTAATAGATTTATTTCTAAATTGAATAGGAATATATGTGCACACTTTGAAAGTTTGGGAAAGTATGTAACGGTACAGAGAAAAAGGAGAGAAAAACGCTGAGTGAGAGATGTTTCTTGCCTTTCCACCCCCATTGACATTTTTACATGATTCAAAAAATGGTGCTGTTTTAATTTTGCATCATGTTTTCCAGTTAGTTTTTTATAAAAAATTGCAAGATTTGCTACTGTTCTATGTCATCCATGCAGTCAGAAAACATGATTTTTAATTACTGAATAAAATATATGATTGTACCATGATTTATTATTTCCCTGATGCTCAGTTTGTTATGGTTTTCAGCCTTTTCTCAATGATAAGCTGCTAAACCTGGCATATTCTTTCTGTGTGCTTTTTATTTCTCCCTGACTTCCTTGACATGCATGTATAGGAGGCATAAAGTTCGTAATGCAATTCTGTAAGAAATGTTTTAAAAATGTTACTTCAATAAATCTAGTTTCAACTACGAGGTTCTGTTCCTTTAAGGTAGACAGGAAATATGCTCTCAATCATAATTGGAGCCCTTTAAGTCTCCAAGGTAGCCCCAGAAGTACAAAGCTCATGCTCCTGTCATCTGGTAACAGGGGAGGGTGAGTATGGAGAGACAACTGATACTGGGAAGCATTGTTTTCAAAAAAAAGAAAAGTACTTTTATGAAACACTACAAACTTTTCTGTAAAGTTCAGAGGTTTATGTAACAAACAGGCACCTAGACTTAAAGTTATTTTGTGATGGTTGCTTTAGATATTTTGTTTAAGAAGTTTAAGAAAACAAACCATACTAATACAGTTGAAGCTCACAATTTATCCCTTCCTAGAAGTAACTGCAATTTTAACATTGCTGAGAATTATTTCTATTCATATTTTTATACTTTTAAAAACACAGGTATTCATAAAGAATAATTAGTATTCTTTCTGTATATGAAATGTGTATTTCAGCATTGTCATGTTGTAGATATCATTTTTGTTGTTTCCTCAACAATATGTTTTGAGAATCGCTCCAGTTTGGGTTATTAAGCGGAGGGTCTTTCGTCTCCACTTCTGTGCTGGATAGACCAGGAACAGTTGTTCACTTTGTGATTATTATAGTTTCATTTTGCACATGAGGAAACAGACTCAAGATATTGACCCTCCCTATCACAAACACCCTGATTGAAACTGACTTAAAATTCATTTCTTAACTTCCATATGATGTCTTCATTCTCTTATTAATTTTAAATGAAGTGTAATATCCTCTTTGTATAAAGACACTATCATTTATTCACCCATTGTCCCTTTGATGAACAATTACGTTCATTAAGTGATGGCCACACTTATTATCATCAGATTTCCTATTTCCAGCCCATCTGAGGAGTATGGAATGCTATTTATTGTAAATTTGTTTCCTTTTTTAGTAGTGTGGGGAGAGCATCTAGTCATGTATTTATTAGTCATTACCATTTCCTCTTCATTGAATTACCTTTGCCCACCCTCTTTTTTCTTTCAGTTGAGTTGTATATCTTTTACTTATTTTAGTAACTTAGAGAATTGTTTATATATTCTTGATAGTAGCTCTTTGTTCTTTGTTACTCAACAAAGAAAAAGGATTTTTTTTCCCCCGTTTGAGACAGAGTCTCACTCTGTCACCCAGGCTGGAGTGCAGTGGCGCTCACTGCAACCTCAGCCTTCCAGGTGCAAGAGATTCTCCTGTCTCAGCCTCCTGAGTATCTGGGATTATAGGCGCCTGCCACCATGCCCAGCAAATTTTTTTATTTTTAGTAGAGATGGGGTTTCACCATGTTGGCCAGGCTTGTCTCAAACTCCTGACCTCAAAAGATCCACCCACCTCAGCCTCCCAAAGTGTTGAGATTACAGGCGTGAGCCACCACGCCTGGCAGACTAAAGGCTTTTTAACACCTCTTTAAAGCCTGTGGCATGCATGGTTGGTGAAGAAGTAATTCTGATTTCAGACCATGAATTTTAAATCATTATACCTAGGCTCAAACACATCTTTATTAACCAAAAAAGGAACTATTACAATGAACACATTTTTGCCAATGAGAAATAAGTTTGTTTTTTCCTGTAGCATAAAAATATGTGCTTTGGGATTTGACAAACTCTTGCAAAGCATTTTCTGCATCCTGCTGGTTGTGGAAGTGTTTTCCCTGCAAAAAGTTATTGAGAGTGGTAGTCGCTTGGCAAAGGGTCAGGTGAATATGATAGATGAGGCAAAACTTTGTAGCTCAATTCATTTAACTTTTGAGGCCTTAGTTGTGTGACCTGCAGTCAGGTGTTATCATGAAGAATTGGGCCCTTTCTGTTGACCAATGCTGGCTGCACGCGTTGCAGTTTTTGGGACATCTCATCGATTTGCAGAGCGTACTTCTCAGATGTAATGGTTTCTCTGGGAGTCAGAAAGCTGTAGTGGATCAGACCGGCAGTGGGACCGCTGAACAATGACCAGTACTTTCTTTGGTGCAACTTAGGCTTCGAGAAGTGCTTTGGGGCTTCTTCTTGGTTCAGCCACTGAGCTGGTCATTGCTGATTGTCAAATAGAATCCGCTTTTAGTTGTACATCACAATCCAATCAAGAAATGGTTCCTTGTTTGTGCATAGAATAATAGAAGATGACACTTTAAAACAACACTTTTTTGAAAGATTTTCGCTCAGCTCATGAGACACCCAGTTAATGAGCTTTTTTACCTTTCCGATTTGCTTCAAATGCTGAACAACCATAGAATGGTCAACGATGAGTTCTTTGGCAACTTCTCCTGTAGCTGCAAGAGGATCAGCTTTGATGAATGCTCTTAATTGGTCTTATCAACTTCCGATGGCCGATCACTATGCTCCTCATCTTCAAGGCTCTGTCTCCTTTGCAAAACTTCTTGAACCACCACTGCACTGTACCTTCGTTAGCAGTTCCTGGGCCAATGAGTCGTTGATGTTGCGAGTTGTCTCCGCTGCTTTATGACCCATTTTGAACTCAAATAAGAAAATCACTCGAATTTACTTTTTGTCTAATGTCATTTCCATAGATTAAAATAAACATATAATAAACAGCAAGTAATAAGTCGTTAGCAAAAAAATAAAAATAAAATGAAGCGAGAGATGCCCATTAAAATGATGTGTAACATAATCACATTTAAGAATGTATTCCAATTTCAAATGGCATCATATGAATGACTCTACTAAGAAATGCCAATATAGTTTCCAAAGTAGGTACACTATTTACAATCCCTCTAGCATCATATGAGAATTTTAGTTTTGCCACCTCCTCACCAACACTTGCTGTTTTTGTTTTTGATTATAACCATCCTAGTGGGTGTGAAGTTGTATCTCATTGTTTATTTGCATTTTCCTAATGATTAATGATATTGAGCATCTTTTCAAATGTCCAATAAGTGCTTATTGGACATTTGTATATGTTATTTGAAGGAAATGTGAATTTAAATCCTTTACCCATTTTTAATTGAGATGTCTTTTTATTTTTGAGTTGTAATAGTCCTTTATACAAGTATATGTATATCGGTATATAAAGCACCTGTATAACAGATAAGTAAATTGTAAATGTTTTCTTTGGTTCTGTAGTTTGTCCTTTCGTTTTCTTGATGGTGACTTCGAAGCACAAATGTTTTAAATCTTGATGTTTTCTATTTACTGTTGTCTCTGTTACATGTAATTTTGGTGTCATCTCTAAGAAACAATTGCCTTACTCAAGGTCACAAAGATTTCTATGTTTTCTTCTAAGTGTTTTATCGTTTTAGAGCTTACCTTTAAGTCTATGACACATTTTGAATTAATGTTTGTATTTAGTGTGAGGTAGGTGTCCATTTTCCCTCTTTTTTAAAATTATACTTTAAGTACTAGGGTACATGTGTATAACGTGCAGGTTTGTTACATAGGTATACATGTGCCACGTTGGTTTGCTGCACCCATCAATTCGTCATTTACATTAGATATTTCTCCTAATGCCATGCCTCCCCCCAGGCCCCCACCCCGCAACAGGCCCTGGTGTGTGATGTTCTCCTCCATGTGTCCACGTGTTCTCATTGTTCAACTCCCACTTATAAGTGAGAACATGCAGTGTCTGGTTTTCTGTCCTTGTGATAGTTTGCTCAGAATGATGGTTTCCAGTTTCATCCATGTCCCTGCAAAGGGCATGAACTCATCCTTTTTTATGGCTGCATAGTATTCCATGGTGTATATGTGCCACATTTTCTTTATCCAGTCTATTATTGACGGATATTTCGGTTGGTTCCAAGTCTTTGCTATTTGAATAGTGCCACAATAAACATACGTGTGCATGTGTCTTTATTGTAGCATGATTTATAATCCTTTGGGTATATACCCAGTAATGGGATTGCTGGGTCAACTGGTATTTCTAGTTTTAGATCCTTGAGGAATCACCACACTGTTTTCCACAATGGTCAAACTAATTTACACTCCCACCAACAGTGTAAGAGCATTCCTATTTCTACACATCCTCTCCAGCATCTGTTATTTCCTGACTTTTTAATGATCACCATTCTAACTGGTGTGAGATGGTATCTCATTGTGGTTTTAATTTGCATTTCTCTAATGACCAGTGATGATGAGCATTTTTTCATGTGTCTTTGGCTGCATAAATGTCTTCTTTTGAGAAGTGTCTGTTCATATCCTTCACCCACTTTTTAATGGGGTTGTTTGTTTTTTCTTGTAAATTTGCTTGAATTCTTTGTAGACTCTGGATATTGGCCCTTTGTCAGATGGATAGATTGCAAACATTTTCTCCCACTCTGTAGGTTGCCTGTCCACTCTGATGATACTTTCTTTTGCTGTGCAGAAGCTCTTTAGTTTAATTAGATCCCATTTGTCTATTCTGGTTTTTGTTGCCATTGCTTTTGGCGTTTTACTCATGAAGTCCTTGCCCATGCCTATGTCCTGATGGTATTGCCTAGGTTTTCTTCTAGGGTTTTTATGGGTTTTTTTTTCTTGCATTTAAGTCTTTAATCCATCTTGAGTTAATTTTTGTGTAAGGTATAAGGAAGGGATCCAGTTTCGGCTTTCTACATATGGCTAGCCAGTTTTCCCAGCACCATTTATTAAATAAGGAATCCTTTTCCCATTGCTTGTTTCTGTCAGGTTTGTCAAAGATCAGATGGATGTAGATGTGTGGTGTTATTTCTGAGGCCTCTGTTCTGTTCCATTGGTCTGTATATCTGTTTTGGTACCAGTACCATGCTGTTTTGGTTACTCTAGCCTTGTAGTACAGTTTAAAGTCAGGTAGCATGATGCCTCCAGCTTTGTTCTTTTTGCTTAAGATTGTCTTGGTAATTCAGGCTCTTTTTTGGTTCCCTATGAACTTTAAAGTAGTTTTTTCCAATTCTGTGAAGAAAGTCATTGGTAGCTTGATGGGGATAGCATTGAATCTATAAATTACCTTGGCAGTGTGGCCACCTTCACTATATTGATTCTTTTTATCCATGAGCATGGAATGTTCTTCCACTTGTTTTTGTCCTCTTTTATTTCATTGAGCAGTGGTTTGTAGTTCTCCTTGAAGAAGTCCTTCACATTCCTTTTAAGTTGCATTCCTAGGTATTTTATTCTCTTTGTGGTAATTGTGAATGAGAGTTCATTCATGATTTGGCTCTCCGTTTGTCTGTTATTGGTGTATAGGAATGTTTGTGATTTTTGTACATTGATTTTGTATCCTGAGACTTTGATGAAGTTGCTTATCAGCTTAAGGAGATTTTGGGCTGAGACAATGGGGTTTTCTAAATATACAATCATGTCATCTGCAAACAGGGACAATTTGACTTCCACTTTCCCTAATTGAACACCCTTTATTTCTTTCTATTGCATGATTGCCCTGGCCAGAACTTCCAATACTATGTTAAATAGAATGGTGAGAGAGCGCATCCTTGTCTTATGCTGGTTTTCAAAGGGAATGCTTCCAGTTTTTGCCCATTCAGTATGATATTGGCTGTGGGTTTGTCATAAATAGGTCTTATTATTTTGAGATATGTTCCATCAATACCTAGCTTATTGAGAGTTTTTAGCATGACGGGATGTTGAAATTTATTGAAGGCTTTTTCTGCATCTATTGAGATAATCATGTGGTTTTTGTTGTTGGTTCTGTTTATGTGATGTATTACGTTTATTGATTTGCATGTGTTGAGCCAGCTTTGCATCCCAGGGATGAAGCCCACTTGATCGTGGTGGATAAGCTTTTTGATGTGCTGCTGGTATTTTATTGAGGATTTTTACATCGTTGTTCATCGGGGATATTGGCCTAAAATCCTTGTTTTGTTGTTGTGTCTTTGCCGGGCTTTGGTATCAGGATGATGCTGGGCTCATAAAATGAGTTAGGGAGGATTTCCTCTTTTTCTGTTGATTGGAATAGTTTCAGAAGGAATGGTACCAGCTCCTCTTTGTACCTCTGGTAGAATTTGGCTGTGAATCCATCTGTTCCTGGACTTTATGTATGTGTGTGTGTATGTGTGTGTGTGTGTGTGTGTGTGTATATATATATATATATATATACACTTTAAGTTCTAGTGTACATGTGCACAATGTGCAGGTTTGATACATTGGTATACATGTGCCATGTTTGTTTGCTGCACCCATGAATTCGTTATTTACATTAGGTATTTCTCCTAGTGCCATCCCTCCCCCAGCGCCCACCCCCCAACAGGCCCTGGTGTGGGATGTTCCCCACCCTGTGTCCAGGTGTTCTCATTGTTCAATTCCCACCTATGAGTGAGATCATGTGGTGTTGGTTTTCTGTCCTTGTGATAGTTTGCTGAGAGTGATGGTTTCCACCTTCATCCATGTCCCTGCAAAGGATATGAACTCATCTTTTTTTATGGCCGCATAGTATCCCATGGTGTATATGTGCCACATTTTCTTAATCCAGTCTGTCATTGATAGACATTTGGGTTGGTTCCAAGTGTTTGCCATTGCGAATAGTGCTGCAATAAACATACATGTGCATGTGTCTTTATAGTAGCATGATTTATAATCCTTTGGGTAAATACCCAGTAATGGGATTGCTGGGTCAAATGGTATTTCTAGTTCTAGATCCTTGAGGAATTGCCACACTGTCTTCCACAATGGTTGAACTAGTTTACAGTCCCACCAACAGTGTAAGAGCATTTCTATTTCTACACATCCTCTCCAGCATCTGTTGTTTCCTGACTTTTTAATGATCGCCATTCTAACTGGTGTGCAATAGTATCTCATTGTGGTTTTGATTTGTATTTCTCTGATGACCAGTGATGATGAGCATTTTTTCATGTGTCTGTTGGCTGTATAAAGTCTTCTTTTGAGAAGTGTCTGTTCATATCCTTCACCTACTTTTTGATGAGGTTGTTTGTTTTTTTCTTGTAAATTTCTTTGTGTCCTTTGTAGATTCTGGATATTAGCCCTTTGTCAGATGGATAGATTGCAAACATTTTCTCCCATTCTGTAGGTTGCCTGTCCACTCTGATGATACTTTCTTTTGCTGTGCAGAAGCTCTTTAATTTAATTAGATCCCATTTGTCAATTTTGGCTTTTGTTGCCATTGCTTTTGGTGTTTTAGTCATGAGGTCCTTGCCCATGCCTACATCCTGAATGGTATAGCCTAGGTTTTCTTCTAGGGCTTTTATGGTTTTATTTCTTACATTTAAGTCTTTAATCCATCTTGAGTTAATTTTTGTGAAAGGTATAAGGAAGGGATCAACTTTCATCTTTCTACCTGTTGCTAGCCAGTTTTCCCAGCACCATTTATTAAATAGGGAATCCTTTTCCCATTGCTTGTTTCTGTCAGGTTTGTCAAAGATCAGAAGGTTGTAGATGTGTGGTGTTATTTCTGAGGCCTCTGTTCTGTTCCATTGGTCTATATATCTGTTTTGGTACCAGTACCATGCTGTTTTGGTTACTGTAGCCTTGTAGTATAGTTTGAAGTCAGGTAGCGTGATGCCTCCAGCTTTGTTCTTTTTGCTTAGGATTGTCTTGGCAATGTGGGCTCTTTTTTGGTTCCCTATGAACTTTAAAGTTGTTTTTTCCAATTCTGTGAAGAAAGTCATTGGTAGCTTGATGGGGATGGCGTTGAATCTATAAATTACCTTGGGCAGTATGGCCATTTTCACTATATTGATTCTTCCTGCCCATGAGCATGGAATGTTCTTCCATTTGTTTTTGTCTTCTTTTATCTTGTTGAGCAGTGGTTTGTAGTTCTCCTTGAAGAGGTCCTTCACATCCCTTGTAAGTTGGATTCCTAGGTATTTTATTCTCTTTGTAGCAATTGTGAATGTGAGTTCACTCATGATTTGGCTCTCTGATTGTCTGTTAATGGAGTATAGGAATGCTTGTGATTTTTGCACATTGATTTTTTATCCTCAGACTTTGCTGAAGTTGCTTATCAGCTTAAGGAGAGTTTGGGCTGAGACATGGGGTTTTCTAAACATACAATCATGTCATCTGCAAACAGGGACAATTTGTCTTCCTCTTTTCCTAATTGAATATGCTTTATTTCTTTCTTTTGCCTGATTGCCCTGTCCAGAACTTCTAACACTATGTTTAATAGGAGTGATGAGAGAGAGGGCATCCTTGTTTTGTGCAGGTTTTCAAAGGGAATGCTTCCAGTTTTTGCCCATTCAGTATGATATTGGCTGTGGGTTTGTCATAAATAGCTCTTATTATATTGAGGTACATTCCATCAATACCTAGTTTATTGAGAGTTTTTAGCATGAAGGGATGTAGAATTTTGTTGAAGGCCTTTTCTGCATCTATTGAGATAATCATGTGGTTTTTGTTGTTGGTTCTGTTTATCTGATGGTTACATTTATTGATTTGCATATGTTGAACCAGCCTTGCATCCCAGAGATGACGCCGACTTGATCGTGGTAGATAAGCTTTTTGATGTGCTGCTGGATTTGGTATCCCAGTATTTTATTGAGGATTTTCGTATCAATGTTCATTAGGGATATTGGTCTAAAATTCTCTTTTTTTGTTGTTGTGTCTCTGCCAGGCTTTAGTATCAGGATGTTTCTGGGCTCATAAAATGAGTTAGAGAGGATTCCCTCTTTTTCTATCGATTGGACTAGTTTCAGAAGGAATAGTACCAGCTCCTCTTTGTGCCTCTGGTAGAATTCGGCTGTGAATCCATCTGGTCCTGGACTTCTTTTGGTTGGTAGGCTATTAATTATTGCCTCAATTTCAGAGCCTGTTATTGGTATTGGTCTATTCAGAGATTCAACTGCTTCCTGGTTTAGTCTTGGGAGGGTGTATTGTCCAGGAATTTATCCATTTCTTCTAGATTTTCTAGATTATTTGGGTAGAGGTGTTTATAGTATTCGCTGGTGGTAGTTTGTATTTCTGTGGGATCAGTGGTGATATCTCCTTTATCATTTTTTTATTGTGTCTCTTTGATTCTTCTCTGTTTTCTTCATTAGTCTTGCTAGTAGATTATTAATTTTGTTGATCTCTTCAAAAAACCCACCCCTGGATTCATTGATATTTTGAAGGGTTTTTTGTGTCTCTATCTCTTTCAGTTCTGCTCTGATGTTAGTTATTTCTTGTCTTCTACTAGCTTTTGAATTTGTTTGCTCTTGTTTCTCTAGTTTTTAAAATTGTGATGTTATGGTATCAATTTTAGATCTTTCCTGCTTTCTCTTGTGGGCATTCAGTGCTATAAATTTCCCTCTACACACTGCTTTAAATGTATACCAGAGATTCTGGTACATCATGCCTTTGTTCTCATTGGTTTCAAAGAACATCTTTATTTCTGCCTTCATTTCATTATTTATCCAGTAGTCATTCAGAAGCAGATTGTTCAGTTTCCATGTTGTTGTGCAATTTTGAGTGAGTTTCTTAATTCTGAGTTCTAATTTGATTGCACTGTGGTCTGAGAGACAGTTTGTTGTGATTTCTGCTCTTTAACATTTGCTGAGGAGTGCTTTACTTCCAATTATGTGGTCAATTTTATAATGAGTGTGATGTGGTGCAGAGAAGAATGTATTATCTGTTGATTTGGGGTGGAGAGTTCTGTAGATGTCTATTAGGTCCACTTGGTGCAGAGCTGAGTTCAAGTCCTGGATATCTTTGTTAACCTTCTGTCTCGTTGATCTAATATTGACAGTGGGGTGTTAATGATTGTGTGGGAGTCTAAGTATCTTTGTAGGTCTCTAAGGACTTGCTTTATGAATCTGGGTGCTCCTGTATTGGGTGTATATATATTTAGAGTAGTTAGCTCTTCTTGTTGACTTGATCCCTTTACCATTATGTAATGGCCTTCTTTGTCTCTTTTGATCTTTGTTGGTATAAAGTCTGTTTTATCAGAGATTAGGATTGCAACCCCTGCTTTTTTTTGCTTTCCATTTGCTTGGTAGATCTTCCTCCATCCCTTTGTTTTGAGCCTATGTGTGTCTGTATATGTGAGATGGGTCTCCTGAATACAGCACGCAGATGAGTCTTGACTCTTTATCCAATTTGCCAGTCTGTGTCTTTTAATTTGGGCATTTAGCTCATTTACGTTTAAGATTAATATTGTTATATGTGAATTTGATCCTGTCATGATGATGCTAGCTGCTTATTTTGCCCGTTAATTTATGCAGTTTCTTCATAACGTCCATAGTCTTTACAATTTGCCATGTTTTTGCAGTCGCTGGTACCAGTTGTTTCTTTCCATGTTTAGTGCTTCCTTCAGGACCTCTTGTAAGGCAGGCCTAGTGGTGACAAAATCTCTCAGCATTTGCTTGTCTGTAAAGGATTTTATTTCTTCACTTGTGAAACTTAGTTTGTCTGGATATGAAATTCTGGGTTGAAAATTCTTTTCTTTAAGAATGTTGAAGTTTGGACCCCACTCTCTTCTGGCTTGTAGGGTTTCTGCCAAGAGATCTGTTGTTAGTCTGATGGGCTTCCCTTTGTGGGTAACCCGACCTTTCTCTCTGGCTGCCTTTAACTTTTTTTTTTTTTTTTCATTTCAACCTTGGTGAAGCTGACAATTATGTGTCTTGGTGTTGCTCTTCTCGCGGAGTATCTTTGTGTTTCCTGAATTTGAATGTTGGCCTGTGTTGCTGGGTTGGGGAAGCTCTCCTGGATAATATGCTGAAGAGTGTTTTCCAACTTGGTTCCATTCTCCCCATCAGTTTTGGGTACACCAATCCAATGCAGATTTTGTCTTTTCACATCCTCCCGTATTTTTTGGAGGGTTTGTTCATTTCTTTTCACTCTTTTTTCTCAATTTTGTCTTCTCACTTTATTTCATTAATTTGATCTTCAATCACTGATATCCTTTCTTTCACTTGATCGAATCGGCCATTGAAGCTAGTGTATGCTTCACAAAGTTCTTGAACTGTGGTTTTCAGCCTCATCAGGTCATTTAAGGTCTTCTCTACATTGGTTATTCTAGTTAGCCATTCATCTAACCTTTTTTTCAAGGTTTTTAGCTTCCTTGCGATGGGTTAGAACATGCTCCTTTAGCTCAGAGAAGTTTGTTATTACTGACCTTCTGAAGCCTACTTCTGTCAACTCTTCAAAGTCATGCTCTATCCAGTTTTGTTCTCTTGCTGGGAAGGAGTTGTGTTCCTTTGGACGAGAAGAGGCATTCTGTTTTTTGGAATTTTCAGCCTTTCTTCTGTGGTTTCTCCCCATCTTTGTGGTTTTATCTCCCTTTGTTCTTTGATGTTGGTGACCTACAGATGGGGTTTTGATGTGGATGTCCTTTTTGTTGATGTTGATTTGATTCCTTTCTGTTTTTTAGTTTTCCTTCTAACAGGCCTCTCAGCTGCCATTCTGTTGGAGTTTGCTGGAGGTCCACTCCAGACCCTGTTTGCCTGGGTATCATCAGCAGAGGCTGCAAAACAGTGAATATTGCTGCCTGATCCTTCCTCTGGAAGCTTCATCCCAGAGGGGCACCTGCCTGTATGAGGGTCTGTCGGCCCCTACTGGGAGGTGTCTCCCAGTCAGGCTACACGGGGATCAGGGACCCACTTGAGAAGGCAGTCTGTCCATTATCGGAGCTCAAACGCCATGCTGAGAGAACCATTGCTCTCTTCAGAGCTGTCAAGCAGTGATGTTTATGTCTGCAGAAGCTGTCTGCTGCCTTTTGTCCAGATATGCCCTGCCCCTAGAGGTGGAATCTAGAGTCAGTAGGCCTTGCTGAGCTATGGTGGGCTCCACCCAGTTGGAGTTTCCCTGTTGCTTTGTTTATACCATGAGCATTGAACCACCTACTCAAGCCTCAGCAATGGCAGATGCCCCTCCCCCGGCCAAGCTGGGGCATCCCAGTTCGATCTCTGACTGCTGTGCTAGAAGGGAGCAAGGCTCTGTGTGCATGGAACCCACTGAGCCAGTCACGGGAGGCAATCTCCTGGTTTACCAGTTGCAAAGACCATGGGAAATGTGCAGTATTTGGGCTGCACCATTCCTCCAGGTACAGTCATTCACAGCTTCCCTTGTCTAGGAAAGGGAAATCCCTCAACCCCTTGTGCTTCCTGAGAGAGTCGGCGTCCTGCCCTGCTCATTCTCCATGGGCTGCACCCACTGTCCAAGCAGTCCCAATGAGATGAACCAGGTACCTCAGTTGAAAATGCAGAAATAACCCGTTTTCTGCATCAACCTCAATGGGAGCTGTAGACTGGAGCTGTTTCTATTCGGCCATCTTGGAAGCGACTCCTCTCCTCTTTTAAAACGAATAGAGATATCTAGCTGTTCCAGCATCATTTGTTGATTCTCATATTCTTGTTATTCAGGTGAAAATATTTTCTAATCTTTGAGTCATTATGAAGTCATATGGACCCCTTCTTTACACCATATACATAAACTAACTCAAGATGAGTTAAAGACATAAATGTAAACCCCAGAAATATAATATAAAAATGCTAGAAGATAACCTAGGCAGTACCATCCAAGACATAGGAGAACAGGCAAAGATTTCATGACAAAGATGCCAAAAGCATGTGCAACAGAAGTTAAAATTGGCAAATGGGATCTAATTAAACTAAAGAGGAGGTAGAGGATCAGGAAAAATAACTAATGAATGCTATGCTTAATACCTGGGTGATAAAAATAATCTGTACAACAAACCCCCATGACACAGGTTTACCTAGCTAACAAACCTGCACGTGTATCCCTCAACTTAAAAAAAGTTCTGTTAATTTCCAATTAGTTGAGGATTCAATTTTGTATATGTGTTTATGTCTGTATCCGACTATACCTAGATATGTGTAAATACATAATACCTATATAAGTGTGAATATATATATCACACACATATATGTATATATATATTATATATATATATTATATATATATATATAGTTTTATTTTTTTAATTCTAGCTTAACTATACTCTTTCTTTACGGCCCAGAAAATGGTTCTCTTTTGTACATTCCCAGGTAAATTTGAAAAGAAAATACATTCTATAATTGTTAGGTAAAATGTTCCATCTCTGTCAAATACATCGAGTTAATTAATAGTGCTGTTCAAAACTTCTGTATCCTTACTGATTTTTAAAAATAGGCTCGTTAACTCAGTTTCTGAAGCAGATGTTTTTACACCACCTCTGTTATGTTTTTTCTTTTCTTTTTTTTTTTTTTTTGAATCCTGGCAATTAAGTTTTGCTTTTTATATATTGAAGGTAAATCATTGGTGAAATTTTTTAACTGCTATGTTTTGCTTGCATTGACTCATGTATTATTTAAAAATATCCCTTTTATGTTGAATTATACTTGTCTTAAAGTCTACTTTGTCTGATACTATAAGATTGATACTATCTACCTTTGGAAAGTTTGTGCATGCAATACCTTTCTCCATCTTTTAACTTTGACTTTTCTTATCCTTATATTTAATATATCTATCTTGTAAGCAGTCTGTGTATATGTGTGTATATATATGTGTATGTATATGTGTGTATATATATGTGTATATATATGTGTGTATATATATGTGTATATATGTGTATATATATGTGTATATATGTGTGTATATATGTGTGTATATATGTGTATATATGTGTATGTGTGTATATATACACACATATACACAGACTGCTTACAAGGTATGTATATATACACATGTATTGCATATATGTATATATACACATATGTATATATGTAAATATATACACACACATATGTACACATGTAAATATGTATACACACATGTACATATGTAAATATATATTCTGTATATGTATGTAAATATATATTTAAATTTAAACTGAGAATCTTAATTTTTAATTGGAGTAATTTATAGTTACTAATATATGTTGGTTTTAATCTGTACTCTTACTACTTTACAAAAACTCATATATTGTTTGTTACTTTTTTTCGTACTGTCTTACCAATTCTTTCCTCCTCCAAGGGTAAATTTTCATCATAATTTGCTGGGATTTTTTTAGAGAGGTCTTCTAGAGGGTTTCCTATCCTCTCAGTCATTTTATGTAGAAACATTTATATTCATTTTCTCCTGCCCTCTCGCTAATGATAGTTTAAATGTGTATATAATTTTGTATTACTAATTATGTTCCACTGGCACTTTAAATGACATAAGCTGATAGTGTTTATCATTGTTATTATGCCTTCTTGGTTGTAACTCTTTTTTCCTTCCTCAGGTAGCTTTTAAGATTTTTTTTTCTGTATCCATGATTTCTGCAGTTTTAGTTCAATATATCTATATATGAATTAATTTTTATCTTGCTCAGTGTCTGTTTACACTGAGACTCCTTGCATATTTTTTATTTTAGAAAATCCTTAGTGTATATCTTTTAAAATATTGCTTATTTAACATTTCCCCTTCTGTTTTTCTGAAACTCCAGTTAGATGCATATCGGTCCTCTGAATCTAATCTTCGTAATACTTTAAACATTGTTATTCCCTTTTTTCATGTTGTATTTTAGTGAATTCTTCAATACTGTTCTCTAATTTACTGATTTCCTTTTTGACTGGGTAAATTCCATTCCAGAGTTTATTCTGTTAACTGTTAATTTCAGAGACTGCGTTTTTTATTTACAAAAATTTTACCTGATACTATCTACTCATCTATCCTATATCCTATATATGTGTGAGAGAGGGGAGGAATTTTTCTTCCTTTTTTTTTTTTTGACGGAGTCTTGCTCTGTCACCCAGGCTGGAGTGCAGTGGCCTGATCTCGACTGGCTGCACCCTCGACTCACTGCAACCTCCACCTCCCAGTTTCCCGCGATTCTCCTGTCTCAGCCTCCCGAGTAGCTGGGATTACAGGCACGCGTCATCATGCCCAGCTAATTTTTGTATTTTTAGTAGAGATGTGGTTTCACCATGTTGGCCAGGCTGGTCTCGAACTCCTGGCCTTGTGATCCACCCGCCTCAGCCTCTCAAAGTGCTGGGATTACAGGCGTGAGCCACCGCACCCAGCTGGAATTTTTCTTTTTCTTTTATAATTGTTTTCTATTTTAAAGCATGTTTATCTTTCATTTTTCCTTTGAGGATTTTAAAGTCCTTTTCAGACTCCTCTATAACATTAATTCTTATGGATTGAATGTGTCATTGCTGAATTACCATTTGCTTATCTTGGTATTAGTTTCTTGTATATGTTTTAGATATTTTTCCTGTTTCAGATTTTTGTTTTGATGATTTTCTCTGACTCAAGTGATTTTTTATCTGTCTTTTTCTTAGGTCCCCAATAGGCCTTTGTCCAGAGCCAGGTTTTATATTACTTACTAAGGCTCTTTCTCCTGAGCAATGTGGAGGAAATTCTGTATCCTTCCAGGAGCAGGTAATGAGGCTGTGTCTAATCTCTGCTGTAGGCGGGGAGCTTCTCTTTACCTGTTGTGTAGGTGCAGCAGTAGGAAGCAGGGGCTCAGGCGCTTTCTGCCGCTCTCCTCTGTCGTGTCCTCAGTGATAAATGGTGAGCATATTGCCCTCAGGCAACCTCTGCCAGCTCCTAGTCCTGGTCCCCAGCAGCCCTGCAGCCTTAGCCTTACACACTTGGCATTTTCATCAGTGTTTGCTTTTCACTATGTTTATCTCATTTTAGAGACCATTTTATCTCTTTTTATATTTTTCCTCTTTTTATATTTAATTTTGATTTGTGGTTAAAGCAGAGAGCAGGCCTTGAGATATAAGCTCATTACATCACCTTGACCAGACTTTGAAGTGCAAGACTTTCTCCTGATGTGGGAGATTCTGGTCCCAGAGTCCAGCCACCCTTGGCAATCCATGGTGTTTACTAAATCTTGGCTTATGAAGTTCTGGCCTCTATCTTGGTGTGGTGTGAAATGTCTGCTACTAGTGACTTCTGTCTTCCTCCTTCTTCTTGTAAACTTCAAAGGACCTCTTTCTCTCCCTTCTTGTTGGCCTCAACAGCACTCTGTGTATGTTTTGATTCTTTTATTATTGTCCTTGATGGTCAATTACAGAAGCTGTGTTTAGCACCTAAAAAGTGTTCTTCTTTCCTGGAGAACAGATTAATATTCACACTCTCCCAGCAGGTGAAAGGCAACAACTGCATCTCACATGTCTAATTCACAGAAGAAAATGAAGATGAGCAAAGCATTTGAATGTACGGTCTTTCTAAGTAATGAAACTAATTACCTGCTACGTTTTTCTAAGAACTTTCCATTCTCTCTGCTTGAATACTTTTCTCCTAAATGTCTGTGTGCCTGACTTCTACCCATCAAATCTCAGATGTCACCTCCTCAGGGAGGGGTTTAATTCTTTTACTGTACTTTTCATTGTCCAGAAGTTATCTTGATTGATTGCTGGTATATTTTTATATTGCCTCTTTCCATTAGATTGTAAACTCCATGATGGTGGAGGCCATGCCTACCTTGTTTGTTATAATCCTCAAACACATAGAAGAATGGCCAGCACTCAGTATGTGTTCAATACTTGGGCAATGAATGAATGAGCTACTTTTGTTCAAGATTCAGCACTGGTTACTCTGATGATATGTAGTTCACAGAGCACCATGTAAAATCACCAGATGTGAGGGCTGGCAGAGATCATTCATCTGACACTTTCATTTTACAGAGGAGAAGGAACTGAGGCTCAAGGCTTTTCACAGTCATGTAACTAGTGACCATACTGGAAACAAGGTTGAATTTCTTTTATTCATGCCACATCAATAGTTTTTAAGGAATGCTAGCCCTTGGAATCCCTGTCACATGGTCAGTGTTCAGTAAATATAGAAGCACTGAACAGATTCCAAATCTGCCTCCGCTGCTTTACACATGCCAACTTGGATAATCACTAAGTCTCTCTGGGACTTAGTTTCTCTGTTTGCAAGATGATATAGGTGTCTTGTAATTTAAAAGGTAATTTAAAAGATTATTTGGCAATGCATGTGAAAATGTATTTTGACAGAGGCAGTAAAAGAATAATATAAAAAGAATGTCACTGCTCTTGTGTCACCAATCTTGTATAGCAAAGAATGATTGATGGCCAAGAGCTGGGAAAGACATTACAGGAGCCCCAAGACCTGAAGAAAGAATTAATAGGCATAGTAGTTCAGTTTCTGTTGCTTACAACAGAATATCTGACACTAGGTAATTTATAAGAAGAAGACTTTATTGCTTACAGTTACGGGTGCTGAGAAGTCCAAGGCGGTCAAGGGGCTGCGTCTGGTGAGAGCCTTCTTGTTGATGAGGACTGTCTGAAGAGTGGCACAGGGCATCACATGGTGAGGGGACTGAGTGTCCCAGTGTGCCAGCTAAGGACTTTTTTCTTTTCTTTCCCTTTCTTTTCTCTCCTTTTTCTTTTCTTTTCTTTCTCTTTTTTTTTTTTATTTTGCTTCCTCTTTCTTTTCTTTTTTGAGACAAGGTTTCACTCTGTCACCCAGGCTGGTGATTGTGCAGTGGCACAATCACAGCTCACTGCAGCCGCAATCTTCTGGGCTCAAATGATCTTCCCACCTCAGCCTCCCAAGTCAGTTCACCACTTTCTTCCTCTTCTTATAAAGCCACCAGTTCTCCTTTCATAAAAACTCATTAATTTGCTAATCCATTTATGAGGTCAGAACCCTCATGATCCAATCATCTCTTACAGGCCCTTCCTCTCAGTACTATCATGTTGGGGAATGTATTTCTTTTTTTTTAAATTTTAATCTATTGAAAATCTTAGTCTTGTTTTATGACTCGGGAATAAATCTCAACATGAGTTTTGAAAGGAACAAATATTCAAACCATAGCAATAGGTAAGGAGAAAGACATGACGAGATGTTGGTATTAGAAACTTATCCTTGTGACTGAGAAGCTGGGGAGTGGGCCCTCTTTGATTTCTCTAAGACACTGTTTTTGTAGCTATCAGAATCATAATATAACTGTCAGAAGGAATAGAATTAACTATGCAATCGTAACACATATGTCAGAGATCTGTCTGGGATGCCAGGCAATCAGCAAATTTTTCTCAAAATGGAAAACAAAAGCCAAAGAAGCATGAGTGCTTTCATGTGTCTATTGTTTATGGATAACATTTTATTTTCCCTGAGTTACGTGGATGTCATGGGAACAGGGTGGGTGCCTCATCCAGATGGGTTCTGTAAGGAAACAGGATGGGTAAATGGATGCTGAGGAGGCCACCAACAGAGTCTACTACAACCTGAATTTCGGACTAGATTGTGTCAAAATGGAGACATGGCCATTGGAAAACCTTCTGATTTGACCATTTAGGAGGTCAGTGGTGACTTTAGAGAACCATATTATATTAGAGGTAGGGACAATGATTAGATTGGAGGATATCTTTAAGTGTGCAAATGGTGAAAAAGTAAACATAGACTATGATTTTAAGAATTTGGGTGGTGAGGCCAGGCACGGTGGCTCACGCCTGTAATGCCAGCACTTTGGGAGGCCGAGGCAGGCAGATCGCTTGAGCCCAGGAGTTCAAGACCAGCCTGGGCAACATAGTGAAACTCCCTCTCTACAAAAAATACAAAAATTACTCGGGTGTGGTGGTGCATGCTTGTGGTCCCAGCTACTTGAGAGGCCAAGGGGAGGATGACTTGAACTTGGCAGGCAGTGGTTACAGTGAGCAGTGATTGTTCCACTGCACTCCAACTCTGGGTGACAGAGCGAGACCCTGTTTAAAAAAAAAAAAATTTGGTTGGTGAGTTTCTTGAGGTGGGCAGGATTGAGAGAATACTTTTGGGTCTGTGTATATTATAAATGACCTTTCCTACAAATAGGAAAGATCTGACAGTTTTGGTAGGTCCAGAGTGGCAAGATTCAGGAGAAAAAAAAAAAAGGGCATGAAGAGAAGGAATGTTTCCTTCCTCAAGGAAGAGAGCAAACTATACACACAGTGCTAAAGAAAACTGAATTTAAACACTGAGTGGGGATGGTTGAAGGTGTCAGGAGCCCAGGTTATTGAGATCAGAACTTGGAGGCATTCTATAGGAGGGAACGTGGTCTTAAACACTGGTCTAGGTTAGACACAGGTTGATATGGTTTGGCTGTGTCCCCACCCAAATCTCATTTTGAATTGTAGTTCCCATAATCCCCAAATGTGGTGGGAGAGACCCCGTGGGAGGTAATTGAATCATGGGGGAGGTTACCCTCATGCTGTTCTCGTGATAGTGAGTTCTCACGAGATCTGATAGTTTCATAGGGGGCTTTTCTCCCTTTTGCTTGGCACTTCTCCTTGCTGCCACCATCTGAAGAAGGACATGTTTGCTTCCCCTTCTGCCATGATTGTAAGTTTCCTGAGGCCTCCTTAGCCCTGTGGAAGGGTGAGTCAATTAAACCTCTTTCCTTTATAAATTACCCAGTCATGGTTATTTCTTAATAGCAGTGTGAGAATGGACTAATACACAGGTTTAGCTGACAACATAACCAATACCTTTCCTCACTGTATCCATTACTCTGTGTTAAGTCTTTCCTCTTACAGGGCATAATTTGGTTGGAGAATACCCATTTGGCTGGAGGAGAAAAATTAAAAAAAGATGAGCTAGTTGGGCCAGATTATAGTGTATCAGTTATTTAGCTTTTAAAGAGTAGAGAAGGACCCCTGTGGTAACTGTCTGGACTGTATGGTAACTGAACTGGAGAAGGGGTTGATTATAGAATTTTGGGGGCCTTGGTAGATTATCTGTGAAGGGGTCTTATAGAGAGCAGCAAGATCAGTTAGATTTTGGAGGGGACGTAGGTTATGAAGTGTAGAAATCATGGAAAGGATGGATTTAAGATGTACTAATCTGTATGAAACCATTTGGAATTAGAATTGCAAGGTTTAACTTGCAATAATTGCAAGGTTTAACAAAACAAACCTGGAATGTTGAGACAGGAGGAGTAGTTATGGGAGTTTGAGGAATGAAAGTGAATGAAAGGTAACAATGGTCAGAAAGGATGTCCAAGACCTGACTACATCAGTTATTACAGTCACAATTTATAGGCAGCTATCCCTTTCCAGTTGTGGTTAAATTTTCTTTGGTTTCTCTTCATGTCTCTTAAAAGGGGGAAGGGTTGGGGCCTTTCTCACCTAGCCCTTGCCTGAAATCCAGTAGGGGAGCTAAGCTCCTACCACCTTGTTGCCCAAACTTAGTTTAGATGTGTGGCTTGTCCTTTGATGTCAAATCTGTAGTAGAGCTTTGTAGCCATCACAGAGGCCAGCAGAACATTTTCAAAGGTTTTATTCTTCTGTGGAATAGAAGGAGAAGCAACCTTAAATCCCCAGGTATTCTCTGTGTTCAGAAGTCTTTTCAAATTTGACTCATTGGTAGACTTGAATAAAAGAACTGAAAATTACAAATTAAATAATTTTTAAAGCCAAGGTTAAAAATGATTTTTGTTCATCCATTTTATAAAATTAATGGTAATAAACTAACTCTACTTAGAAAAACAAAAATAAACAGCCTGATTCATATTAATGCCATCATTTAAAATGATCAGTGATCCTTATCCTTAAATATATATATTTTTTCACATAGCTTGCAAGGTACTGAAAGTTTGTGTTCCCCCCAAATTTGTATGTTGAAATCTAAGCCCCAATGTGGTGGTAGTAGGAAGTGGTGTCTTTGAGAAATGATTAAGTCATGTGGGTAGGGCCCTCGTGAATAGGATTAGTGCTCTTTTAAGTGGGACCACAGAGAAATCATTTGCTCTCTTTCTGCCATGGGAGGATACAATAAGTTGTCAGCCTGCTACCTGGATAGGGCCCTCACCAGAACGTGACCCTGATCTGTGACTTCCAGTCTCCAGAACTGTGAGAAATAAATTTGTGTTGCTTTTAAGCTACCTGTTCTTCAGTACTTTATTACAGGATATCAAACTGACTAAAACATAAATGTAATGATCTTTCATGTAATTCTAGGTATTTTAAACTTATTTAAACATGACATTTTTCCATGAGTTCCAAAATTACTTTAATATTTATTTCATTGATTGGGTGTACCATAATTTGTTTACTTATTGTTACTGTTGTTGGGGAAAAAAAGGAAAATTCCAATTTTTTTATACTGTGTTAAACAATTTTAGGTTTATGAATTTTTCTTCATGAGGATTATTTGTAGGGTCAAAGTATGTGCCACTAATTCCATTTTGTAGAAAAATAAAAGATACTAGTCTTTTTTGAAAATGTTTTATTATACAAATATTATAAACACAAAAATGATAAGAAATACCTACAATATCACCATCCAAATCAACTTGCTTCATCTTTCAGTTTCCCTAGCAGTCTTGATTCATGTGTGCACATCACTTTTACATATTTAACATCAAATTTTGCCATACTGAAATTAAATCCTCACAAATCTTTTTTAAAGGCAGCGTGATATTCCATAAATTTAAAATAACCATAATCTAGTTGGCCTTCTCCTTCGTCTGATTAGGAAGCATTGCTAAGTTTTCCCATCTTTAAATTCTGCTACAGTGCACACTGCTACTACTAACAACATTTTCCTATTTAAATATTGTTGCCCGGATGAATTTTGAAAATAGGTTTACTAGGTGAAGTTGTATAAACATTTTTATGACTATTTAAAAATACTGACCAATTACTTTCTGAAAGAATATACCAGTGCCCATTGCATCAGTGGGCAAATGTTTGTCTTACTGCATTTTGACAGGAAAGGTAGACAACTTCAAATAATGGGAGGAATTATTTTGAAGTTAATACTAAGCTCTGCCATTTGCTAGTAGAATTACTTTAGGCAAGTTTCTTAATTTCTTTGAGCACGATTTCTCTAAGACGGGGAAAATGCTGCCTACCTTACAGGTTCTTTTCAGGTCTAAACATATGGTATAAAACGGCCTTATTACGTTGCCCTCCATAAAGTCACTATTTAAACAGTCTGATAGGTTGAGGAAAAACAGCTCACTTAAATCCTATTGTTTTTTTCTGCAAGGGTATGACCATGGTTTCACCACATTTATTTGATAGATTTAACCACATTTTATTTGGTAGAGTCGAAGTTGGGTTTTTTACCATTCGTAAAATCATATTGCATCTTAAAATCAAGAAAATATTGTTTTTCTTGAAAAGTGGTTATTAATTGTGCTATCTTCCAGTGCTCTAGAATGGAAACAATGTACATTTTCACTTGTGTGCATTATGTGCTTATCTCCTTTGTTCATATATGTATTGATATCTTGATGGGTTAATAAGAATTAATTTGCATTAACTCATCAAAGTTCGTAATTTCTAACCATTTCTCCTATTTACTTGATTATTATTATTTAAGGTTCTCTTATTTGTGGGAGTGGGACGAGTGATGAAAGAACTTAAGAATTGCATATGGGCTGGGTGCCATGGCTCATGCCTGTAATCCCAGCATTTTGGGAGGTCAAGGCGGGCGAATCACCTGAAGTCAGGAGTTCAAGACCAGCCTGGCCAACATGATGAAACTCTATCTCTACTAAAAATACAATAGTTTAGCTGAGTGTGGTGGTACATGCCTGTAGCTTCAGCTACTCTCTCGAGAGGCTGAGGCTTGACAATTGCTTGAACCTGGGAGGTGGAGGTTGCATTGAGCCAAGATCCTTCCACTGCTCTCCAGCCTGGGCGACAGAGCGAGACTCTGTCTCAAAAAAAGAGAGAAAAGGAATTGCATATGCATGAATGTGCCAGTTTTTCCTTTTTGAGATTTTCCTTGTCATTCTTCCACAGATCCTAAGTAGGTTGTTATTCCATGGCCTATTATTTTGTCTTTTATTCACAGCTCATACTATGTTATAAGTGATCATTTTAGGTCCTTGTTTACCTCATTAGGCTCTGAGATATTTATTCAAGAGTAAAGAGAGTGTGTTATTTATTTATAAGGGAATAGGCATTCAATAGATGCCAGATGAACAAACATTTGACTCTGGTCCACTGGAGTTAATTTAAGGGGTGACTCTGAAGCCTCCTCAACCTCACCAAGGACGCTGCGGATCGGTTTTCCTAATAACAATCAAGTAATCACTACCTCTTCCCTTGGTTTGTAATGGTGTTCCAGCTATCAGCTTCCCTGGAGAACTATGTTCTCCTGGATCACTGCTTATTTCACACTTGCAACTGTTTGTTTCTTTGTGAGATTGCCCGTTTGTAAGCTGAGTACAGAGACCACCATCTTGTTCTTGCTCTCTGTCTTGGAGTGTTTAAGAATAAGCGGTAGATTGAACTGATAAATTGATAGATGATGAATTCTTATATTCACTTGAGTCTATTTCTGGGTTTTCTGGTCTCTTCAATTCAACGATTTCAGTTTAGACGCCTTGCACTCTGCTAGGCTTGAGTGATAAAATAGTGAGGAAGCCGTGCATCTGATCTTGAGCCGTATTCTAGTAGGCTAAACAGAAGAATGAATAGGTTGCTTCAGTACGATGTCAACCGTGATAGAGGTTGCCCTCTATCATGGTTGTCCAGTGTGCCCTCAAAGTACAGGGAAAGTTTTACTTGATCTATTAACGGAACAAGTCAGAGAAGCCTTCTTTTTTTTTTTTTGAGATAGAGTCTCGCTCTGTCGCCCAGGCTGGAGTGCAGTGGCGCGATCTGGGCTCACTGCAAGCTCCGCCTCCTGGGTTCACGCCATTCTCCTGCCTCAGCCTCCCGAGTAGCTGGGACTACAGGCGCCCGCCACGACGCCCGGCTAATTTTTTGTATTTTTAGTACAGACGGGGTTTCACCGTGTTAGCCAGGATGGTCTCAATCTCCTGACCTCGTGATCCACCCGCCTCGGCCTCCCAAAGTGCTGGGATTACTGGCGTGAGCCACAGCGCCGGGCCAGAGAAGCCTTCTTGAAGGGACATATCTCAGCAAAATCTTAGAAAGTGAGCAGGGGAAAGCCAGGCAAAGAAAGGTGAGGGGTATTTTCCAGGTAGGAAAATAGTATCAAATGCAATTGATCTATGTCTCTGATTTGGAAATGTTATTATCTTCATTATTGCTATTTTGTAATTTTTAGACAGTCTGTTAGATTTTTGTAATTCTAATGATTTTTCTTAGACAATATGTTTACCTTTTTTTTTTCTCTTTTATTTTGCCTGGTAAATTTTAGAATTATTTTGTTTACTTCTCAGAAAATTTCTGTTGAGATTTAAAAGTATTGGCATTTTGTTAAGTGTGAAAATTAACTTAAAGGAAAACAAGACAGTCTTTATCAATTTTAGCCTATACAGTTGAGAGTTGGTCTCTGTATTTAATATTTATCTCTCTCAAAATTTTAAAATTTTTATCTGGCCTAGGTTACAGCAGATCAATTATGGCAATTTTTTTCACATGTTAATTTACGAATGTATATAGGTATGTACATTATATATATATGTAATGTTATTTATGTCAGAAAAGGTATATTTTTGTAGAATTTCCTAAACAAAAATTGTTTCACTTTTGCTTATGAAACAAGCACTAATTTTTACTAATTTTACTAATTTTTACCAATTTTTATTATGGTTATTTTTTCAAAATTGTACATTTCATCAAGGTTTTCTATTTTTCTTACAAGGAATTATGTTGGTGTAACACATTTTTATTTTATGTGTTATTAAGCTTATTTTAATATTTTAAAAGATTTATCAGCAGTTTTGTTTTTTAGATTTTTAGTTTTTTTATGATGTAAAATCTAGAATTACTTATTCCATCTTAGTTTTGTTGATTTTTGTTCTTTTCTTGATTCTTCTGGAATCTTAGTTGAATGCTTTATTTATTCATTTCTCTATTGACAAGTTTAAATGCTCTTACTATGTCAAAGACTGCTTTGGCTAAATTTCATCATTTGTAGCATTTTTAACTGTTATTCTTTAAATAGGCTTGTTTCTTTCTCAAATCACCAGTTAGGGAAATGTTTTTAAATTCTTGGGATTTTATGTAAATATAAAATATATTGTCTGTTTTTACTTTCAGAGAATATAGTCTGAAAAGTTTAACGTTTTCATTTTGAGATGATATTTATTTCATTTATATGATTATTGACAAAAAGAAGTTTTTTTCTTTCCTGCCATGTGCAGAGAGGTGTTTGTGTGTGTGTTTATGAGTTAATTTTTTGCTTTGCCATATTGTAAGTTATAAGACAGGGGAGTAGTTAAAAATTTTCCCTTACAATTAAATTTGTCAAGCTCCTTCTGTTTATTTTTCAAAATTTTGGATTTTTGTTTTTGGTTACTTGCCTGCTCAGCACAGTGGTTTAATCATGTATAATCAATTAGACAGGGCATTTTATTATTATAAATTTGTTAATCTGAATCTCTCCTATACTTTTTGCCATAGTGTCTACTTTAAAATATTGATTTTCCTTTTACTTGTTTAATAGGTTAATTTTTTGCACCAAATGTTTTTAAATGCAATGTTTGACTTCATCTTCTAATAGATTAAAATCAATTATATACTCTTATAATTTCTACCCTTGATTTAATATCTATTATCCTAAATTTGGCTGTTCCAAATACTTACTTCCTATTAAAATATAATTTGGAAGATTCTATTCTCACATTTTATGTACCCATTTTAGATTCTAGTGTGAGTTGTCTGGAAAAATCTCACAAGTGTTTTTTAAATTTATGTTTAATTACTTCTGCCAGAGAGTCTTACAGCTTCATCCATCGTCTGTCCATTGATGGGTCATAAGGGTCTTTCTTGGGGGCTGTATATTGAGCCTCAGCTGCAAGAGTTCGGTGTTATCGAGAATAATTAACAATTGACATTCACAAATTAAAATTACCCTATCACTGGACTTAACTGGAGATGCTAATGCATACACATTGCTCACAAGTTTTTCTGAAATGCACTTGGCTTATTCCTTTACACTCTGATCCCTATTCCGACCCCTGCCCTACCCTGGGTTCTTTTCGTAGGGTAAAGTGAGCCATAGAATCTTATATCTCTTTTAAAGGGGTAATGATCAGAAGAAATCTCAAAAGTTGCTGATTTATACCTATTTGCTACTTTTTAAACCTTCCTTCCTTGGAAGACAAGGCAAAGAGCTTTTTTTAGCTTCCTGGTATTTTATCTGCTTTCTAATTTTGTTTCAACAATGATGTCAATTAGTTTGACATGTCAGTAACAGCCTTTCTGTCTCTTATTAGAGTTTATCTTTTTAGCTAAGATTCAGTGGTTTTTCTCACCAAGTCTCTTGAATTGTGATTTCATTACCTTTGATTTCGATTTTTGTTTGTTTGTTTGTTTGTTTTTTGGTAAATTTTTCCCAAACAGAAGCTACATAATAAAATTACTGCATCTTTGGAAATAAATTGTGCTCTGCCTGGGAATAATATTTTTATCAAATCCTTTTATCTTAGGAGTTCTGTAATGTTGCTTCAGTGATATTTGGAGTCAGGATGTAAGAAATAAGATGTGGCCTTAGATGAAAATCCAATTGGGAAAAGACATTGGTTCTGTCACATGTTAGATATGTAAAATTTGTTTAGATATTCTAGATAAGGAAATTACCTATCTACCTTATAATGTTGTGAAGATCAATTTAGATATATATTTGATTCTATATAAACTTTAGGAATGTATATAAGCATTTCTGGGGTCCCAGATAGGTAGGTAAATGGGTAAATCATAGTACAATGTAGGGTTATATAAGAAATTAGAACAAATGAGGGAATCAAGGAAGAATGACGAGGGCCACAGAGAGAAGATGATATGTGGATGAGATCATGAAGGATGATATCCTGGGGTGGGTGGTGCTGGATGGGAATAAATTCTAGGCAGATTCTAGCATGTCCACTGACCTGTCGTTGTGGAAGACCAGGAGAGATGAGATGCTCAAAATGAAGAATTAATTGTGGTGAGTGGATCCAAGTGGTTCTGCCACAATGCCTTCTCTCATCGATTGTCTCACCCATGGCCCCATCTAAGGGAGCATGAGGGATAAGCACCTGACTCAAAGATGGCTTATTTGTAGGCTAACCAGGAGCACTAAAGCAGCTTGGTTGTAAAGGTTTTACCTATTAGGAACCAATCTGGCTTGCTTCTTGAAAGACAGAGAAGGGAGCAGTGGAGAGGGCAGTAGTAAACTGTGGCCAGAGAAGCCTATGTAGGTCATTAGAAGAGAAATTGAGGATGGCTGTTCCCTTGACATGCTCCAAATCCTGGGGACTCCCAAATTCCAGGCCATGTTTTACCTTATAGTAAGCTCTCTTTTCATAAGGCAACCTGTGTGAATTTCTTCCCGAGAGTCAAAATGGCTTACCCAACTGATCAAAGGGATATGGAAGAGATGTTAATCTGAAAATTTATTCCTGAGGTAGAGTCAATAGGAGTGACTGATTTATTAGCTGTGAGAGAGGAATTCCCTAAAGAAGTGGACAAGGGTGCTTTCCTTCTTACCAATCATTATTTTTATTAATATATTTTACAAGACTGTGGTCGAAATAATATTAAATACAAATTTTTTATACAGAAAGTGTAATAAAGTTAAAATAGTTCCTTGTAATTCATAGCATTATTGAAATGCTTACAAAATTTTTGCATAGAGTGTGCAAGGATTGATGTTATTCAAAACAAAACTAAAAAGCTCTTCTTACATCACACCCAAAACCAGAGAAAAACCAAACCAAAAATAATCCAAAGGCTGAACTCAATTACTTTATGGGAATGGGTTTTTTTTTTTTTTTTTTTTCAAAATCTCCAAGCAAATGGGACTTCCATGACCTCACCATTTTGGTTAAGAACATCAGAATCCGGCTTCTTCAGAAGCGCATCTAGCCAGCATAATGATGGATAGCCTCTGCCTTTTCCTTCTAAAACACGACCTCCTTAAGAAGTATGTCTCAGCTTCTTCATAATCTCAAAAAGGGAGAAACCTGACTGGGGGAGGTGGTTGATACATGAAAAACTTTATTCCCTCCGTCACAGACTAGATAAAAATTAATTTTGTGTTCACTAAATTTAGATGTGCCGACACTTCCCTTTACTTTTCTAGAATCTTGCATCTCTTCCAGAGAGCTAGATTTCTGGCTCTGGTAAGGTTAGTCCTATGAGACCCTTTAATGGTATCTATTCCTGGCTTGCCATTTGGATGTCTTAAACCATTAAAAAGGAAATCCCTGACTGACTTACTGTAGAGTCGAGTCTTTTTCATTTTTGGCTCATCCTTTTACTAAGGTTTTGTGGTGGGTTGTTGAACCAGGAAAGCACTGGCACTGGGGCTGAGTCTTTTGGGTATGGTGAGGAGCTCTATCCACAATCCTGCCAGAGGACCAGATATGTGTTGTGGAAAAAGCACATCAGAGAGGGATGGACCCCAACCTCTTTGCTGCTGTGGCCCTCTAAGCTCTGGGTGAAGGCAGGTTGACAGCAGGGCTTTAACAAGGGCATTATGGTTTCTAATCTTTTTGCATGATCCCTGGCTGAGTTAATTCTTCAAAATGACTTTGTCTTTTTAACTCTTACAGATCAAACCCTGATCCCTTTGCTTAGAAGATGAAAGCATTCCAAAGAAACCAAGCTGTAAGGAACTTCAGATGCACTCATTTTCTCCCTTCCTAGTTGAAACACCACCAAACCTCATTGCTGAATCTAGGATGCCAGTGTAAAATACACAGGTTCAAAGTTAAAGGGTGCCACTTTAAAAATAAGAACTGGCAAATGAGTCTTATTTCCAACTCAGATAAATTGGTAGTAACGGCCTGAGTGCTCTGGGGAGGAGAATTCTGCACCTGGGGAAGGGTATGGCCCATTAATGATGGCTGCCAAGGTGTGAGGCCAAAGACATTACAGGACCAGAGTGGTCAGCTCAGCTCTGACATTGTATGCCTAATGCAGTCAGTGAGTCCCTGGTAGTTCTTTCTTATAGGGAAACAGAGACAATGATAGAAATGAGCTTCCCTCTATTTGATCGCTTCCTTGAGTTTTGCCACAAGTAAAGGTAAAGAAGAATACTGACCAAATAGTGTCAAAGATCAAAAGTAAGATATTTGTCTTTTGAAGGGAAGTATAAAGGAAAGAGATGTATGTGTGCAGAAATGCTGACTTGTTTAGCCACACACACAGATAACTGAGTATTACAATTTTTTCCTAAATGTGAGGCTAACAACCCAGGTATTTTCCGGTCTTTTTTTTTTTTTTTTAAGCTTGACCTAAGCATACACAGAAAAAATTAATATTTTTGTTGTTGTTCTAGATTCTATTATTCAGGCAGGCTTTCTATATTTTCCCCTTAGGTATCTATACTTTAGTATAGATGCTGTCACTGTGAGAGACTACAGAAAGCAGGGAAAATAGAAGTTCTATAGCTTCATCTACCAAGGAAGATCTAGTTTAAAACCTAGTAGGGGACATGTCCCAACAACTTGAAAATTAGTTTGACATGTGGTGACTTTATAGCATAGTGGTCAGGAGTTAAACCTACATTCCAGCTCTGCCATTTTCTAGGTAGTGGCTTTGGGCAAGTTTCTTAGCCACTATAAGCCTCAGTTTTCACATCCGAATATTGGAACTATATTAAAACCCAACTCAAAGGATTGTTTTGAGGATGAAATAGGAGAATGTATGTAAAATGTTTAGCACAGTGGCTAGCAATAGCTCAGTGAATATTAATAAATATTCTTAAAATTGAATAATAGAATACAACTCTTCCCATGTCTTCGGGTAGCTTCAGATCCAGGAAAATCTCTTACGTTTTGCAAGATTTTGTGGGGTGGTTCTTTTTGGGGAGAAGTTTCATAGATTGGCTCAGATTGTCAAAAGAATCTATGGCCCCCCAAAATGTTAGAACCCCATGAATTAGATGAATATGGGAACTAAAGAAACACTGTCTTCCTTGTTGACAAGTGTCGTCTTCCTGCCCTCAGACAATCCTTTGGCTACAAGTGTTCCCATGGAACCTAATAGACCAGTTTGGAGTTTCTCGTTTTATGAAATCCTGAGCTATCTCTGATTTCACCAAAAAACCCCAAATGTAGAAGTAGGATGTGAAGCCATTGGAAAGTGAGGGACTATTAGACAACTCTAGGCATGTGGGGTGGATTTTAAATCAAGCAGATGTTTTCTTTTCTCTTCTCGCAAAGAAGTCGGCCTCATATTTGTGTTATTAAGCTGACCTTAGCTAATGTTCAGTGATGAAGCCAAATTCACTCACTTACTAGTGAGGCTGTCCACATACTTAATGAGGCATTTGGAACCCCACTCTGGCTTCCTACTGCAACAGGTGGATTTAGACAGTAAACATGCTTCTCGATTACAGTGGCTGTTTCTTTGTTCTATTCCACCTGCATATCTCAAAATGGGTGATGATATTACTGCTTGCTGGGCTGAAGTTGAGGAGCAGCAGTGAGCACTGTTGTTGGAAGGTTTGAGACTGTTTATTGATGGATTTGATAGCATCATTAACACTGTATGATGACATCACACTTACTATTGCATCAAGGGCTCATGACATTCTTGCTCTTTCTCAAATAAGGATGCTCATTTCCTCCTATTCTGTCAATATCTACAAAAGGAAGGTAGGGGGAGAACCAAAGAAAACAGCATGTGTGAGCATGAGTTGCCCCAAAAAGGTTATTTTCTTTTACATGTATGCTCTAACAATACTCAAAAGGAGGACCTCCCACAAGTAATTATTTTCCCTTTGCCATTCAAACCTGCCTTGAGAAATTTCAGGGACTCCCTTATGAAGAAAGCTTTTAAGAACCATAGAAATCACATTGCTTTTGAAAGTGCGAGCGTGTGTGGTGTGCTGTGCTGGCTGAAGCAGCAGGCTTCAGACTGCTTTATCTCTTATCAGTGGTTTGGCTTTGTGCATGAGAAATTCAGAGGCAACTGTATAATTTTAAATTCCGATTACCACAAAGAAAGAGAGGCATCTGACATCCCAATGCCGTGGCTTTGACTATTTTAATGGAAATATGTTGGAACTAGGGGAACCTTCCACCACGGAGATAGTGATGAAAGACCACAAGAAAGACATTTTATCTTTGAGATAAAAGGCCTGTTTTCGAAGGTTGTTTCTTATATTATAACTTTTTCCCAACCTGCTACTAGGGCACTATGCAAATGTATCATTCCAGGAGCTGTTTCCTTATCCTTTTCATGCCTAAGATTTCTTGGGACAGGGGGAAGAGGGAGAACTGGTCTTGTTTAATGAAATTTTTGACCTTTCATAGAGCCTTGAAAAATCAGTATCAGGTGCTGGAATGGATCTATTTACCTTTTTGGTCCAAACTTCATACTACCTTTGGCCTTTATAAAATAAAGCAAGATACTCTGATCTAGCTGCTGCCAGTTTATTTCAACTGTTTCCAAATAAAAGGCTGAGGGATTCCCTTAAGTGACTTTGATTAGGGTCTGGTAAATGGGGGTCATTTACATTTAAAAAAAATTCCTTCCTCCCCACCATGATACTCATACTTCCAGAGTCATCCCTAGCTGATACTTTTTTTTTTTTAAGCGATATTGAGTATGAAACCCTGGATGAGCAAAAGGGATCTTGACCAAAGGGATAAATGTCTGATAGGAACCTGCCTTACCACACACAAGCAGAGATGTCAGAATATGTCTTTTCAAAATATGTTTTTGTTGTTGTTGTTATAGTTTTTTGCATTCCTTCTACACCAGAGAATGAAGACCCAGATTCTTAGAAATAAAGCCAAACTGGCATTCATCTGGTTTCTCACAGCATCAGTTTGATAAAAAGAATTTCACTGTATTTTTTTTGTCCCCATGTATTTTGCTTTTTCCAATACTTCCAATTATTTGTTGGTCTCACTAACTCTTCAAGCCTGGTGTGGCTGTAGGAACAGTAAGCACAGTGGCGGTGTTGATAACTGACGTGATGTGGGCTAAACAGACATGTTAAGTCAAAACTATTCTCTGGAGGACCATGGAATGGGCATCCCTCTAGACTATGGGAGGGTGAAGTGGAAAACTTTAATGAATATAGACAGCAGAAAGAGCCTACAGGAAACAGATTCTAAGGTTGAACCACAGGGTCCCCTACTTCACTCTCATTACACAATGATGCTGACCTGCAGAACCTGGTATGGTCTATCAATTAAGGGTCTTGGAGGATCATAACTTTCCTTTTCCATTAAGCTTCCACTAATCCCATCCTCCCTGTTCCCAGGCATCCTCTGAGCCTGTGTTTCTCTGGCAGGTGGATCAATTACTTCCACATGTCTTGGAAGGCAGGCTTTCCACATGTAACATAAGGAAGGGCTTCCTTCCTGAAAGACTTTGCCAAGTAACTATATTCCCAAACCTACACAGAAATGTAAGCTTACTCCCTGCTGTTTGGAAATGTGCTTTCTTTCCTGCTATATCCAATGCATACCACAAAAACCTCTAGGTCAGGGGTGAGGAAACTTTGCCTGTAAAGGACTAAATAGTAAGTAATCTATGCTTTGTGGGATACATAGTCTCTGACACAACTACTCCATCCTGCTGCTGTAGTGTAAAATCAGAAAACATGTAAATGAATGTATGTGGCTATGTGACAATAAAACTTTAACTACAGGAAAAGGTGGTAAGTCAGATTTGGTTTCCAGGTCATAGTTTGCCCACCTCTGCTCTAGGGTCAAACCTTAAGCAAACTTTGGTCTATAGTTGCTGGATATGCGATGAAAATTATCCAAAGAGAAAATGACCTAAAGGATGTTCAAAGCCAGTTCAAGTTTATCCCTTGGGTAACATAACAATTATAAAGCCACATGTCAGGCTTTTACCTAGGTAGATGTCACCATAAGGGCTTTTGAAAACCTCTGTGATACTCGAATAGTTTCCCAAGACTTCTATGACTTCTTGAGCAGATATCAAATAGAAGTAAATGTTGAACATATTTGGAAATCAGTTTTTAATTTGTAAAAATCTTCTGAACAATATTAACCTACTAGAACTTCTAGTATATTGAAGGTTCATTTGGATTCTTTGTTATGATACCAGCTGTTTAATATACCCAAAGGTGCGATTGTCTAGAAAATGTCATATATAAAGATTAGAAAGAATCTCATTTTTTAAAAAGTAGGCGTTAGTAGATTTTTAATGTAAAAGCTCCCCGCCGGCCCCCAAGAATTCAGGTAAAATTTTTTCTCTTGACCACTGACAAATATTCTAGTTTGAGGGTGTTGGGATAAAAAGATGTACATTGAGAAACTTATAATGCATACCAATTTCCAAAATCTGAACAAAATGCATAATTTAACCCATATCAAATTTCCTGCTTATTACTTTGTATACTGTGGTCACTTAGCATAAATGAAAAATTGAATGTTATGTCTGTTCCCAATAGGTACTTGATTTATATGGTTGATTGCTCTTATTTTTATTCTGTTTGTGATCTCACTACCCTTAGGATTAAATTTTGCATGTGGGATCACACCAGTCTCTTTTATTGGCATGAAACTTGTGGTGCTAATCTCATTCCTTCACGTGGTGATTAGAACAAAATCTAAGCAAAAACGTTCTGGGAACTTTTTGCTTTTTTGTCATCTAAAGATTAATGAACTTCAGATGGCAAAATGCAAAGACAGTCTACTTTAAAAAATCACCTGTCTTAACCTATCTAGCCACAAATGACTTTGTAGCTATCATTGTTTATCTGAATGATATGGGATAGGTGCTCCTAGTAGCCAAGGAGGGCGTTTCCTGGCTTGGAAAAACCCTGTATTGATACATACAGATTCTGGCAACATGGCCCTATGGAATATTAATTATACTGATCCAGCGTAATCTGATGTCTTTTATGGTTTTCCTTTTTAGACCTTAGTGCTACAAACCAACCAATCACGGGGTCTCACCCCTAAGAGTGACCAGCCCAACTCTTCTGCATGAGATATTGAACAAGAGTGCTTGGAGTGAGTCTGGGGTCTGGACGCCAGCAGCATCACTGGCCAGGCTAGGACCCACGCCGCTGTCCCCCACCATCTACTTCTAAGTAAGTGACTAAGCAACACACAGCTTGCTTTTACATCCCATGTGTGCAAATCTCAGCCTGATGCTTGAGTGTCATCTCAAAAAATATCAAATCTTTTATTTCTCTCCTATCACAAAACTTCCCTTGCTTGTAAAGTAAGAAAAAGTAAAACCTTGTTGAGGGAAAAGAAAAATCCAAATGCCACCCAGGCCTACAAATACTACTTCATTTAGGCTTGCAGGGCCACTACTTTCCAAATGGCATCCAGGACTGTCTAAGCCAGTGATGAGTTCATTCTGGGCTCTTTGAAATCCACATCATCTGCCAGCCATTTGGCTTGTCTATCAGCTTTTAAGATGTCCAGTCATAACTAAGTCATTCCCCTCCAATCACCCAAAGTAAACTATAGGTAACAAGATAAATAAGATGTGCTTCTCCTTGCTGAGTGCATTGACTTAAGGCATAGGCACATTTCCCCCTCTTTGAACAGAGATGGTGTAATCCCCTGTCCCAGCACAAGAGCTGGCCAGGGTGACCCTGGAGCATGATGATGAAGGTGGGGTGATGAGAGGTAGCTGATGGCGGGAATGAGGTGCTGCTTCCACATACAGGGAAGCAGGTACTGCTGGGCCTCAGGGGACACAGTGATTCTCATAAAGACACTCAGTTTGTATTATCTTTCAGTGCACAATTCTGGTGGCATGTAGTGCTTCTTAGAGAAAACACAATAGTGGCTTTAGGAATATGAATATCCCGGCACTGAAAAAATATATAAGAAGAACAAAGTCAGAGAGTTTGTGAATGCCTTTAAAAATAAAGGGCATGTTTTGACATTTCCCACCAATCCCAAGAAACATGGTAAACATAATTAGGTTCCTTATGCTACTCTTAATTAGACTTCCAGGCTTCTTTTGGGGTAGGAGTTCTGCTCTTAGGGATTTTGATTGACCTGATCATTGTGGGTTGAAATCTTTTGGTTAAAGTCAGAAGTGAGAACAGAACAGCTTTTAAGCCATTTTTCCCTTAAACAGAGACATATCACCCGTTTGTTCATTGCCCATCAGGCCATTAAGTAGCTTCCAGCTCACTGAGGAACAGCTGTTATCTTATTTTGTGCTGATTTACAGCTCCTAATTTGACTGTAGGAGAATCTGTGAGTTTGGAGGGAGCAAGATAGCAGAAGTTGGGTGAGCAGTTCAAAATTTGCTGAAATTCATCCTCCTCATTCATTCAACTACAAAAACCCCAATATGTCTGGTAGCCAAGGTAGGCCAGCCATTTTGAATTCCTACGGCTGACTTCTACAGCATTGCCAGTTCCTAGCTTGAAGAGGGGGAAGTTAGCCAGCCTTACTAAAGCTAAAACAGGAAATCAAATGCCTATTTTTGATACAAAGGTCTCAGAGCTTGAGTGCGACTGAGATTCCCGCCATCACTCCCTCGTAATGACACTAAAAGAGAAGATATGCTGCTACTCGAATATCTAGATGAAGATTCTGTCAGTGTTTAATACGCTGTGTGATTCTGAATGGTCTGGGGAATGTTGGGACGGATGTGTGTTTAGATTTCTGTCACTCAGGTGGTGGGGATGGGATGGAAAATGACAGTGGATATCGCAGGGTCACCCATGGTTCCTTTTGTACTGAAACCTCATTTTATACAGAGGATATATATATTTATTTATATATATTTATATATATTTATATCCACCCACACACGCGAACACACTCAAGCACGCACACACACGTACACATACACACAAGGTCTTTGATAGGCTTTCTGTGTTCTAGTAAAAATAGCTGGCAGCCAGTGTCTAAAGCCAAAAAAGGCCTTTATGCTGCCAACAATGTCCACTATGGATAGTCTTTCAGAGGCAGACACTTGTGTTTATCTGACAAGTGGACCCAGCTCCTGCCTGAGACAGGAATAATCTCCCATTGGCGCAGACGCAGATCTCGAAGACCTTCTGCCTCGTTCCTGTAGGCGTGTAGGATCCATGAGGCAGTCTAGGTAGCCTGATTTTCGCAGCATCTAACTTAATCTAAAGACAGAGAATAGGAAGGAAAGCATTGGTCAGAGGCTGTCGTCTCTTCTCTTGACATTCAGAAACAGCAAGTGAATGTTCAATTCAACTGAAATCTAATGAGCACCTACTATGTGTTGATTATTTTTGGTACTGGGGATTTGGATACCAACAAGATGGAAAGTCTCTACCTTCACAGAAGCTTAGATTCTAGCAAGATAATGCTGCATTGATCTATGTTAGCATTTTGCAAAAAAATGTCATACAGAATGTAAATAGAGTCCTAGAGTCAAATAAATGTGAAAATGTGACATTTAACAATTTTCTTTACTATGGGACTTCCCAGATCCTACTATGACTGTGTGCAAGGTGAGTGTTCAAGAAGAGAATAGAGTATGTAACATTTTCCAACTTTTAAATGCTAGTGAGCCTTTCTGCTTTTTTTTTTTCTAACAATTTATGGGGCTGATGGTCTATAGAATATACTTTGAGAAAAACATGCCTATAAAAATATGCCTATAAAAATAAGCAGTTGTGGAAGCTGCCATTAGATTTACGATTATAACTGATTCCTCCAGAGTTCAAATTCTGATAGCTATAAACTGCATATGTGAGGTAGCCACTATTTTTATATGTGTGTGGTTTGCAGTTTGTAGCTGCTTGAAGAGGCAGTTGTGATAACTGAATGTTCTGACTATCTCTTCTAAAACAAAATAGGAAATGCCATACCAATCAAAAGGGGGACTTTTATATCCATCGAGTGGATGTATAGAAGCAGGTAGAGACTGATAACCTCTCTCATTGAATAGTCAGGTGGAATAGCATTTTTCTTAAAAAAAAAAAAACACACAGATTTTTTAACTCTATGATTAAATAGCAAAGTTCACTTATGAGCACTTTGAAGGCATTTTTAAAAGTTTACAGACAAATCACATTTTGGGTGTGGGTAGTAATTGGCTTGTCTTGCTAGCAAAAACACAAGCAGCATTTCTGTTCACCCAGCTGGGACTGTGTTGGCATAAGAGAATGAATATCTGCAGTGTTTCATTCCCTTGCTGCCTAGTCTTACCCTATAAAGTTTTGGCTTGTTCTGGTTGGGACAGCTGTTCAATCTGCCTCCCCATTTTCAGTGAAAACAGAAACATGTGACACAAAGTAATGACAAGTAAATTAAGTTCATCTTGAGCCAGATGTGTATAATATATACAGCTTAATTATGTTGGCTAACAAAATCTTATTTTAAGGTGACAAGAGAGAATTTGAAAATAGCATTCATTTTCATGGTCATATAATTCTGTACTTGGAATACATGCCATTATCTCTGCATTTTACAAATAAGAAATCATCACTTTGATGGATTGTGGGTTTGGCTTATAATCATGCTGCTCAATTAATTGTTTCAGAAATAAAACCTGCTTGGCTCCTTTTGTTGATACACTGTAGGATCCAACTCCGAGGTCAACCAGTTATGGGAAGGGTTGGCCTGTTGAAGCTGTAGCTCTTTGAACTTCTGTCCTTCTCATCCCTCACCTCTCCATCTTTGGATTCCAGTCTCAGCTCTGTCCTGCAGGTGGCTTCCATATTGCCAGCTTCTGCATTGATTTCCACTCCTTTTGGGGCCTCCATCACTAGAGACCGGGTTGGGGACTCCAACCTGAAAAACACCCAAGATCGTCAATAAAGATCCCTTTTTCTTTTTAATAAATACAAAAGGAAGTTCATGCTCAAGGACATTAACAAAGCATTCCAGTATTTGATCAGAGAATTTTTTAAAGTTTTGCTTTACAACCTGGTCAAGTTTATGACAGGGAGCATAATAAGTCTAGGCTTTATCTTCATTGCATTTTACAAAGGCTGTAAGGAAAGTGTTCTAGGATCCTGGTTTCACTTGATCTTATATCCAAGTGTTGTTTTATTGGTATAATTAATCAAACTCATATAAGCTTTTTTTTTTTTTTTTTTTTTTTTTTTGTAAAAGTAAGTCAATCCCGGATCTAAACCGAGCTTCCTGGAATTGGTAGGTATCCTTTCTACTTTGTCCTGCTTCTGTATCTTCCATGGAGGCAGAATCAGATAGAGGTTAAAAAAATGGGTCTAGGAGTCTGACATGCTTGGAGTGAAGCCATGGGGTGGCCACTAAATGACCATGGGTAAGTCTTTCTTTACCTCCTCTTTCCTTTCTAAAATCTCTTAAAGCCTCAGTTTCCTCATCTATAAAGTGCTTCAAATAGTGCCTGACACAATAGAAATGCAAATATGTATTATATATTACTATTACTGCTGTTACTATTGTTACAATACCAACCAATCATAAGAAAGCCTCAGGCCTTAACCTTCAATGCAGCTGTCATTTCTGCACTGCAGAGAGGGTCAGTGGTTGCCAGGGGCTGGGAGGGGAGGTGGTCTGACTGCAAAGGGACAGCATAAGGAAAACATGTTTTGTGTGACGGAACTTGATTGCAGTGGTGGTTACAGGTCTCTATGTATTTGTGAAAACTTGCAGATGAGTGAATTTTATGGTATGTAAGATAAAAAATAAATCAAGAGAATCAGCCACATTCTATGCTAATTATGATGGCAAAACAGGATAATACTCCTTAGGAGGAAGCTTTTTGCCTAATTCATATAATGAGAAAAACATTAACTGAAACTCAACCATCCCCTAAATATTCTAATTTTATTTTTCTTTTTCTTAGAAACAGGGTCTCACCCTGTTGCTCAGGCTGGAGTGCAGTGGCACAATTATAGCTCACTGCCATTTCAAATTCCTGTGCTTAAGTGATCCTCTGGCCTCAGCCTCCTGAGTAGCTGGGTATGTGCCACCACGGGCAGCTAATTTTTAAATTTTTTGTAGAGATAGCGTCTTGCTATGTTTGCCCAGGCTGGTCTCAAATTCCTGGGCTCAAGTGATCTTCTCTCTTTGGCCTTTCAAAGTGCTGGGATTACAAGCGTGAACCATCATACCCAATTGATTTTAATACTATTACCAGATAGGAATGTATGAAGATCCTCCTCTCTGTTACAAAGAAAGTATCCTAACGTAGGAACGGAGACCTCAGCAATGGTTCTCAAAACACTCTGATCCAGACCAATTTCCTGAATTTAATTTCAGTGCTTCTAACTTTCAGACACCTTAAACATGTTAAAAAGGAACCTCATTCTCCTTGCCCACTATTGATTCTTTGTTCTGTTTTTGCCACTGCCTCTGAGTAGGGTAAAGCCTCTTGGGCCTCAGTAAGTGGCAAACAGAGCAAGCTGACCAGTAAGATCCACTACGGAGCAACCCCCAGCCACATTGCACAAATGCCAAGAGAGAGCTCATCCACATTTTTCAGGTCTAGGTTCCTGAGGATTGCTTCCAGGCAGCAGCCTTCTCCCTTGAATTGTCCCCCCCTACAATGACTCAACTAAAATCATCAAGAGAAGCAATAGTCCTGGAGTACTTACGAAAGGATTGGCCTGAGTTTCTATGTAAATAATTTTTTCTTCTGTGGTCTCACCCCTTTGGGTGTGGCAAAAATCCTCCACTCCCCACCTCCCCTCCTCTTAAGACCTTCACCAGGTTGTGCTGAACCAGGTGCAGTTCTGCCCATTATTGTGGTTCATCTCATTTGCATTTGGTTTGATAATGTCAGTGCAACAGGGAGAGGGACTCAGTAGCAGGACAACAGAAAGTGATGTCTGTGCAGTACGGCCTGGTCTAGAACCTTAATCCAACTAACTGGAGCTGCCCCTGTGCTCTTGACTCCCTCTCACTTTTGAGATATGAAGATGGTTTTTTTTGCCATTCTCTGTGTTTTCTCTCCTATACAGTCTGATTGATGCACACAGTTTATCCTAAGTTTTCTAACTGCTTCTGTTTCCACTAATGTCGATACCTTTCTCCTTGTAGGATGAGTTTGTGCTTTTACTATACTTCCTGCTCACCTCTTACCAGTGTCACTGCCATCATCCC
The DNA here is from genome assembly GCF_000001405.40 of Homo sapiens. Lineage (NCBI taxonomy): Eukaryota > Metazoa > Chordata > Mammalia > Primates > Hominidae > Homo > Homo sapiens. The sequence continues at coordinate 156,755,279 of NC_000005.10, read as the reverse complement.
CCTTGCCAAGGTGAGAGTCCTCCTGTCATCTTTTCTCTTTCTTCCTTCTTCCCTCAGTTAACACGTCTTTTAACTCAGAACTTCTCCGTTTTCAGAATCAAGCCATGGAGTGGCCACTAAATGACCATGGACAAATCTTTCTTCCTTTCCCTCCTCTTTTCTTCCTAAAATTTCTTAGAAGCATTCTCAAATGTGAGCATGAGAATCACCAGGAGGGGGTTATGAAAGGGTTGCCTGTAACCCGGACTATTGTAACTGTGTCTCAAGTTTTGTCTCTAGTTTTTCCTTTTTCCCAATGAACTTCACACAAAAATATATCTTCCCGAAATAAGTTTTGAATATGTTACTTATCAAAACTTGTAGAATATGTTCTACAATTTCCTTAGAAGAGATCTGAACTCCATTTAGAATTTGTTCTGATCTGTTTTGCTGGTCTTATTTCTTGCCTTAAACATCAGCTATGTGTTATTGGGGGGTTTGTTACTAGGTGGTGACACTGCTAATGTGTTATCTCATTTAATCCTCACCAAAACCTATCAATCTGGTGTTTCTATAGTCCTGATTATACAAACAAGGAATCTATGGTACAGTGACTTGCTCATGGTTATACTCCTAGTAAAATGGCAGAGCCAAGATTTGAATTCAATTTAGTGGACTCCAAAGCTAATATTTGTTTATACCATATTAGTTCCAGAATAACTGTATTTCTTTCCATCTATTGTATCTTTACCCCTATTTTCTGTAATCCTTTCTTCAAGAAGTTAATGCTTAAATTTCTAAAACCAATCTATGTAAACAATAGTGAGGTAATAGTAGTATATATGGCTGGGTGATGCATACTTCATGGTTATACAGTATTTCTTATAACTTATTTAAACGGTCTACTTCAGCAATATCAAATTTAGGATATTTGGAATGTGTTCAAACTTGGTACATAGAGTTCAAAGTGAATGATTCAATATAAACAGAATAGTTTGGTGAAAAAGAAAGCTTGAAATAGAAAAAAAGTATGGAGCTTACAGAGCTTTATCAGATGCAGGACTGGCATTTCAGACAGGCATTAGAATTCGCTTTATTCTTGCCCACTGCCTAGGCCTCTGAGATTAGCAGGAGGGACCCAGGCCGGAGAGGTAGACTCAGAAATGACTCCTGCCTTTCCCCACATCTCAGCCATGAAAGAACCAGGGTGGTGAGAAAGGGCACTACTCTGAAAGTGTCCTATTGTGAAAGGCTGCAACAAAATAGAGATGATGATTTCCTGGAAGCAGTGACAAAAAAGGTAACTGGCTTTCTGTTTTACAGCCCAGCTTAATGTCCTTTGATGTTCAAGCAGACTTAACAGAAGTTGTTCACACGCTAGTCTTTCCACTGAGATAAAGCTCCTTGATATGGTTTGGCTGTGTCCCACCCAAATCTCATCTTGAATTGTAGTTCCCATAATCCCCACGTGTCATGGGAGGGACTTGGTGGGAGGTAATTGAATCATGGGGGTGGTTACCCCCATGCTGTTCTCATGATGGTGAGTTCTCATGAGATCTGATGGTTTTATAAGAGGCTTTCCCCCTTCGCTTGGCACTTCTCCTTCCTGCCACCTTGTGAAGAAGGTTCCTTGCTTCCCCTTAACCTTCCACCATGATTGTAAGTTTCCTGAGGCCTCCCCAGCCATGGGGAACTGTGAATCAATTAAACATCTTTCCTTTATAAATTACCCAGCCTCGGGCAGTTCTTTATAGCAGTAATAAAATGGACTAGTACACTCCTACCAAAACCCTGTGGAAACTGCAGAGAGCATCACTCCTGAAGTGATGTCCGTCAACCTCTGCCCATAAATTAATGACCACAACACAATTGTTTAGATGGCATGTAGTAAGGAAAAATGGAAGGTTTCCTCCTGATGGGAGTGGCAGTTAAGGGTCCTGCTGACTCTTGGAAATGAACACTACTTCCATTAGGAGAAACTGCAACCCTCTCAGAGGAGAAAGAAGAGCCTCACTGAAGAGATGCAGAAAGGAGGAGTGGCCAGGAAGGGTGGGGGCCGGAGCTGGGCCGGGCCAGGCTGTGCCATATCTTCAAGAAGAATGGTTCTCAAATGTGAGCATCAGAATCACCTGGTGGGCTTGTGAAAACAGTGCTGGGTCCACCCCTAGAGTTACTGATTCAGTAAGTCTAGAGGGGTGCCCACACATCCACATTTGTAACAAGTTCCCAGGTGATGCTGATGCTGCTTGTTTCGGCGGGCCACACTTTGAGAAGCACGGCTCTAGTCCAAGGGTCATAAACTCAGGTGCCCCCACCAAGACTAAATAGGTGATGACAGTGAGTAACCCATGAGAAAGCTGTAAGTAAAATGACATTCCCAGAACAGTAACATGGTATGTGGCACTGGCCTAAATGTGAATGAGGCGATGGAGATGCTGTCTACGGGGACAGCTGCTCTTCTATCTAACCTGGCCAGTGGTTGCCAGGGCTTCTGATTTTAGTGTTTTCTAATTTAAAATGTTTTGAATTTTGATCTGAATTATTAAATTTTATGAATAGACACAAAATAATATAAAATTATAAATATGGTATAAAGAATGATAATGCTGGCCGGCACGGTAGCTCACGCCTGGAATCCCAGCACTTTGGGAGGCCAAGGCGGGTGGATCACCTGAGGTCAGGAGTTCGAGACCAGCCTGGCCAACATGGTGATAACCCCGTCTCTACTAAATGGAAAAAAATTAGCCGGGTGTGGTGGCAGGTGCCTGTAATCCCAGCTACTTGGGAAGCTGAGGCAAGAGAATTGCTTGAACCCGAGAGGCAGAGGTTGCAGTGAGCTGAGGTTGTGCCACTGCACTCTAGCCTGGGAGACAGAGCAAGACTCCATCTTGGGGGGGAAAAAAAGAAAGAATGACAATGGTTTTGTATAATTATCATCTTTTTTAAGAAAAAACAAATTTTGTAGCAACCTGAGCTCCTCTTCCTGATCCCTTCTATTTCCTTCCCCCCGGGAGTAACAACTATTAGGAATTTTGTGTTTGCTGTTTTCCTGCTTTTCTTTATGACTAAATTTGCATCCTTAAACAATACACTACTATTGCATACTTCACACGCAGAATAATTCCACTTTATAATTCTTTAATGACTTTTGTTTTCCCTCCTCAATATGATGTTTCTGAGGTTATTCTACATTTCAGCACATAGCTGTAATTTATTCCATTTCCCTAGTGTTACCATATACCATGATTTATTTGTCCATTCTACTGTCGAACACTGGGTTGGTTTTGGGTTTTTGTTTTTACAAATGGTGCAACCATGAACATTCTTGTGTGTGGCTCCTGATGCCTGAATGCAAAAGTCTCTTTCAGACTAATGTGGGAGAGTAGACTTGCTACTCCTAAGGATCTGCATATCTACAGCTTTATTAGATAATGGCAAATAGCTTTCCAAAGTGATTGCTCCAACTGACTTTCCCACTAGTGTATAATGTTCCAGTTGTTCACTTTCTTGCTGACATTTGATACAGCTAAGTATGAAATGACTGTGAAATGGGATGCCATTGTCTTTTAAAACTGCATTTACCTAATTATTAATGGAGTTAAGCATCTTGTCATTTGTAAGCCATTTGGGATTTTTGTCAGTGAAATGTTTTCATCTATTTTGTTTATTTCTATTTTTGTCTATTTTTTATTTTTTGTGTGATTTGTGGAATACTTTTATATAATCTGAAAAATATTCAGCCGTTCTATGTATTGACAATTTCTTCTTTCCGTTTGTGGTTTGTCTTTTATATTTACCATCTGTGGATGAACAGAGGTTTTACATTTTAATGCAGACAAATTTATGGTCTTTTGGAATAGGGATTGCACTTTCTGTGTCTTACCTGAGCAATCCTTCCCTACACTGAGGTCATGAAGCTCTTCTATATTGTTTTCAAAGGTTTTATGTTTTCTTTTTTCATTATGTCTCTAATTCATCAGGTATTAATTTTTGTGTATAGTCTGAGGTTGGGGTCAAAAGAGATGGAGATTATCTCAACATATGTTGAAAAAGCCAATATTTAGGTCCATCATAAATAATATTCCCATACCTTTATGGCTCTCTTTTGGGGTTTTCTAGTCTATTATTCTATTTGTCTATCCCTGCAAAATATTGTTTAATTAAATATTGTAGCTTACTTGAGTTTTAAAATTCTTTATACTTCATAAGGCAAATCCTCTTACCTTATTCTTGTTCAAGAATGTCTTAGCGATTCTTGGGTCTTCCACATACATTTTGGAATGAACTTAAGTTTCATAAGGAAATTCTTTTGGAATTTGGATGGGATTCAAATTCAATCCATGGACACTGTAGCTATCTCCAATTACTTATGTTTTATTTGATGTATTTCAATAGTTTAACCTATCTTTTGTAGCTATTGAAAATGGTGTTTTTTAAAAAAGTATTTCTCATTCTCCTATTCCCTGGAATATAGATATCCTATTTTCCTGAAATATAGATATCTAATTGACTTTTTTGGTATGTTGATCTTAAAAATCAACACCTAGGTAAGCTGTTTTTCATAATCTATCTGTAGGTTATTTTAGGTTTTCATTGCAACTATAAATTATGTTAATTTGTGAAAGTTTTATATTTTTCTTTTTTTTTTTTTTCTGAGACAGAGTTTCACTCTTGTTGCCCAGGCTGAAGTGCGGTGGCGCAATCTTGGCTTACTACAGCCTCAGCCTCCCAAGTAGCTGGGACTACAGGTGCCCACCACCACACCTGGCTAATTTTTGTATTTTTAGTAGAGACAGGGTTTCACCATGTTGGCCAGCCTGATCTTGAACTCAAGTGATCTGCCTGCCTGGGCCTCCTAAAGTGCTGAGATTAGAGGCATGAGCCACTGCGCGCGACTGTCATTTCTTATACTAATTCTTTTTCTTTTTTTACTATACTGTCTAGAACCATACAATACAGTGTTGATTAGAAGTAAAGAAATGAGAACCTTGCTTCTTCCTCACCTTAAAGAGGAAATTTTTCAACAATTTACCAAATTTACCATTAAGTATGTTTTTTATTCTAGGATTTTTCTCCCCTAATGCCTTTTAATAAGATAGTTCTCTTCTATTCTCATTTTGCCAAAAGTTTCTATCATTAATTAATGTGAATTTTATCAAATGCTATTTTATATAATGGAATATCTATTAAGATAATATATTTCTCCTTAATATATTAATGTGGTGAATTATATTAATTTTCCAATAACTATCTACTCCTGTGTTTTTGGCTTGAGCCCAACTTTGTCATTATGTATTATCTTTTCTATATATTTCTGAAAATATTTCATTTTTTTTGGTAATTTGCATCTGTATTCATAAAAGAGTGTGTTCTATAATTTTTCTTTCTTGTAATACCAATGTCGGGTTCTATCACTTTTCTATAATCCAGAATTGTTTATGAAAGATTAGAATTATTTGTGCCTTGTATGTTTAAACACATTGATAAACCCTCTGGGCATGAAAAATACATGTTTTTCCACCAAAAAATAATTACAGCCTCATAGAGGTTTTGTGTTTCTTCTCCAGTTTTTTTTGTAAGTTAGCTTTTTTTTTCCATTTCATATAAAGGTTAAATTTGTTGACAAAGTCTTTTTAAAATAATATCCTCATTTTTAAAATGTCCCCTGCTATTCTCCTTTGCACTGATAAAGAAGATTTTTAAAAATAAAAAATAAGATGCCCCCTGCGTTTGTAGCTGTCTGTCTTTTTTTTGTCCCACATATTTTTTTCACGTCTTCTTTTTGCCTTGAACAGTACTGCCAGAGGTTTATTATTAGTCCTTTCAAGGAGCTAACTTTTGGGTTTGTCAATCTGATCTATTTTTATGTTTAGTTCATAAATTTATCTGTCTTGTCCCAGATAATTCTCCAGTTGTTTCAAGTTCTAAAATGTGCTGTTTTGTTAATTTTTGCCTTTCCAAATTTTAATATATGCATTTAAGTTATGAATTTTTCTTTGACGGCATCCCAAAGGAGTATTTATAATATAGGTGTAAATATTTTCTAATTTTAGTATGACTTCTCTTTTTGGCCTATGAGGTTTATAGAAGGGCGTTCTTTAGTTTTAGAAATACATAAGATTTATTAGTATAGATTTCTAGTATTTTTAAATTTTGAACTTTTGAACATTGTTTTTGAACTGACAATCTTATAATAGAGAACATTTTCTGTATAACATCAGTTCCTTAAAAATTGAGCCCGGGCTCAATGGCTCACGCCTATAATCCTAGCACTTTGGGAAGCTGAGGTGGGCAGATCATCTGAAGTCAGCATTTCGAGACCAGCCTGGCCAACATAGTAAAACCCCATCTCTACTGAAAATACAAAAATTAGCTGAGCATGGTGGTACACGCCTGTAATCCCAGCTACCCCAGAGGGAAAAGGAGGCTGCAATGAGCTGAAATCACACCACTGCACTCCAGGCTGGGCAACAGAGCGAGACTCCATCTCAAAAAAAAGAAAAAATTGAAACTACCTTTTTGTCTCAGTATGTATAAATCTTGCATGCCTACCTGAAGAGAATGTGTTCTTCAGTTGTTGGTGCCATATTATATGTCTTATTAACTCAAGTTATTTAGTTGTTCCACTCAAATTTTTTGAATATTCATATCTATTTTTATCTGTTTTATCATTTACTAAAAGAGGCATGTTATTAGATGCATACCAGCTTGGAATTGGTTTATCCTCTTTATCTTAATATATAGTGATTCTCTTTATTTCTTGTAATGCTTTCTGCCTTAAAATTTATTTTCCTATTAGTATAGTTTTTCCACTATGCTTCTGTTATTTGCCTTGGACACATTTTTCTGTCATTTTAAATATCAACTATTCTATTATGTTTTTAGAGGTCTTTAATATAACCGAAATTTTTAAAATTTCAGATGACTTTTTATTGAGGTAGAACTTATATACAGTAAATTGCACTAATCTTACTTATATACTTTGATGAATTTTGATAGATGTATAGTTTCAGGTAATCACCATCGCATCCAACACCAGTACCCCAGAAAGTTACCTCATGCTTCTCTGCATTCACACCCACCACCCTCCAGAGGCACGCATTCTTCTGATTTCTAGCACCACAGATAAATCTTGCTTGTTTTTGAACTTCATATAATGAGAATAATAGATTTTTACTCTTTTATGATTTTTGAAACTAGAGATTCTTCCGTGTGGCTCTGTTCATCAGTTGTTCATTCTTTTTATTGCTTAGTAGTGGTTGATTGCATGAATAGACCATGATTTGTTTACCCACTCTACTGTTAATTGACATCTGGTTGTTAACAGTTTGTGGCTATTTTGTAGAAAGTACTATGAACATTCTTACACAAGTCTTTTTGAGGAAAAGTTTTCATTTCTCTTGAACAGGCAGCTTCGAGTGGAATGACTAGGTTATAAGACAGGCATGTCTTTAATGTGTGTGGTGAGGCAGCATCTAAGATGGTCCCCAGGAATCCTTGTCTCCTGGTTTTCATGCCCTTATGTTATTCTCTCCCCTCAACGTGGGCTGGACGTAATGACTTCCTTCTACACAAGTAGAATATGGCAAAATTAGTGGGATATCACTTATGAGCTTAAGATGTAAAAAGACCGTGGCTTCCATCTTAGGCTCTTGTTCTCACTCTTTCAATTTGAGGGAAGCCGGCTACCATGTTGATAGCTGCCCTGTGGAGAGGCCCAAGAAACTGAGGGAGGGGAGGCCATGAGCCCAAGAAAAACTAAGGTGTTCAGTCCAACAGTCTACAGAGAACTTAATCCTACAAATGACCACTAGAGTGTTTTTGGAAATGGACCCTCCCCTAGTCCAGCGTTTGGTAAGATCACTGCCCTGTCCAATAGCTTAACAGCATCCTCATAAAAAAGTCTTGAATCAGATCCATCAGCTAAGCTGCACCTGATTCCTGACCTACAGAAAATGAAAGGTAATAAATGTCTGTGGTTTTAAACTGCTAAGTTTTGGGGTAATGCGTTACACAGCAATAGATTAATAATACAATTAGAAATTGTCAAACTGTTTTCCAGGATAGTTTTGCAGTTTTACATTCCTATCACCATTGATGTTGAGGGTCTTTTTAATTATAGAAATTTTGGTGGCTACATAATAGTACTTTATTATGATTTTCACTTTTTTGATGACTAATGTTGTTAGGCACCTTTTCATGTGTTTTACTGGGTGTTCAAATATGTTTATTTGGAAGGGGTCTATTTAAATCTCTCCCCCAACTTTTTACAATTAGGGTACTTGCATTTTTGTTATTGACTTTGTATATATCCTAAGTAAAAATTCTTTTTCATATATATTTCAAGTATTTTCTCCCAATCTATGAGTTTCTTTATCATTTTTTAAGCAGTGTCTCTTAATGAGTAGCTTAAAATTTTTATTTTAATTTTGATAAATTTCAATTTATTAATATTTGTAATTTTTAGTACTTTTGTGCCTTGTCTAATAAACCATTGACTACCCCAAGGTCACAAAGATATTCTTCCCATGTTTTCTTCTAGAATCTTTATAGTTTTAGCATTTATGCTTAAATTTATGATCCATCTTGAATTAATTTTTAAGAATAGTGTTCATTTTTTCTAATAGGTTTATCCAGTTGTTCCAGCTCCATTAGTTGAAAAGATAATCCTTTCCCCATTGAACAGCACTGATGTTTTTGTTGAAAATCAATTAAGCATATATGTGTGGATCTATTTCTAAACTCTCTGGTGTATTTATCTGGCCTCAGGATACTACCTGGCTGTCTTAATTCTCTTAGTTCTGTATTCTTTAATCCTGCAAGACTACTGTTTATACAATCAACATTTATTTATGTCTACGTATTTAACTCTTTACATATTCCTTCTGTTACCTTAGGCTTTCCAATATCAAAAGAATCCTTGATATTTTCCTTTAGTAGATGCCTTCTGGGGTAAGCCCCCAGTTTTGTTTTTCTGGAATAGATCTTTAATTTGCCCTCCTTTTGTGAGAGAGATTTTGGCTATATCCACAACACTGCATTGACAATCATTTTCTCTCAGGTATTAAAGTTACTATTCTTTCACATTCTGCTTCTCACTGTTGTGATGAAGAAGTCAGCTGTCAGTCTAATCTCAATCCCAGAACTTCTACTTGGTTTTTTTTTTCTCGCCTACTCCTTTTTTATCTCTGATGGTCTATAGTGTCATTCTGATATGTCTGCATGTAAATTTCGCTTTATTTGCAGTATTTTAATTTTAATTTAATTTTTTTTTTTTACCCTTTAAACTTGTGGTTTTGTGTCTTTCTTCACTTTAGGATAATACTCACCTGATATGTCTTTGAAAACTGTTCTTGCCCTAGTCTCTCTTTCCTCATTGATTCTGCAATTTGGATTAGATGTTCTTACTCTAGCATTCCTATTCTTCTGTCTCTCTGCTTTTGAGGTAATTCTTCAGATATATGTTCATATTGATTTATTTTTCTCTATTTCTCATATTCATTGGAATTTTGCTTTTTGAGATTGTATTTTCATTTCTAGAAATTCTGTTTCATTTCTTTTCTAATGTGTTATTTTTATATGTCTTTATTTTTTACTCTGTTAATTTATTCCTGTGTTTTTTTATGCATAGTAAACATACTTGTTTGTTCCTCTGCTAATTCTCATAACTGAAGCCTCTGTGGGTCTACATTGGCTGCCTTGTTTTCCTGCCTGCTCTCTTGCTCATGGTGCCTTGTTTCCGAGTGTATTTTGTCCTTCTTGACTGTGAGTTCACATTGCTTGGATTTTTATCTGCAGGAATTATTTGAAGCCTGCATTTAAGATGTTTTCTCTAGAGAGGATTTGCATTTGTTTCCATCACTCACTGGTGCCACCGTGAACTTGGACCCACCGTAAACTAATTTCTCTGCTTGAGATTTCAGGCCCATCCAGGTGATATGAATTCAGCCAGGCTACAAACCAGAGTGAAGGCCAGTTTGAAGTTATCAAGTGGTAGAGAAATTTATTTTTTCCCCTTTCATTCAGTGCTGAGGTTCAAGACAGGCAATTTCCCTTGTAGTCCTCTGAGTGGAAGGGCCAGGTAGGGAAGACTAGGCAGATTAGATTCTATTTCACCCTTACACTGAGGCTTTGGTAACTGGGGGGGTCCCAGTTTCATCTGTGAAATCTCTAAGACTCCCCACCTCAGTGAACCCCAAGATTTGTTTTGTTCCCATAACCCAGGAGGCCATGAAAACTGAAGCTAAATTTCATCTAGGTTAGCAAAATCTATAACGTTAAAGGGGCCTCAATGATCAGCTGATGTCTCTGTGTTCTCACGCTCCTTTAGGGCTTGAATGTTGAATAATCTTAATAGTTTTCAGAGGGTGGACTGGTTAGGGAACTTAAAACTACCATCTGTGTTGCACTGGAGGTCCAGGTTTCCAATTTTTCAAAAGATTACGGAACTTGACATGGTATGATAAAATCAGCTCAACTTTAAAAGTTGGCAGCTTCTTTTTAAATTATGGATGTGCCAACTTTCTGAGAATCACATCTGGCTGAAGAGTTGTCAATTGGCTAGAAAGCTCCATGGAAGTTTGTTGATCATGGCTCCATTAGAGAAAGATAACATCTATGAATGAGACAGATATATAATTTCGTTTATTATAGGAATTTGTCCTTACACATTTGGGAGACCTGGTTAAACAATCTAGGTAAGGTTGTCTTTGTGTCTGATGCTGGAGCTTGAAGTCAGTGGGATGGGAATCAGGAAAAAAAGATGGATGTGAAGTGGGGGAGAATGATGATGAACTGGAACCCACGACAATCTCCCACCACTTCTGTCTTTCTTCCTGAAACTCAGCATGTACCTAGCCCAGGAGTTGGAGAAGCTAGAAGAAAATTGGTGGGAGCCAAAAGACTAAAGTCTCGGCTGCTGCCCCACACTAACAAGGTGATCGAGCAGGTGATCTCCAACAGTGCCTGTGGCTCTGCACTGATTTTCCAGCACAAAAAGAGTATGGCAGATGCTGCATTCTCACCTTCCAAACCTCATGCAGCCATGCTAACTCAGGGAAGGATTTTGGGAAATGTTGTTCCAGCTCAGGTAGGTTGATACATTAAAAATAAAAATAAAACAGGGATAACAATGAGGGGTGGATTTATAGAGACAGGGGTCTCACTATGTTGCCCTGGTTTTGAACTCCTGGGCTCGAGCAATCTTGCCTCAGCCTCCAGAATAGCTGGGATTACAGGTGTGCACCACTGTGTCTGGCTCAGGTATCCCTGTTTTAACTGCCTGCTTTGGCTTGAACACATTGTACTCAGGGGAACCAATTTCAACCAGTTTCAACTTGCATTATAGAGATTGGCTTAAATAAAATAAGCACCAGAAAATAGGAAGAAGGAACATAATCTTCTCTAATTATATAAGTTCTACTTTTAAGTCAAATAAGGGTCACTTTGAAACTCAAGCTCCTTCTTATCTGAAACAGGTATTTAAGTTTTACCAATGAATCTGCTGAGTTTGTAGAGATCTGTTGAAAGAAAAATCTATTCATAATATTCTAGGCTTCTACTCTAAAGACTTAAGAAATGTATTGGATAGTCTCATTTGAAGACTATTTCTCTCAGAAAGCAGTGATATGTCCTCTAGAGCAAAACCATTTTGAGATTTGCTTCTATGAAAGGCAAGCTTGGCCATTACAAAACATCATTTTGAATCAGCTCTTCTTTCCCAGTGTAGAGCTAGTTGATTTAGTTAATAAACATGGATTATACTGGGCTTAAGGGGCACAGAGACGCAGAAGGACCAGCATTCAGCATAAAGACTTTTAGAAAGAAAGTAATTTTATGAGTTAAAAGAAATTTAAACAAAGTAGATAATGTGGTATTAATAAGAGGCAAGGCTGGGCGCGGTGGTTCATGCCTGTAATTCCAGCACTTTGGGAGGCCAAGGCAGGTTGATCACCTGAGGTTAAGAGTTTGAAATCAGCCTGGCCAACATGGTGAAACCCTGTCTCTACTAAAAATGCAAAAACTAGCCAGGTGTGATGGTGGGTGCCTGTAATCCCAGCTACTGGGGAGGCTGAGGCAGGAGAATCGCTTGAACCCAGGAGGCGGAGGTTGCAGTGAGCCGAGATTGTGCCACTGCACTCCAGTCTGGGCACCAGAGCAAAAACTTCATCTCAAAAAAAAAAAAAAAAAAAAGATGTAGGAAGCAAGTGAGGTATGGCTTTGCAGAATAAGGATTTTAAATGGATTGGTGGTATAAGCGGGCAAAAAATATTCCTGTGATGGTTAATTTTATTTTTCAACTTGACTAAACCACAGGTACCCATACATTTGGTCAAACATTATTCTAGGTGTGTCTGTGAGGGTGTTTCTGGATGAGATTAACATTTGAATCTGAAGAATAAAACAGGTTCCTCCTTAATGCGAGTGAGTTTCATCTAATCTATTGATAACCTGTATAGAACAAAAAACTGAGCAAGAGATAACGTTGCCTGCCTGCCTGCCTACTTGAGACATTAGTCTTCTGCCTTCAGATTGGAATTTATATTAATACCATCTACTCCTTGGTTCTCAGTCCTTCTGACATGAACTGGAACAACACCATCAGCTCTCCCGGATCTCCAGCTTGCAGACAGCAGATCATGGGACTTTTCAGCTTCTGTAATTGTGTGAGTCAATTTCTTATAGTAAATCTATGTCCAGTTTTTTCTGTTTCTCTAACAGAGTGGAAAGTGCATAAGAGGTAGCAAGAGGACTGCAAGGAAAGTAGCTAGGAGTCTGTTATTATCCAGGTGGAAGAAGATGGTGATTTGGATTTGGTGATGGACTGGACCAAGGCTGATTTCTAGTGTTGTAGATTTTATTACCAGTAGATGGTGGAGGTCAGCCACTGAGAGAGGGAAGAGAATAAGCAGAATGCTTATAGAGTATATGGATAGTGGATAGAACATCATGAGTTTGTTTGAAATATGTCGACTTGAAGATGTTTGAGTCATCAAGCAGAAATGTGGACATGTGGGGCTAGAGATAGTAAAGTGGGAGGTGTATTTGATTGTGGTTGGTGGAGTATTTCCGTATCGCTGAGTTAATGGTACTTTGTGTATAAAACCTCAAGAAAAAGAAACCTGAGGCCGGGCACGGTGGCTCACGCCTGTAATCCCAGCACTTTGGGAGGCCGAGGCGGGTGGATCACGAGGTCAGGAGATCGAGACCATCTTGGCTAACATGGGTGAAACCCCGTCTCTACTAAAAATACAAAAAATTAGCCAGGCGTGGTGGTGGGTGCCTGTTGTCCCAGCTACTCAGGAGGCTGAGGCAGGAGAATGGCATGAAGCTGGGAGGTGGAGCTTTCAGTGAGCTGAGATAGTGCCACTGTGCTCCAGCCTGGGCAACAAAGCAAGACTCTGTCTCAAAAAAAGAAAAAAAAAAAAACCTGAAAACATAATTGGATTCCATGGAGCATCCACTGTCTCACTGTCTCTTTTTGGCTGGTAAGACTAGGAAGGTGCAATTGAGGAACTGATTGTCTAGCCAATTCACCATGTAGATTGCATCCTCCCAGGGTAAACATTTCCTCTGAAATGCTGTCATTTCTATAGTTAGACACGAGGCAAAGCCCTGACCAGAGTTCCAAAGTGTCCAGCCTCTGTTACCCTCTGAGATGGTTTCACAGCTCGTGTTTGAAGATGTGTAGTTTTCGGCCCAGGGAATATGACAAGGAGAAAATTGGTCATCTCTCCCAGGTTTACGAAGCTCTGAGATTTTTCTCTATCAAACCTTCCTTTCGTGGCACATTTCTGCATTCAGTTAAAACTTCTGCTCAGCTCAAATTCCACTTAATGTACCTGTGAAACATGGGAAACTGGGTCCCTTTCCTTCCTGGCTGTACTTGGAAGTCTCATGAATCAAAAAACCCTACAAAACTTTAAATGTTATCACAAAGTCTGTTTTGAAAACTAAGAGAATAATTTATTAGCTGTTGGCATTATCAGTTTGTTCTCTGTCTCAGGCTCATTTTTTGTTGAAATTGTTTTTGTTGAAACAGTGATTACTTATCCAGATTTCTCGTTTTCATTTCCTTCATCATAAGAATCTACATTAATCACTTCCAAACCTAGACAAGCTTTTAGATCATATTGTGTTTCCATCCTTAGAGAATGGAGACAATGGCTTTTGTTACTTTGGGGAGCGACCTTCAGAACATCATAAAAGCCAAATAATATATGTGGTAGCTGAAATAGAAGAGGTTAGCTCTGGTCTTTCCCAGGAAACAGCAGTTTCACACCAACACCTAGGATTACTCTGTGTGTTACAAGTTTGAGAAAAATAATAATCAGAGAAAGTTATGACTGAAAGGGAAATAACTTAGAAAAAACTGGTGGGAAGGTATAAAGTTGGTGTATTTTTGGTCAATTAAAGCAGCTGCACTTGGGGAGTTCTCAGATTGGGTGGGAAATTTCATTGTGGTCAGAATCACAAGGGGAGCTTTTGAAACGTGGGTCACAACCCACACAAATTAAATCGGAATGCCAGGGCATTTATTGATTTGAATTTTTTTCTTTAAGGAGGTGGTTGAGAACCATTGACGTAGACTGACTTAGCAGATCTTCAAATGTGAATAGGGAATCCTGCCATTCCACTGATGAGAACAGCATGCTTAGGATATTGCTTCTGAGAAGAGGTAACCCAAGTTAAAACCCCAATAGCTAAATTAACATACTTGATAAAATAAAGATCTACAGTGCCCACTGTGTGGGCCCATTATACTTCTGTGTTGCCACTCTAATGCTACTGTCTATATAAAACTTGAGCAAATCAGTAGGATTCTTTAATTCAAAAGTTGTGTGTCTCTAAGAAGGTGACATAATTCATTGCAATCTTTAAAGTGTATATATTTTTCAAACAATTTCTTCATTGACCTGAAGTTCATTAGCACTCGTTGAATCTTCAAGAGCTCAGTTTAATTTCTACTTCCAGAAAACCACTTTAAAAATTGTTCCCATATTTTAGCTGTGCTGTTTGATCAACACTAATGAACCAACAGCCATATTGAAGAGCCTGGTCTGTATCAATGTAATGGGACATTTGAAGTAACGGTGAGTGAGATTTTAATGCCAGGCAACTTTAAGAACATGATATTGGCTACCATCATGTTCAACTCCATGGTCCAATTAGTTTTCTGCCTGGATATTAATAATTTTGACAATAAAATTATGACATCATTTTCCTGCAACACTTGTGACTCATCTTCTATTTTTGAGTTAAGCTTTTTCAGAGTCTGATTCAAAGGAACTGCAGAGGCCTAGGGTTTTCTAATTAAAGTCCATGGCAAGTATCACTGACAGATTTAGATTCATAAACCATAAGTGAATCCATATTATATACCATGGATGTGCTTTTTGAGTTGGGCATTCTAGCTGGTATCTAGTACCAGTTCCATTTGTGGCAGGAGGCAAGGGAGGTTCAGAGCGGTTAAACAAACATTGTGGCCAAGACCATGTGCTTAGAGACTTGTAGATTAAACCCAGGTCTCTGATTCCTCACTAGTATGTTTTCGTAATAATCCATGGTTCTGACTGTTTAAAAGTAGCTTTTATATTTATTGGGTAGAAATATCTTCCTGTAACATATGTCATCTGCAGCTTCCATAGGTAAATACACACAGTTTATAAAGACAAGCATTCTGGCTATTTTGAAGTTTTTTTATCCAGGCTGAAGAGGATATTTGACAGATCCTCCAGCAAGTAGACTAGAGTGATCTTCTTGGTCATCCTACCCTGCAGGAAATGGGAGGCCCACCTTCTGTTCTTACTCTTAATATATCCATTTCCTTCATGCCACTGGACGCAATTTGCAATTATTTATTTGTCTCTTTACTTGTTTTAATTTATCTCTTCTTCTAGATTAAGCTCTGTAAATGTGATAATTCTACTTGGTTTATGCCCAGCATCAAGGCGTGCAGGAAATATTTGTTTGAATTGACTTCCCTCTTAGAACCTGCTGCCTCGTGTTGAATGCAATGCTCTTGCTATGTTCTGAGCAAGGTCTAGGGCCAAATGAGCACACTTTCCTTTCTTTCCCTTCTTGGTATGATTCTGAACAACTTAAGATTATTATTGCAGTCTAGTTGCATTAGAATTGGCAGTCTCATTAGTGTTATCTTTCACTGAACTTAGAAAAAAAAATATGATGCTAGGGCCATATTTTGTTATGTTACCTTTTAGATGTTTCCCCCTCTTAATATATCTTAAATACCTTATTCTTACTTCTAACTTATTAGCAATTTCATGCCACCTACAATTTTTTATTCCAAATTTCTTAGAAGGGAATGTAGGATATTTCTTTAAAGCTTGAGCTTCAGACTCAGGATTTTGAGCCCAAGCACCTCATCTGCTGGATGTCTGCTGGATGTTTCACCTTGGAGAAGGCTTTTTGAGGCTGAGCTATTTCTCATGTTCAAAAGAGATATTGGTGTCTTCTTTGTAGCACTGTTATAAAGACGAAATGTGGAAATGTAGGTGAAGCCTTACGATATGGCAGTGATTGGTGTTAGTGTAGTCATTCCCCCCTCAAACTGGTTAGAACTGATGATTTCTTTTGTTCCTAACTCTAATCCCCTCTCTGGTGTTCCTTATCCACAAGAGGCATCCTGTTGTATGTAGTGGCCACATAACAGACTGCAAAGAACTGGAACGCAGAGTAATTTTAATCCAAAATGTTCAAAGGTAAGTGGCTAAAAATAGTCCATTCTTCTTCCATGCTAAAACTTTAACAACTATGAGAGAGGAAAAGCTTGACAGATTCTCTGTAGAATTTGTCAACTACTTTTGCCAGAGGTCAAAACTGATCATAAATACTGTGCCTTAGTAGCCTAACATGGCTTCTGAACTGTGAATAGAAGCTGGGATTTTGTAGCAAATGGTGTTCCTCAGAACTCGAGGTTTCCAAGGTGACTGCATATGAAACTACAAACATCACAATAGCAGTTTCCAGAGGGACTCTCTTTATGGTCCTCCCCATACCCTCCATCCCCAAACTATTACATTCTTTACACTGTGATTCTTTCTAAAGTGAGATAGAAACTAAATAATTGATTTGAATATCAAAGAAAAGATGTACATTTCCATCTTCTCAATTTTCATTAGAGTACTGATTTTTCAAGTCTTCCCAATAAGACCTAATGCTCTCAGAACATCTAATGACCCATGCAACTAACTTGACTCCATGTGTAACAGACAGCTAGGCTGTTGATTATTTTAATTAGCAATTAAAAGTAATACATTCACAAATGTTATTTGGATTTTTCATTTAAATGAAATCTCTAGCTTTGATCAGGATTGAAAATCGGTTCAGCCTATGGGGCAGTGCATCATAGAAGGAGCTCTGGATTAGGAGGAGATGCCTGTCATTGAGTTAGCCACTAACTCGCGATGGGGACCCATTCTCCTGTATACAATGAGAGGGTTGGACTAGCAATTGAAAGGGTCCATCTCTCAGCCCTGAAACACACTTCATGTTTCTTAGCAGCAAATAGATTCTGGAAGATTAATAGTCAATGTAAGTATACTGCCTGCCATATGATTATAATGTAAGAGATCTCCTGCACTGAGTCAAGTGGTCACCCTGTGCTCTCTTCATCCCCCATGCTAGCCTTCAGTAGACATCCTCAAGAGTATTCTGTGTCCACTTACTGATATATTGTACAGGAATCCCTCTCTGTGGGGAGCAAAGTAGGTGATCCACATAGCTCTAGGAAGGCTGAAAACAATATTAGTGTCTTATATGTAAATAACTATACCTCACTCAAGCTTAATTTTTTAAAAGCCACTTACTAAAATTTATACCTAAAAATTATTGCATACTTACTATACAGTAGGCAATGTGCTAAATAAAACATTGTAGGAAGAAGTCACATTAATATTATTATCCCCACCTTACAGTTAGTTGGGGGAAGTTAAGCCTAAGGTAACTCAGCTAGCAGCAGAGTAGATGTTCCCACTGCAACTCTATCACTAGAACCCATGCTTTTAAATGTTACCTGAAAACTGCCACTATTTACTGGAATGAACAAATGCTACAGTAATAGACTGAGTTTTAGGGCTCTGGGAAAAAGTACATTGTAATCAGCTAAAATTGAGGAAGTACTTAATTTGTGTCAAGAGACTCTGGGTGATGTGAATGTATACATTTAAAATAATATATATCATTTTAAATGGTTATCTATTGGATACAAATTGAAAAACTTCTATCTTTGGTCCAGCCATTAAATAAATATTTTGGTTAGTAACTAGCTTACCTACTTTGCAATTTTATATTACCCATTTCAGGATCCTCTGTTAGTGAAAATGGTAACATGAGAAGCCTGAAATGGTATTTAAAAGCGATATGGAGGTCGTTCTGGTGTTGGTCTCAGTAGGGTTAGCTGGGGGATTATGTGAAAGCTGAGGGCTGAACAAGTCAGAAGGCATATTTGGAAAGTGATTAAAGTGATTACATTCAATAATAATAATCACTATGTAGTGAACACCAACGATGCTTTCAGACTTTCATATGGTCCCGCGAGTTCTCAATACATCCTATGCAGTATGTGGTAGAATCCCTATTGAACAGATGAGGCTCAGTAAGGTGGAATGACTTGCCCAAGTCCACCCTGTCATTCACTTGGAGATGGGGCTCAGGTAACCAGGACTATCTGGCTTCAAAGTAGCCTTCTTAAAACTTTCCATTGAATTGCCAGCTCTCATAGAGGATTAGTGCATTCCTCTGGGGGTCTGGGACACAGACACACAGACTCACTAAAAGGTAAGTGTTTTTTATGGAAATCTCTTCTGTTCAGCTTCAAAAGTTATACAAATTTGGTGTTGTACCATATACAATATCCCTATTTAATGAAAAATAATAGTTTATCATTTGTGAGTTATTTGATTTGTATCCAAATCTTTGGGTAAAATATTCTCCAGGAAGATGTGTCAAGTTTATCCTATGGCTTTCTGTGCTCTAATTCAGGATGAACAAAACTGCAATAAAGCAGAGTAAGTAAACACAAAGAGTGGCCAAGATGGCCAACTAAAAGCAGATAGGATGCGTGGCTCTCACAGAGAGGAAAGGAAGGAAGGGGCAAGTAAATACAGCACTGCCAACTGACACATCCAGACAGTCAACACTGGGACTAATCAAGGAAACAACTCGACCCACAGAGAATGGAGAAGAGCAAGGCAGGACGACGGCCCATCTGGGAGCAGAATGTGGAGCCAAGGGAACCTCCCTTGCCAAGGTAAGCAGCGAGTGATTGTGTGATCCCAGGAAAACTCTTCTCCCATGGATCTTTGCAACCCTCAGATCAGTAGATCCCTTCATAAACCCACTCCACCAGGGCCTTCAGTCTGACACACAGAGCTACATGGAGTCTTGGCACAGCAGCTTCTCAGGCACACAGGAGACCTGGGAACTTTAGATACTCTGGTTTTCCAGGCTTCCCAGCACAAGTAGCTGCAACTCTGGCAAAGCAGGAGGTTAGACCACCATAGATACCCCTAGGAAAGTGGCTGAATCCAGGGGGCAAAGCAGCGATGGTCTGCGGGCCCTGCTTTTATGGCACCTCACAGGATAAGACCCACTGGGTTGGAATTCCAGCCAGCCACCAGTAGCAGTGTTGCACCTACCCGGGACAGAGCTCCTGAGGGGAGGGGCAGGCTGTCATCTTTACTGTTTGGAGAGTCCAATCTGACTGGGGCAGAAGGGATACCCCCTAGCACAACACAGCTGCTCTACAAAAACATAGCAAGACTGTTTCTTTAAGCAGATGCCTGATCCTGTTCCTCTTCACAGGGAAGAACCTCACAACTGGGGCCTCCAGCCACCCCTGCCAGTGCTCTCCAGCTGACAGAGATTTGAAAACTCCCTGGGACAGAGCTCCCAGAGGCAGTGGGGGGCAGGCTGCCATCTGTGCTGTTTGGGTGGCTTAGTAGTTCCAGCCTTTGGGCTTTGGAGAGTCCAAGCTGACTGCGGGTGAAAGTAGTACCCCAGCACAGAAGGTCCCTGACCCCATTCCTCATCACTGGGTGGAGCCTCCCAACCAGGGTCTCTGGCTGACAGAGGTTTCAGGCCTCTCTGGGATGGAGCTCCCAGAGAAAGAAGGAGGCTGCCATCTTTGCTGTTCACAGCCTTCACTGGTGATACCTCCAGGTACTGGAAAATCTGAGGTGATTAGGGACTGGAGTGGATCCCCAGCAAACTGCAGCAGGCCTTAAGAAAAGTGGCCAGACTGTTTAAAACAAAACAAAAAAACCATCCAGAGGTCAGCAACCTCAAAGACTGAAGGTAGATAAGCCTACCAAAATGAGAAAGAATCAGTGCAAAACCACTGAAAACTCAAAAAGCTAAAGTGCCCTATTCCTATCAAATGACCATACTACCTCACCAGCAAGGGTTTGAAATGACAGAAGTAGAATTCAGAATATGGATCAGAACAAAGTTGACTGAGCTAAATAAAAGAGTACATTGTAACCCAATGCAAGGAAGCTAAAAATCATGATAAAACATTGCAGGAACTGACAGCCAAAATAGCCAGTATAGAGAGGAATGCAACCAAACTGATAGAGGTAAAAAACAGACTACAAGAATTTTATAATGCAATAACAAGTATTAACAGCAGAAAAGACCAAGCAGAGGAAAGAATTTCAGAGCTTGAAAACTGCCTTTCTGACTAGAGAAAAAATAATGAAATGGAATGATGAAAACCTCTGAGAAATATGGGATAATGTAAAGAGACCAAATCTACGACTGATTGTTGTACCTGAAAAAGATGAGGAGAATGGAGCCAATTTAGAAAACATGTTCCAGGATATCATCCATGAGAACTTCCCCAACCTAGGTAGAGAGGCCAACATTCAAATTCAGGAAATGCAGAGAACTCCAGTAAGATTTTCCATGAGAAAATCATCCCTAAGACACATAATCATCAGATTCTACAAGGTGGAAAGGAAAAAAAAAAAGTTAAAGGCAGCTGGAGGGAAAGGACAGGTCACCTACAAAAGGAAACCCATCAGACTAACAGAAGACCTTTCAGCAGAAACCCTATGAGCCAGAAGAGATTGGGGGACAGTATTCAACATTCTTTAAAATAAATTCCAACCTAGAATTCTTCATAAGACAAGGAGAAATAAGATCATTTTCAGACAAACAAATGCTGAGAGAATTTGTTACCATCAATCTGCCTTACAAGAGCTCTGAAAGAAGCACTAAATATGGAAAAGAAAGATCATTACCAGCCACTACAAAAACACACTGATGACAATATAAAGCAACCACATAAAGTCTCCAAAATAACCCGCTAAGATCATGATGAGAGGATCAAATACACATGTATGAATACAGAACCAAGATCCATTTGTATGCTATCTTCAAGAGACCCTCGCACATGTAGTGACACACATAGGCTCAAAATAAAGGGATGGAGGAAAGTCTACTAAGGAAATGGAAAACATTAAAAAGCAGGGGTTGTAATCTTAGTTTCTGCCAAAACAGACTTTAAGCCAATAAAGATTAAAAAATACAAAGAAGGGCATTACATAATGGTAAAAGGTTCAACTTAACAAGAAGAGCTAACTCTCCTAAATAAATATGCACCCAGATTCATAAAGCAAGTTCTTAGAGACCTTCAAAGAGACTCAGACTCCTATACTATATTAGTGGGAGACTTTAACACCCCACTGACAATATTAGATCATTGAGACAGATATTCAAGACATGAACTCAGCTCTAAATTACACGGACCTGATAGTTATCTACAGATCTCTCCACCCCAAAACAACAGAATATACATTCTTCTCATTGCCACATGGCAGTTACTCTAAAATTGATCACACAAGCAGAAGTAAAACACTCCTCAGCAGACGCAAAATGACTGAAATAATAACAGTCTCTCAAACCAAAGCACAATCACTCAAAACCACACAACTACATGGAAATTGAACAACATACTCCTGAATGACTCTTGGGTAAATAATGAAATTAAGGCAAAAATCAATAAGTTCTTTGAAATTATTAAGAACAATGTATCAGAATCTCGGGGACACAGCTAAGGAAGTGTTAAGAGGGAAATTGATAGCGCTAAATGCTCACATGGACAAGTTAGAAAGCTCTCTAGTTAACAATCCAACACCAAAAAGAAGTAGAGAACCAAGAGCAAACAAACCTCAAAGCTAGCAAATCTCAAAGCAAGATCAGAGCTGAACTGAAAGAGAGACATGAAAAACCCTTCAAAAAAATAAATGAATCCAGGAGCTGGTTTTTTGAAAGAATTAATAACATAGGTAGACTGCTAGGCAGACAAAGAAGAAAAGAGAAGATTCAAATAAACACAATCAGAAACGACAAGGGAGATGTTACCACTGACCCCAAAGAAATACAACCATCACAGAATATTATGAACACCTCTGTGCTCATGAACTAGAATAGATAAATTTGTAGACACATACACCTTCCCTAGACAGAACCAGGAAGACACTGACTCCCTGAATAGACCAATAACGAGTTCTGAAATTGAGGCAGTAATAAATAGCCTACCAACCAAAAAGAGCCCAGGACCAGACAGATTCACAGCTGAATTCTACCAAATGTATGAAGAAGAGCTACCATTCCTACTGAAACTGTGACAAAAAATTGAGAAGGGAGGGACTCTGCCCTAACTCATTCTATGAGGCATCATCCTGATACCAAAACCTGGCAAAGATAGAAAAAAACAGAAACCTTCAGGCCAATATCTTTGATGAACATTGATGCAAAAATCCTCAATAAAATACTGGCAAACTGAATCCAGCAGCACATCAAAAAGCTTATCCACCACAAATAAGTAGGCTTAATCCCAGGATGCAAGGCTGGTTCAACATATACAAATCAAATGTGATTCATCACATAAACAGAACTAAAGACAAAAACAACATGATTATCTCAATAGATGCAGAAAAGGCTTTTGATAAAATTCAACATCCATTCATGTTAAAAACACGATAAACTAAGTATTAGACCCATAGCCAGTATCATACTGAATGGGCAAAAGCTGGAAGTATTTCCCCTTGAAAACCAGTACAAGACAAGGATGCCTTCTCTCACCACTCCTATTCAACACAGTATTGGAAGTTCTCACCTGGGTATTCAGGTGAGAAAGAAATAAAGGGCATTCAAATAGGAAGACAGGAAGTCAAACTATCCCTGTTTACAAATGACATGACTCTATAGCTAGAAAACCCCATGGTCTTAGCCCAAAAGCTTCTTAAGCTGAGAAGCAACTTCAGAATACAAAATCAGTGTGCAAAAATCACTAGGATTCCTATGTACCAACAACAGTCAAGCCCAGAGCCAAATCAAGAGTGAACTCCCATACACAACTGCCACAAAAATAATAAAATACCCAGGAATACAGCTAACCAGGGAAGTGAAATGTCTCTAAAGAACTACAAACCACTGCTCAATGAGATGGCACAAATGGAAAAACATTCCATGCTCATGGAAGAATCAATATTGTGAAAATAGCCATACTGCCCAAAGCAATTTATAGATTCAATGCTATGCCTATTAAACTACCATTGACATTCTTCACAGACCTAGAGAACTATTTTAAAAATCATGTGGAACCAAAAAAGAGCCCGAATAGCCTAAACAAAAAGAACAAAGCTGGAGGCAGCATGCTACTGGTAGAAGAGCAGACACAGACCAATGGAACAAAATAGAAAACCCAGAAATAAGACCACACACCTACAACTATCTGATCTTTGATAAACCTGACAAAAACAAGCAATGGAAAAAGGACTCCCTATTCAATAAATGGTGCTCAGATAACTGGCTAGCCATATGCAGAAGACTGACACCGAACCTGTTCCTTACATCATACACAAAAATTCACTCAAGATGGATTAAAGACTTAAATGTGAAACCCAAAACTCTGAAAACCCTGGAAAACAACCTAGGACATGCTATTCAGGACATAGGCATGGGCAAAGATTTAATGATGAAACACCAAAAGCAAAAATTGACAAATGAGATCTAATTAAAGAGCTTCTGCACAGCCAAAGAAACAAACTATCAACAGAGTAAATAGACAACCTACAGAATGGGAGAACATTTTTGCAAAATTTGCTTGTTTTTTTCTTGTAAATTTGTTTAAGTTCCTTCTAGAAGCTAGATATTATAGACCTTTGTCAGATGCAAAAAAACCTCGTTAAAAGTAGGCAAAGGACATGAACAGATACTTTTCAAAAAGAAGACATACATGTGGCCAAGAAACACATGAAAAAAAGCTCAAAATCAGTAATCATCAGAGAAATGCAAATCCAAACCACAATGAGATACCTCACACCAGTCGGAATGGCTATTACTAAAAAGTCAAAAAATAAATAATAGATACTGGTGAGGTTGTGGAGAAAAAGGAATGCTTATACACTGTTGGTGGGAGTGTAAATAAGTTTAGTCACTGTGGAAGACAGTGCGGCAATTCCTTAAAGACCTAAAGACAGAACTTAAAGACCTAAAGACAGAACTACCATTTGACCCAGGAATCCCATTACAGGGTATATACCCACAGGAATATAAATTATTCTATTATAAAGACACATGGATGCATATGTTCATTACAGCATTATTCACCATAACAAAGACATGGAATCAACCTAAATGCCCATTAATGATAGCATGGATAAAGAAAACGTGGAACATATACACCATGGAATACTATGCAGCCATAAAAAAATGAAATCATATCCTTTGCAGGAATATGGATGGAGCTGGAGGTCATTATCCTTAACAAACTAACAAACACAAAACAGAAAACCAAATATTGCATGTTCTCACTTATAAATGGGAGCTAAATTATGAGAACACATGGATACATACAGGGGAACAACATGCACTGGGGCATTTTGGCAGGGTGAGAGGATAGAGAGGATCAGGGAAAATAACGAATGGTTACTAAGCTTAATATCTGGGTGATGAAATAATCTGTATAACAAACACCCATGTCACAAGTTTACCTATGTAACAAACCTGTACTTGTACTCCTGAACTTCACATAAAAGCTAAAAAAAACTGCACAGAATCTAGGGTCTGACATTTTACTTAGTAGACCTGTGATTTTGGATAAGTGTTCACTTATCTGAATCTTAAAGGTAATAAAAATTCTAATTATATACTTGTAATAAATGTGTATATTGTCTTTAGTGTAGGTCTGGACTATATTGTGGTACAATTGTGAAAGGAGGTGGAGAAAACCTCTCAAATGCTGCTGAAGTATTGGAGATGCACAATGAAAAATTTTTAACTTGCCTCTTTTTGGCCATTGTTTTGATATTTCAGGTGGTTCCCTGTCAGAAGTATAATTTCATTTTACTTGGCCTCTTGGGATTTTTGCACTTCCTTTGTTGAAGAACTAAATGGAATGGCTTTAATCTACATAGTAGCTCACAAAGTTATGAAACTCTAAAAAGAATTGTTCTGTTTTCACTTCAGGGCCTTGCTGAGGAGAGGGGGACATGGGATGTTAGAAGTTATTTTTAGTTCTGCCTATGGCTGGTAACGAGAATATTGCACATTTTACTGAATGGAGAAAAATTACTTATATATACTAACCTTGATTTTATAATGTAATTTAAATAAAAGGTCAGCCTGGGATGGCTAATCTTAAAAGATCAGGCAGTAAGACACTGATAGAAAAGATAATGATGATATCATTTAGTAATATTCATTGAGTGCTTCTTGTATTCCAAGAATTACTTAAATCCTTTATGTGTATCATCCCATTTCATGCTTGCTACAACCCTGAGAGATAGATCCCATCATCAATTCCACGTAGCTAAAGCATGAGAGCTCACAGCCTAGTCTCACTGCCTCTGAGGCCTTTGCGTTAAGCCACTGTTAGAAGTATTTCTGTTAATACACGTGGGAGATTTTCACCGGAGAGATAGAGAGTAAACTAAGGCCTTACTGTCAATGCCAGTCAGGGGGATGGTAAAGGCATGTGGCTATAAGAAGGACTTGTTCTCAAAGGAAAGCTTCGCATGTAATTGTGTACTAGTCTTTATTCAATCACAAGGCAAGTAAAAGCTCCTCAGAAAAATCCAAGAATGATATATAGCATATGCCATCTTTTGATGCAAAGCAAATTCTCTACATGGTACAGATATCTCTGCTAATAATGTTTATCAGGATTATTTATTATGAGGCATTAAAATAATTTTTTTCAATTACTTTCTAATGAAATGTACCAATTACCTTTTGAACGGTGACATATGGCTGTAATCTATTCCAGTAAGGATAGACCTTGTTTACATAAGGTTTCAAGGGCTTCTTCCTGAACTGCATTAATTACAGATGTAAACAAAGATAGAGGATTATTATCACATTTAACGATTAATCCTCAACTTCATTGCAATATAGTTCTCTGGGTTAGACAACATCAATCATCAGTTATGGTGCAACTCTTTTATACAAGTGATGTTTTTGCAACTCAGGTGATTTTGGAGCATGTTTATGAATGTGTTTGAATCCTGGGGTAGTGAGGGAAAAAGTCACACAGACCATTGTGCACGGTGAAGTTGAAAAAAATGCTACTCTAAGCAACTGTTGGCTTATCTTTTGGCTAAGAAATAAATAATTATGACAGAAAAATGTTAGCCACTATTTTAAAAAGTCTTATCTTGGGGTGGTGGTGGGGGGGCACTGCTGATAAAAAAGAATCAAGCTTCTATCAGTTCTAAGCATGTGCAGTGACTCTACCTTTTTTTTTTTTTTTTTTTTTTTTTTTTGACAGAGTCTCGCTCTGTCACCCAGGCTGGAGTGCAGTGGCGCAAACTCGGCTCACTGCAACCTCCACCTCCTGGGTTCAAGTAATTCTCCTGCCTCAGCCTCTCAGGTAGCTGGGATTACAGGCATTGCCACCACACTCGGCTAGTTTTGGAAATTTGGTAGAGACGGGATTTTGCCATGTTGGCCAGGTTGCTCTACCTCATGCAGTAACTTTTTTCTGAACATGGGAGGAGAGAGAGGAAGAAGGTACCATTACTATGAGAATTCCAGTTTCTGAGCAAAGGAAAATCTATCATTTTGAGATTGCTTCCTTCCCTGTTCAATGCTACCATGGGTTTCAGAATGGACTCTGAGATTTGTCACGAAGTTATTCTTCTCTGTTTCTGATTATCTTTTGGTCTTCTTTGAAAACTTCTCCAAGCTTCAGTTTACCCAACTGTTACAAGAGGATAACACTAGTAGTGACCTCACAGGATTGTGGGGAGGATAATTGAGGTATTTAATGTAAGATACTTAGAACAGTGTCCAGCACACTTTGCTATTTCAAAATGTTAGCTGTTGTATTGTTTATGGATTGAACTATTTAACATTCACAGGGTAAACAGGAAAGTTTTACCTGTTCTTATCTCTTCCAACTGCCTTTTGTACTTTACATTGAAAATAAATTTGTATGAAAGATGGAAGGTGATTTATCAAGGGAAACCCAGTGTATTAATTACCTTCTCTATTAAGTCCTATGATAGGTAATTTATGCATATAATCTTATTTAGTTCATGACTCATGTAATATTGGCATTATTATTCTCATTTATGAAGAAACCAAGATAGACAGAAAAAAACCCAGATCTAACTTCACAGTTTTGTATTATTTCCAGAGTGCTTAAGAATTTAGTTTCTAGCATATACTTGGAAACACTGCTATTCTAACATTATTTTTGCCAACTTCTGCTGAGTTTTTGCTAATATTTTGAATCATTTTAAGAACCTAGGTATTCTTCAGTTCTATATGTTTTTAACAATTGACCAGAAGGTAGTACTTGGTCTATCTCCAATCAAATATTGAACACTGGCTGTCCATTGACAAAGATTCTTTGCTTGACCAAATTTTAGTTGGGCTTCTGAACTTTCTCCTTATGCCTCTTTTCCCCACTCCTTGTAAAATCCAGCTTTAGAAATAACTCCCCCTGCTACCCTTGTTATCAGTTTGAGTTCCTCATCCTCCACCATCCCCCTGGGTCTGATCACCTGGTCTTTCTCTGCAAGAATCCTGTTGGGTCAGTTGAGTCAGGATCTCCCTCACCCCTGATGCTTCCTCTTAGTTATTTTCTATCCATTGACCCTCACCCTGCTACTTGGCTGTACATTCCCAACTTGCAGTGTTTAGAGTTGAGCCCAATTTCTCTCCCTGGCTGCAAAACCGCAGGTGCAGTGGTCCCTGAACCTATTGCAATGGTCCTGAATAAACATTACCTTCATTTTGAACACTATCCTATAGATATTTGAGGCTTGGTTATGTGTTACCATAGTACTAAATGTAGAGAATAGGACAATGTACTGTTTAACAGATTCTATTACTATCCCTGTTTTGCATCCAGAAAACTGAGGCACAGAGAGGTTAAGTAACTTGACCACAATCATACAGATATGTAGCAGCAAAACTTGGTTTTGAACCCAACCATTCTGGCCCTAACATCAGCACTGATTACACTTCCTCTCCTGTGGAAGACAAACCTGACCATTGAAATATAACAAAAAGCAGTTATTGTAAGAGAATTAGAATGAGATGGAGAATCTGAGCTGGGCCTGGCGCGGCTAACCCATGCTTGAGGAGGGGACCTTAAGGAGAAAGAAACAGGAGATGGAAAAAAGACTTCGTCAGGCTGAAGGAGCATAAAGAGTTTGTTAAAGCCCAGGGAGTTGGAGAGGGGTGAATAGGCCATTAGAACCTTGTTGGCTGAAGAAAGGAGTATGGGGTCTTTCCTTTAAAGGCAGTTAAACAGTGAATTTCATGGTAGGCATGGTAAAACTGTGTTTAGAGAGACCATCTGGCTTCAGGATAGAGAAGATTGCAGAGTGTGGTACACAAGTTAGAAAGTAATTATGTAGGATAGAGGTTAATGCGCAGAGGGATGACAACCAGATTTATATCTTAAGTCTGACAACACAGCACAAGGAACAGGGAAGAAGCTAAGGGGTTAGGTTTTGGACATGTCCAGATGCCCGTGCTATTTTCAGGAGAGACAAACATTCTTAGGGGGCAGTTTTATTTAGGGTCTGAGGCTGACCCTCCTCATAATTATTGTAATAGGCAAGGTCTCTGAAAAGAAAACAAGATGCAAATAGTTCTAAAATATTTCAGGAATTTCAGAATGTTTCAGTACGGCCATCTTCAAGATGGATTACAAGAAGATAACCACTTACTTAGACACAAAACAAGATCAAACAGTGACATAAATACAATTGAGAAGTGCAAAATGCTTTGGAGATGACTAGAATTTGAGAAAGGAAACGTTAATATCCAGTACTGGAAAGTGACAGATAGAAAATAGTTGACAGAAAGCATAAGAGTAATAAACTATCAAGGAGAAATATGGATGTACGAATTAATAACCATAAAGATAATTAAGAGTTGTTGATTGGAAAGCAGAAAGTTTGTTTTTTTCTTCAAAGATGGGAAGATCATTCATTATATTGTGTGCAGACACGTTAGTCAATTTATCAAGCCTGCCAATGCCCTTTCTGAGAAACTCTGTTCCCATAACCCCTGCTGAGCAGGCAGTGGGCAGACTCCCTGGACTGAGATACTTGGAAATGGGCTGGCAGGATATTTTACCTGGGGCAAGAGTGTGGAATTGGCCAATCTCTGTTGGCCACTCTGGCTAGGGTTGGGGTGGCTATTTTGTTTTATCACCAGCAAAAGCAAGGACCTTTCCCTCCAGAGAAAGGGATCATCTGTCTTACAGATGGAGTCCAGTTCTTATTTATGGAACCCATCAGACCCAGCTGGCTCTGGACTCCATCTCACATTCCTGTTTCCTCCTCATACATTTCCATAAGCTGGCTGAAGTAGTCTTGTTTCTTTCTAACCAGTTCATCCAGGGCTAACACAGCTTTACTCAGATGCTCAAGTGGTTTTAATAATATCTATTAATAAATCATAGAACCTCAGAGTAAGGAGGCCCTGGCCCAACCTTCCTTGCAGAAATGGCTCTCTACAGCATTTCTGATATGCAACGCTTCTTGATCAAGCATGGTTCTCCCCTGAGACAGTGTAAGTCATTCTTAGAGCCATCATTCTAGACAACTCCTTGGAACTCCAGACTCATATTGTTGATCAACGTCTCCATGACTGTGTTTCATCTTAGACACCCAAACTCAATATGCCCCAAATTAACTGGGGCATTTCCTCCCCAAGTCTGACCCTCTTACAGAACTTCCTTTCCCAGTGAGTGGCATCGCCACCCTTAGTCACTACCTAGGATTCCATTTCTGATGCTGTGGAAGTCCAACAGAGCACTATGTGAAACCTCAGAAAAATGAGCATGCTGGAATTTCAATCATCTTACATTATATTTTACTGCCATAAGTACAAAAAAACAAACACATTCTTAGCAAAGTAAGAGATCTCAAGCTGGAGGATATATAAGAGGAGAAATTTCTCAAGTCTCTCCAGATTGGCATGGATTGATGGCTATGGGATTCTGTCTCTTCAGTGTGTAGTCTTGCCAGTTTGCAGGAAGACCTAACTGGGGGCTTATAGATATTTATACCCCTTAAACATATCATTCTGAAACTCTAGCACAATTAACTCACATACTTGTAAACAACCACCATAATAAGTCTTTAGAAAGCTGAACCACTAGAATAATATCTAGTTATATTTTCTTTCTTTTTTTTTTTTGGAGATGGAGTCTCGCTCTGTCACCCAGGCTGGAGTGCAGAGGCGAGATCTTGGCTCACTGCAAGCTCCACCTCCTGGGTTCACCCCATTCTCCTGCTTCAGCCTCCTGAGTAGCTGGGACTGCAGGTGCCCGCCACCATGCCTAGCTAATGTTTTTTTGTATTTTTAATAGAGGCGGGGTTTCACCGTGTTAGCCAGGATGGTCTCTATCTCCTGACCTCGTGATCTGCCTGCCTCGGCCTCCCAAAGTGCTGGGATTACAGGCGTGAGCCACCACGCCCGGGTATCTAGTTATATTTTCTTATGCCACAGTTACATCTTGCTCCATTGGTTACATAACAGTAACTAGGTGTCCTATGTGAACATCATATTAAACCAACAATGTCCAGTGCCTACCCTGGTGCAGTGCATTATCTTCCATGCCAGATAACTGAACTGTGCACATGACAGGCCTGGCCAGAGATTTCTACAGTCTTCGTGCTCTCCCTTGCCTCCCAGATTCAAATCATCACAATTTGGGTTTACCTCCTCAAACTCTTGTTAATCTGTCACTGTGTTTTTACACCCACTGTCATCACCTTGATCCAAGTCACTGCCATCTCTCCTCTGGAACATGAGAATAATTTCCTAACTCTATTTTCACCGTGCTCCCTTCCCATCCATTCTGTACATTGCAGAAAGAGTGATCTCTTATAAATACAAATTTGCTCATATTATGCATGCATGCATACACACACACACACACACACACACACACTTGGCTTAAAACACTTCAGTGGACTCTCACTGCTCATCAGCTAACAAGTGAAAAAACTTAACATGGCCCACAAGCCCTGCGTTGTCTGGATTTTCCTTACCTCTGATCTCTAACCTTGATCATGCCTTCCTTTCACCTCTCATACATGCCACTCCCGTGCCAGTCCTTCTCCTGCTCATCCTCAAGAGCGCAAGTCAAGCATCACCCCCTCAGGGGAGGCTTTCCTCCTCATTTGAACTAGCTCAGGTTCCTTCTATTACATGCTTTTGTAGCATCCTGAATCTTCCCTTCATAGCATGGTTAACTGCTGCAATTTTGCATATATTTACGGTATTGCTGGATTCATTTATTCTCCTCACTAGAATATTAACTGCACAAAGAGAGGAATGTTTTTTCCTATTGTTTTGTTCACTGCTAATCCCATTGGTAGGATGATGCTGGCAACGTTTAAGTCTATAATAAATAGGTGTTGAATGAGTAAGTGAAAGAATGCTCACCGTTGAAACTCTGGCACCTAGCTCAAAGATTGGAGCCTGCAGCCACTGAATGAATGTGTGACAGAGGAAAGATGTTCAGGAGCAGGATGGAGGTGACAGTTCAGTGGGATGCAGGGTGAGCAACTCTCCCTCATTTTACCTTTCAATCTCAGATAACTTGGTGCTCCTTCCCTTTCATTCCTTGTAGTAATCCTGGCAGATATATCATTTAAAATATAATTTCATCCAGTTCTGTCCTTTCCGTTAAATTTGGTAGTGCTGGCATTACAGAAGCTTTTAACCCTCTCTAGGCAAAGGACTACTCAGAACTTCACTTCCAGTAGGCATATTCGTTTTTTAAATGTCTAATTTACTAGCAAGCAAAGATTATACAAAAAGCTTTTACCCTAAATGAAGACATATTTGTGATTCAGAAAGTGATTGCACCTTTATTGGGCAAGATGGAGGAAAGATGGTGGCTGGGTCCCCACAAAAAGGTGATAGGATGTGTGTTGTCTTGTGTGGCCCCAGAGAGTAGTCAAAGATTCAAAAGTTAGAAGTAGAAGGGAGAGATTTCAGCTTGTTATAATACAAAACATCCCATAAGTGGAATGGTCGACCTATAACTGAGGCTGTTTATAAAGTACAAATGGCTGGCTGCCAGGGAATGTATAAGAATAATTCTGGAACTGGAAGAAGCATTGGATAAGATAAACTCCAAGCTTCTTTCTCTGAGATTCTATATTTGGTGTAAAAGTACACATTGTATTTTAGGCTTGGGAAGAGATACTAAAACACAGTGTGATAAGGGGAGCTTGAACAGTCTTGGAATAATTTATCATGGTGAATTCTGAACCTGTAGCCCAGGATACACAGTAAACCCAAGCCAAGAGTAGTGGCTGTATAGACTTTATGACAACACTGTCATCAGGGCTTTGATTGTAGTTGTGACAATATAAAAATCATTAATGTGTGAGTATTCACAGCTTTCTTTCCTCCTATGTCTGCCAAGAATCAAACTTGGTCTTGCCTGCTCAGATTATCTTCTCTGTTCTGTTCCCTTCATTTGCAGAATTTGTCTTTGCTACTCTGTTTGTGTGTTGTTTTTCTTTAGAGCTTTCAGTATTGGGAGATGCAATTTGAGAGGAGAGGCTAATTTGATCTACTTAATAAAAAAGAGACAAGGGGGAGGCAAAAGGAGAATCGACTACACTGTGGGCTTCTGAGTTAGTCAGCAGAATGGCGTTCCTTCCTAAATTACTTCGCCAGTGAAATATGATTTCGCTCTAGGAATAAACTATAGGGCACTCAAGGCTTATAGAGATCACAGTCATTCAAGAAATAATCATTATTTCTGCGACTGATCATGCTTTTCAGTTGCCAAGTACTTTTGTAATCAATTGCTCTGGTTCTTTGGGATTCCAATTGGGAGACACTGGAATCAAAAGAGAAGGTGATATAGATGTGACAGTCTTCCTTTTCTTTTCTAATGACCTTGCTTCCTATTTCACTAAGAAAAAGACAACCATCAGAAGAGGACTTCCATATATTCCCAACACCCACTCACTCTGCATCAGTCCTCACCTTGTCTCCCACCCTGTTGCTCTACATGGACTCTCCATGCTGCTAGGGTTCAGCCCTTGCTCACACTCTGGGTCTTCTCTTCCCCACTTGAGCATACCATCTTGCTAGCCTCTCTTCTGTATCATCAATTTTTCTTTCTCTCTTGCTTCACTCTAATCTGCATGCAGATGTGCTCCATTAGATCCATTGATCCCAAATTCCCCTTCAACTACTGCCTAATTTCTCTCCCTTTGATATCAAAACTCCTTTAAATATTTGGTGATTTTAGCTCTCTCCATTTCCATGATGAGAAAAAACTGAACGGTCCAGTGCCAGTTTCATTAGTCAATCTTCCAGCAGCATGTGACACCATTCATTGTTCCTTCCTTCTTGAAACTATCAACACTGGCCTTCTGGAACATCTCTTTCAATTATCCTCTTATCTCACTGGCAGTTCTTTATTAGACTTATATACTGGTTCCTCCTCATCTTCCTGACCTTAATCAATACTTACCTCCTAGGTGATCTTAACCAGTATCCTGGCCTGGTTACCATCTCTACACAGATTACTCCTATACTGACATCTTCTGCCTTGAACTCCATACTTGTATATCCAACTTAAAACATCTCAAACTTAACACATGTACACTAAACTTCTGATTTCTTCCCCTCCCCAACTCTCCAGGCCTAGGCCCCACCAGAGCCTTCCCCGTTTCCGCTGTGTGCAGCCTCATTTTCCAGTTGCTCAGGCTACAATCATTGAGGCTATCACTGATCCTTTTCTCTCACATCCACACACTAACATGCCAGGAAATCCCATTATCTCTGCATTCAATATATATTCAAAATCTAAGCACTTTTCGAAATGTCTACTGCTGCCATCCTAGTCCAAGGCACCATCCTATCTTCCCTGGGTTTTGCAAAAGCCTCTTTAACTGATCTCCTGGCTTTCCTCCCTGCCCCCACAGTCATTTCTCCTCACAGAAGCCAGAATGTAATAAAGGTGGCACATCTGGACCAAAGTAGTAATCCTTAGAAAGCAAACTTTATGAGCAAAAGGTAACTTTGAGTGAATTAGAAAATAAAGATTTCTTTGGGAGATTGCCTTTTGTTTCAGAGTACAGGCC
Source organism: Homo sapiens (assembly GCF_000001405.40). Taxonomy (NCBI): domain Eukaryota; kingdom Metazoa; phylum Chordata; class Mammalia; order Primates; family Hominidae; genus Homo; species Homo sapiens. The sequence goes on along the minus strand of NC_000005.10, from coordinate 156,720,684 downwards.
CTCTGCTGGGCACCCATTGATTCTTCATGACCCTGATTTCAGGCCTTTGCTCAAAACCCACAGGTGGTAGCCACCTCAGACAGGGAGAGAGGTCCAGTCTTTACATCATCCAGAATGCTTCATTGCATCTGGCTCCGTGCTGCTTCTCCATCCTCCTGTCTGAATATTCTTCCCCTTTTTCACCCTGTTCTAGATACATCAGTTACTGTGCTCTTCCCCGAACAAAGCATGATACATCCTCAGGACCTTTGCACAAACACATTTCCCCAAATATATACTTGGCTCAGTCCCTTCAGGTGTATGCTTAAATGTCAGCTGATTAGAAAGGTCGTTCCTGACCACCCATTTATAACAGAATCCTCCCCAGATGCTCACCTTCCTACTGGTCCTACTTTCTTTTTTCTCCCTAATATTTATTCCTGCCTGACCTTTGCTTATTAGTTATATGGCCTGTTGCATCTCCTTTCCCCATAATTGGTGCTCAATATCCATTTGTTGAATTGATGCTCGGTGACTGTTCATTGAAACACTTAGATAAAAAGTGATGTACACAAACGTGGTCTCTTTTGGCTCCTTGTGGCATCTGAAAGTTCTGCCAGTCCTCATTCCCTCCTGCAGAGAAGGCAGGGGTAGAGCTTCTGGGACTACCAGGGTAGGAGCTAAGTACCTGGAAGGAGCAGTAAGGCATTTGAGGTGGGCCTCTGTTAGAGAGTGTTTCTCTCTGGGTCAGTCTTTGGTAAAAGGAGATTAAGGAGAACTGTGTAATCCTTGTGACCCAAGTGTGATCCAGCTCTGCTTATTAAAGTCTACATTGGGGTTTGGAAACAAAAACTGACAGATAGCCAAAAAAAAAAAAAAAAGTTTCTTTGACTGCCGTCACCCTCTGTGCTTAGGGCCTAGGCTAAAGGGTCATCTTGTTGGTTCCCTCTACCTATCACCCCTCTTACAGACCTTCACTAGTGGATGTTCTGGGAACTTTCCTTTCATCATATGACAGCCGTTTAAATTGCTGGGTCCTGGCTGTTTCCTAAGTTTCTATTGTATAGTGCAACACCATCCACCACAGACTATGCATTTAGGTATGTACTCTGCAGTACTGTATGTCCACTCGAAAAATAATTATTAATGTGCTAGATACAGCAGTTAGGCATATTAAACTGAATCTTGCCCTCATTCAGGTTACAATCTCTAATGGTTAATTATATGTGTAAACTTGGCTAGGACACGGTGTCCAGATATTTGGTCAAACATTATTCTAGATGTTTCTCTGTGTGTGTGTGTGTATATATACATCATATATATATCTATAATATATGATGAGATTAACATTTATATCAGTGGACTTCGAGTAAAGCAGATTAGGCTCCAGAATGTGGGTGGGCCTCATCCAATCAGTTGAAAGTCTCAATAGAACAAGACTGACTTCCCTGGAAGAACAACAGTTGTATCAAAAGGCAGTCTTTTGGCAAAAAAACTGCAACCTTTTCTTGGGTCTCCACCTGCTGGCCTACCCTGAAAATTTTGTGTGCCAAGCCTCTACAAGTGTGTGACCCAATTCCTTAAAATAAATCTTTTTCTATTTTCCCCACCTTCCACTTCTCTCTCTCTGTATGTGTGTGTGCATATTTGTATACATAAACATAAGAGAAGGTTTCTCTAATAAAGTGGCCCTGGGGCTGTGACATCAAGGGTAAGGAGGGGTTAGGCAGTAGAGGAGGAGAAGAAAAGAGTATTACAGGTAGAGCAAAGAGTTTGTCAAAAGACCTGTGGCCTTATTTCTTTTCATCTTTATATATATATAATATAATACGTAGCTGGGACTACAGGCATGTACCAACATACCTGGCTAATTTTTTTCTTTCATTTTTTTTTTTTTTTTGGTAGAAATAGGGTCTCACTTTGTTGCCAGGCTGGTCTTGAACTCATGGCTTCAAGCGATCCTCCTGCCTCAACCTCCCAAAGTGCTGGTATTATAGATGTGAGCCACCATGCCCATTTCATCTTTAAAGCACTTGGAGATAGATACTACTATTATCCCTATATAAAATAATTTATATTTTTTTCTTTTTATGAGACTGGGTCTTGCTATGTTGCCCAGGCTGGTCTCAAACTCCTGGGCTCCAGTGATCCACCCACCTCGGCCTCCCAAAGTACTGGGATTACAGGTGTGAGCCACTGAGCCTGGCCTATTATCCCTATATTTAAGATAAAAAAACCAAAGCACATTGAGAAGAAACACCTTTTCCAAAGCCACATACTTGGGACATGGCATAGTTGAAATTGAGGGACTTGTACTTTGAACCAACAAGTTACAGTGCCCATTCATATTGGGAGAATTAGGGAAACATTCATACCCTACTATTTTCTGACTCATCTGCTACTAATGGATTCAGCTTGAAAGGGTGTATTATTTTCATTTCATTCACGTACTCCTCATGTGTACTGCATAGTACTTATGTCAGGCCTCATGCTAAAGGTTGGGAATTCAGAGAAGAACATGGCATGGAATTTAGGAAAGCTTAGCCTAATGAGGAAGACAGACATGTTTGTATTACAATGCAGCTTGTGAACAGTAAGCATCTTTGGAAGAGAAATGGAGAGGCCAACACAGAGAAAGTAGCTTTTGAGCTGCACTTGGAAAGATGTTTTACTATAACCAATTATGACAAATCTTGGTTACAGTTAAAACAAGCAGACATAGAAAGTACTGTCAGGATGGAAGAACCTTATGCCTACAGATCCCTAGAGGCAGAGGCATATCATGCCACTCAAGAGGGGTCACATAGGAAAGCCTTGGGGGTTGGTCAGGAGGCACAGGGAGTGAAGGGAAAATGTGGGCAGGAGCCTCTATTGTGGGTTCCATGGAGAGACCAAGCAAAGACATAGCAAGCTTAGGATGGGCTAGTTTGAGGAATTTTTCAGTGGTGTTGGGTGGAGGGGCTGTCCCCAGTTGTCTGGCACCTGACCCTGGAGTGATTAGGGGAGGGAGACAGTGGTCCAGAAAGTGAGAGCCTGATCATGGAGGTGGTTGGATATGTTCCCTAGATTAGATGGTTTGCATATGAAATAAGGAGGTTTGCAGGTAGGCAGCTGTTTGCTGTGTCTAGGAATTCACCAACCCTGCAAGAGGCAGTTCCTCCAGCGTCAGCAATTCCCCCATGATGTCAAAGCATCAGAATACAGAAAATAAAGATATTGTTAACTCAAATGCAGATAAGTTTATCCAAAAACAATGAGACAAGGCACTGCAGGGAGAACCACACCATGTACAAGACCACCAAGGCATGAGGGAGCGTCATGGTTTTGAAGAATGACAGTGTAGGATGTAGTTGGAGAAGAGCATTCACGAGTTGGGTGGGAGTCAGTATTAGAGTGAAGCACCTTGTAAAGAAAGCTAGATCTTATCTCCAAGCAATGGAGTGACACTAAAGGCTGCAGGAATGGATGTATTGGTTAAGAGACAGTGTTTCTCTCTCTTTGAGGCATCCTATGTAAAGTGACCCAGTTAAAGCCAGCACAGCTTTTCTTAGCATTACTTTAAGAGGAATTCCTTTGAACTGATTATTTGCTCACCATCTGGTGCCCAGGTAAATGCTTTAGATGTTTTCCTTTTAAAAATATTCAATGTATTAATTTCACACATGAGGAGAAATCATATTAAATCTCACTACATAATTAGCCAAACCACAAATACATTTTCAGAAACAAAGATGACTCATGTTGTTTCCTAATTAAACCTTGAAAGGTTTAATTAAAAAGCATAATATGGAGAAAACTAGTTTAGAAAGAATTGGGGCTTAGCTTCCTGAATGTGTGCCTAAAGAGCTTCTCTGTTCCACCCCTATCGAGGGAGGAGGAACAGATGTGTAAATGACATAGCAGTCCTTTACAGGGGATGGGCTGTGTTTCTATCATGCATGACACGCTGTCTCAGAGACAAGGGAGCTGGTTAATGGGAAGGAGAAGCCTTTTAAGGAAACAAAGCATTCTAATCCTTCTGTGCATTAGATCCGGAAAACACCATAGTGAACTGGCAATGCAGCAAAATAATGACCATAGTAGAACATTTAAGAAGTGGTTACTATATGCCTAGCACTATGCTGACTGCTTTGTATACAGTGATTCCTCACAACCACTCTGAAGTAGGTGGTATTACGCACATTTTTCAAATAGGAAAACTGAGGGCACAGAGGCAAGAGGCAGAGCTAAGACAGCTTGTCTGACCACAGGGCTGTGTCTCCATCACATTCAAGTCCCCTCTGGAAATCAGTGAGAAACCAGTGAGCCCTGGAGCAGAAAATGTGCAGTGGAAATCCAGGTGCTTCCTAACTGTGAGATTTCTAGCCTCAGTTCCTCATCCATAAAATGGGATAATAAGACAGTGGCAGGAAGTGGTGAGGTTTGAGTAAAATAATGCCTGTTAAACTGACAAGGGTAAGCACATCATGGATATCAGATCTTAATGCTTCTTTCACCAGTGCTTTTATCATCAACATCAAAGTTAGTGCATCCTAGCAGAATTTTATGTCAGGGTATTTAGGAGCACTGTGGGGTAGCTCAGAGGCTGATCAGGCTGAACAAAAGTGGAGTAGTAAGGCTGTCTTGCAAATTTTTCTAGTTAAAAAAATCATTTATACTAAATATAGTTTCGGCAATACACGTTCTTTTCTTGCAAACAATGCTGTCAGTGCCCTGCTTCAAACCATGCAAAGACATTTAAGAATTTGTTTAAACATCTTTGCCTTGGCTCCCTGTGAGGCCCCGCAGGATTCTGACCTGCTTACCTTGTCTTGCACCACTCTTCCTTTCTAAGAACACCTTGGCACAGTGGTCACTCTTCTGTTTCTCAGAAAAGTACTTGCTCTATGCCAGGCACTGCACAGAGCATCAATATGAGGATGATCTCTTTTAATCCTCATAACAGCCTTATGGGGCCTGGTGTTTATCTGTACTTCACAGTTGTGGAAATTGAGGCCCAGGCAGGTTAATTAACCAGACTGAAATGACATAGTTAATAAGTGGCAAGCTGCAATTCAAATCCAGGCACTCTTGAATTACAGTCCAAACAGTTAAACTTTACACAATATAGCATCTCTCAGTCTCATCTTGTCTAGAAACTCATAGCAGCTCCAAGTAAATGCACAATGAATGAAGGAAAGATTGATGATGATGAAATGGCGGCATGGATTAGTCACTCAGGATGGGGGAAAGCCAACATAATGAGCAAGCCAAAGCTGACCGAAAAAGACCATTTGCAAGCCCTAATTGTGCAAGTGTAACAAGTCCACCTTTCTTTTCAGTTGTGCCCTGCATAATCCTCACTGAGTTTGAAGTCTGACTTCAGCAACCAAATTACCCTTTGCTGATGAGTTTCCACCAGTCTTAAAGGCTATCATCTCCTGTCCTTTCCATTTACTCTAGAGTCAATTCATAATAATTGCATTGAATTTAATCATTATTCATCTTACCTATTTCCTACTTTCCCCTTTCCGTTATTATTTCTTAATTAATTTCAGGACCAAGACAAGTGGCAAGCCATATGATGACTGACCAGAAACATTAGAAAGAATGGAAGATGGTTTCCTGAAGCTTCGCTACTCTGGAGGTGGAATGAATTGTGCCAAATGTCAACTTCTATGGCTCAATGAGCCCTTTCCTGAGCCTGTCAACAGTGAACTAAAGAAATACAATCTCTGTTTCTCCAGTCAACGGTAGAACAGTGCTTGCACTCCCGATATTTATGGATATATTTATACAATTCTCACAAACCTGACACCAATGGCCTGGGATCAATGTAGACAAGTGGTAAAGAAAAACAGAATGATTCTCTGAAAGGATGCATATTAAAAAAAATAAAAGATTTGTGTTCTGAATGGCTTGTTTTGAGAAAAAGATATGCTTCAACTGAGATCTACATGATGTAGCAAATAAAAACAGGTATGAAAATCCCTTGAACTAAATTTCACTGGATTAACACGTCCGATCAATTCTCATTAATCACAACAGTTATGTTTTATCAAGGCACTTCGAATGCTGGAATCACGGGTACTAAGTCCTTTTTCCTTTGAGCCACTGCTCCTAGGGGAAACATAGGCTTAGGTTTCTGTGAGCCTCTGGTCATGACATTTTTGTCAACTGATCAATACATAACTTTGTTTTATGTGTGTTTCTGTTTAAAGATACCTTATTTAATAAATAGTATTGATTTATTAATATTGATCTCATAGCCAACAGGACTGTACCTCATGTTTGATGAAGCTTATCTAACACATATTTTTCTCTATAAGGCACATGTCAGCCTTCTTGTGCTTAAAAACACTAGACAGCACTTCAGGACTATAGTTGGGGGCCATTTTAAACAGCAAAATCAAAGGACAAAAGTGCAAAAAATGTGGCAATCAATAGACCATGAAGAAAGATGCTTGTTTACAAGAAGAGCTGAAACAAAGTGGCAGAACATCACCTGGTTCCACCTCAGCTGGGAGTGTGTATGTTGGATGACTCCAATTTCTTACTGCTCTACACATGTCCATAAATAAATGTGTAAACACAGTGAATGTGGATTCTGGGTTACAAATAAAGTTTAGAAACAGGCAAATTCACAAGTATGGAATTTGTGAATAATGAAGGTCAATTATAAATATGAATCCCAAGCTTATAATTTGCAATTCCTTTCACGTATGCTGGAGTGAATAGGAAACTAGAGCATTTAGTTGACACAATTGGGACTCATACCAGGATCCTCTGTGAATGCCACAATTAGCTCTTTGAGCTGGTGAAATCACTGGATTGGTGAAGGGATTAGGATTAAGCAGCTCAAAGGCAAGGCCACTGTGTAATACGTAACTCCTTGTTTAGTTGGGAAAATACTAGAAGTTGGCTAACCTAGCTGAAAGAAACCAGAATATCTCAACTCCTTTGGCATATTTTGAGATGCCTGTTCTGAGGGGCTGCAGATCACAAAACTAGCCTTGAAAAGCTGCCCTTTTGTTCGGGAGATTTGCATCTGGAGAGGAAATCCACATTAGTAAAATGAAGTAAACAACAGATGCAAACAGACTTTCTCTGAGGACCTCTTATCTGGATCTAGGAAAGATTAACTCACAGGAAAAGGAGGCTGAAGTCTGACAATATAAGGTTCTGACAGAGAAGCGTTTACCACAAGCTCCTGTCTGTTCCTTCTGAGAGCTGCTACCTGAGAGGTTTCATCTGCCTAACAGGACCCCTTCACTCCCAGGCCTTTCCTCCTCTCTCCCTCCTATAACGCCCCCCCCGACATGTTCAAAGTCCATATTCTTCCTGTCCCCCCAGGATAATATAAAAACTTCAGTCATCTTAGCCCCTCTTCTGAGTCTCACTCTTCGTGTATAACTAACTCCCATGTCCATACATGTGTTAATAAATATGTATACCTTCTTTCCTGTTAACTGGTCTATTGCCAGTTTATTTTATAAACTCAAATTATCAAACATTCACTGATGGGTAGGGAAGGAAATTCTTGTCTGTCCTACCTAGCCAAGTCGTAGTGGACATTTTGGGGAGTATCTCCTCACTCATAATAGTCTCCTGTACCTGCCCGGCTACCCCTAATCATAGGGGATTTCTACCTGAGAGGAAAGTTGATTGTTGGGTCCCTCACAGCTGAACCTGTATTTATATATTAATTCAGTCAATATTTATTCAGACCCTACCATGTGGGAAGCATTTGTCTCTCTAGATGATGGCAAGAGAGACATGAATAAGCTTCTCATGAAGCTTACATTCAAGTATGGGGGATAGATAACAAGTAAACTCATCAGTTTCCCACTGGTTTAAGTGCAATGAAAGGAAAAGTGAGGTGATTGATTGATAGACAGTGGGTGGGAAGCCAGGCTGTCCTGGAAAAGGGGTTGGGGAATGCTGCTCTGAAGGAAGAGGGGCCTGTGGAATGGCACACAAGTCCGAGGGTGGAGCACAAGGGCTTGGTGTGTACCACAAAGACCTGGGTTTGCTCCGCTGCGTGAACTGGGGAGCAAAAAGAGGAGATGGAGTCAAGCCCAGACCTTGCCTCTAGTGTTTCCTGAGAAACTGGATGTTGGTCCTTGGATTCTGTGAGAAACCTGGCAAGCTGATACATTTATCTCTACCTTTTCTTAACACACATCTGTCTAGTCTCTAATATTTGCAAACAACGGTTCCTACCTAATACAGAAGTCGATTGGTATAGTTAAATGGAAACATTACCTTGTTTGGGAAAATAAACTTTAATTTTTTGAATATGACTTCATAAGATGAAGACAGTGTTTTGTGACTGCCACAACACTCTCTATACCAACAGCTCATTTGAACAAGTTTTCCAAAGATCTGCCAAGCTTGCGGCATACCTTACCCCATCCTGGAACCACTGGCCAGAGAAATACATAAGGCTGTCATGACTCTGTCTGAGGCATTTAAACCAGAGCAACTTCATTCTGAATAGGGGCTGGATAAAATAAGGCTGAGACCTGTTCCCAGATGGGTAAGGCATTCTAAGTCACAGGATGAGATGGGAGGTCAGCACAAGATAGAGGTCACAAAGCCCTTGCTAATAAAACAGGTTGCAGTAAAGAAGCCAGCCAAAACCCACCAAAACCAAGATGGCAAGGAAAGTGACCTCTGGTTGGCATCACTGCTACACTCCCACCAAACTATGATAGTTTACAAATGCCATGGCAACATCAGGAAGTTAGCCTATGTGGTCTAAAAAGGGGAGGCATGAATAATCCACCCCTTGTTAAGCATATGATCAAGAAATAACCATAAAAACCAGCAGTCCTCAGGGCTGCTCCGTCTATGGAGTAGCCATTCTTTTGTCTCTCTACTTTCTTAATAAACTTGCTTTCACTTTAGCCTATGGACTTGCCCTGAGTTCTTTCTTGCATGAGATCCAAGAACCCTCTCTTGGGGTCTGGATCAGGACCCTTTTCCTATAACACCTCTACAGAGAGATTTATTTTGCTTTGGAGAATTTCAGAAAGTCAACAAAATATAAAAGCTGATTTCAAAAATTGTACTAGATGAAAGCCCTCAGGGATCTCTTGCCAAGTAAACTCAGGTCAGTGCCTGGGGTCAACCTTTCCCTGAAGTCACGGCAAGAAGTGAAGTGCAGCAATTACTGCTCCTAACAGAGGCCCATCCTCTGGCAAAATACAATTGATTAAAAAGTACTTACGTTGATACTGAAGGGTGCCAGGGATGCTTGCATCAAAAAGTTAGTTTTTACCCATCTTCACTTTCCTTCTTATCTGTGCTTGCTCTCTAAGGAATATATTGAGAGATACATTTGCAGGAACTTAGTAGTAAGCCATCGAAGCTACATCAATGGTGGCCATGTGGACACACAATGTTTACTAAATGTTACTAAAGTAGGAAATTCTAGAACTCTGCCTCTATGGGGAAAACACTGTAAAGCACCTGCAAACCAAAAATAAAATTCTAAGCCCCCCAAAGAACTGAATGGACCCCCCCTCTTGACCAAGGGGATTCCAAAAAACCCTGAAACACTGGTTCAGGCCATGATGGGAAGGGGGCATCAAACTTGCCTCATTATATGCTTCTCCCTTGGTAATTCAGGGACAACTGACCAGTATTAACATTAAAACAGAGATCTTAAGACTGACCAAACAGACCCTTTGTGGCAATAAGATACCAAATTCTAACCTGACTCTAGTATAGTATCACATGACAAATAGCAGGTCCTGAAAGAAAGAAAAGTATTTTACACCAAAATATATCTCTTTGACAAGGCTATCTCTTATGGAGTAAATTTACATTCTGTAGAGAATCTTCTTCCCTTTCCAGGTCTTTTTTGATCCTGAAGAGATTAGCTGAGAGTCCAGCACCTTTTGAAGGTCTGCATAGAAAACATTTGCCATCTATTGCCTCTAAAGATGACCACCTATGAGACTTCATCTACATTGTAAGAACTTTGGTCTTCACAATCCCTTATCTAAACCGAGACACTCTATTGACTCCAGATCTTTAGATAATAACTTAACTCTTTTAACCAACTGCCAATCAGAATATCTTTGAATCCACCTTTACCTGCTTTGAGTTGTCCTGCCTTTCCAGATCAAACCAATTGCACATCTTACATGTATTAATGTCTCATGTCTCCCTAAAATGTGTAAAACCAAGCCATAACCCAACCACCTTGGGCACGTGTTCTCAGGACCGCCTGGGGCTGCGTTATGGGTCATAGTCCTCACATTTGGCTCAACATAAATCTCTTCGAATATTTTGCAGAGTTTGGCTTTTTCATAGCACACCTCAGAATGTTGCTCTGGATTTGAAAAATGGAAGTATTTTTCAAAGTACCTGGTGTAACCAAGTAATACTGCCACAGGGTATAAAAATATTGTTTTCTCAAAGAGGCACATTTTGGCTGGTTTTTCTGAGAGTGTCAGAATTGGCACTGGCATCCAATCATTCACTAAGTATTTACTGAGCACCTCTTCTCCATCAAGCCTTGGTTTATGTATAAATATATGCATTTTCTGAATTTTTAAAAAGCTCCTAGTTTCCTTTTTGTCTACCACTATTCTATCAGGCATGGAATACCTCCTGCAACCTTTGGTGGATAAGACTAATAAGGAAAGGAGGCTCAGGACGCAAGAAAACTCTCCCAAGATCCCACAGCTGCAATGCTAAACAAGGGCTTCAAGACTTTCTAAGCCTGGTCTCTTTCTCGGTGCTTTTCAAACTCTTCTATCAAAAGTCCTTTATGGCTAGAAGACTGTGAAGTTGGAGTTTAGAGATGCAGTATGCTTTTCTTGTTGATTCCCTTCCCATTTCCCCAGAGTAGGGGGCGGGAGGGTGGCGGCGTCGGGGGGGAGGGGGCGGCAGGAACATAAGTACCAAGAAGTTTCAACTGCCCCATTCTAAGCACACAATACAGATCACCTGGAGAATGAATTTCTGCTCTTTTCAAACCCACGTTTCTTTCCTGGCAATATTACTAATGGGTCAAAGAAAGGAGAAAAAGCAAGTGTGCAAGAGTATAATTCATTGTTTATACAAGTGGTGGCTTGCAGGGATATAAAAGCAGTTCCCCAGACACTCTCAAGTATATAGGATTATTTTAATCCTTTTCATATCACTCTGAATTCTTCCCTCCAGCCCTTATTCTCTTCAGTTTTTGTCTTCAGCACAAACCCTTTTTTCCTGATTTTCTTCCCAGATTTTCTCCCAAGGTGGAGCTGGCTAGGCCTCAAGCCATTGTGACTCTGTGCAAGTACTTCACTTGCATGTAGTTACTCTCATTACAACAGTGTTAGTATGGAGAGGAGGTGAACAAGGAAGGGAGTGGGAGCAATTTGACCTCATTCAGACCCTGCTCCTTTTAGTCAAACTCCAAGATATATTCATGACTGGATCACTTCTGTGCTCACAGTGGAAATACTCTGTAATTTCAGGGTCTCTATTTTTGGCACCAGATGGTCTTCATGACCTCTGCATATTGTCCTTGAAGGGGATCAGAGTATGCCATCCAAAACGTCACTCTGCCATAAGGATTATTTTGAGTTGAAGGCAACTGAGAAACATCAGACACAGAAAGCAGCTCTCTATCTTCACCTTTTTTGTCTAAAAGAGGGGTATAAATTTCCCTTTGTGAATGTGTTCCCCCTACCTGCTCTCAGCAAGACTCTAGGCTCTTATTAGCTGATAGATGGTACCGAGAGGAGAGGAATATATGTAACAAGCCCTGCTAAAATAACCCCTGCCTTCCATTAGGTTCCCCATATGTTTACTTTCCTAGAATTCACTGCCCTAGAGGCTCAAAACCCTTTCCTTTGTCTTCCTTTGTCTTGTCACTTCTCTAAGAATTTATTGCTGTTTTTAAAAATGGTATATAAACCTCTGGATCTGACTGTCTCTTTGGGGTTTTCACTTCATTTCTGTGAGGTCCCTCTCTCACACACGCACACACACGTATTTACATTCCCTCCTTCAAAATAGTGCACTTTCTCTTTGCTCAATTCTGCAATAAGCAGAATTTACAATGTATTTGAAGAGTAGTGCTTTATCCTGCAAATTCAAACAAATTTAGCATCTATTCCTCAATACATCTGTTTGTATGTTCGTTATGTGTCTGTGAATTCAGCTGTTGAAGTCTTCAAGTAAGACTGATGCTCCAGAAGATGTGTATTATTTATATTCTGAATTTACATTCTGAACTTCATTTTACCACTATGCACTCTGCTTAATAAGTCAAAGGGAGGACAATTTAACTTATACCATGCTGTCTTTCACCTTGACCAAAACCAAAATAAAACAAAATGATATTGAACTCTATGAAATGTCCTTATAGATCACCTCTCCAGCAGTATCAAAAATTTAGTCATGGACATTCTACCTGCATTTTCATTTCCTTTTTTTTTTTTTTTTAATAGAATGCTTTTCTTAAAACTAAAAGGCAACTTTGTTCTATTATCATACATGGGAAATCAACATCCCTTGTCCCAAAGAAGATAACCAAAAAATTAATACAATAAACACACAATGCTTTATCTAGAAGCTATTACATACCAAAAGGCTCTGATTTCAAAGTCCGTTCTTATCCTCAAAAAGCAGAACAAGTAACACCAAGTAACCCCAAAACTAGCACCACAAGACTTAATCTTTGGCTTAATCAGGATCAGGATGGTAGAATTCAAAAAAGAATGGCTCTCTCACTCTGTTATTTGATATACAACCTAAAATTATCCTGAGTGACACCAGTGGTATGCTCTCCACACTTTGGGAAACACTGACATAGTCCAATCTCTTCTGTTATTGTTGAAGAAAATACAGCTCACAGAAATAAAGTGAATTACTTATTACTAGCAGAGCCAAACTTAGTACCTCTTTTAAACCCTTAATCAAGTGCTTTCTCAGGTACACAGAATTCTCATTTGGGAAAAAAGAAAAATGGCGTTTAAAAGTTATTTTTCAGTTTCCCTGTAATGAGTGTCTATCATTATTGATTCAATTTACATTATTAATGGCTTGTCCAGTGATCTACTCCAACATTTTTCTCAAAATTACCCCTAAAAGGAAAGGAATAATTCATTGTTTATTAAAAATATACAGACTAGTTTTCATAAACAAGGAACACATTATTTCAAATTTATTTCTATTTTCTTGTATCCTTCATTTGATTTTGTTCATTTTGGCTCTTTCATGTTAGTTACTGTCTAGAATCACCATAAAACTTCCCTTATTAAAAGAGAAAAGACTGGGTCTGGTAGTAAGATCTGATAGTGCATTAAAATGTGTAAAATTGAAGCACATTCTAGCACTCTTTACTGAGAGTAATAATTATAATAGATGAAGAAGATGTCAGTCTAAAGAGATAACTTTATTGAATAGAATAGGCATGAATCCAGTTAATGTGTTCCATGACATGCTGGTTGGCATAGATTTCTAATATGTACTAAAATGCCACCCTGGTATACAGACAGGAATAGATGGAAAGGCCAATGAAAACAAATATTAATTTATATATAAAAATGTCTGGCCTTTTATGAAAACATGCTATGCCAAGAGCCCAAAGTTTGTGAGTTTTGTTTAATCTATGACTATGCATTTTTATGTATGCATCTGTGATAGAATAATATTTTGATATAAAAGTGGTTGTGTTTTTTGGAATACATGTCACTTTCTGTTATTCTGTTCTTTCCCCTGTTCAGGTAACAAATACTATATTCTATGCAAATTACTTTAAGTAAGAAATGACAGAAGGATGAAGTCAGTAAGACTTCAAGTTCTTGGCTTTTGCATCTCAAAAAGGCTGGATTAGGGTATAAACAATGGGTTCTGAAAGATCAGTGGAAGAGTCAGAGTAACATACCAGACTGAATCAACAATCTGCAGATAAAGGATACCTTAGAACAGCAGAGGAAAGTTTAGAGAATAAGGAGTTCCTGAGAATGGGCCTTAGTCCCTATTTCCAATTTCCCTGAAAATTCCCAGTGCAGGGAGGAGCAGACTATTGATTCCTCCAGGTAATTCTGGGGACTCTGATTGCTGAGGGAACATATATTCTCTACCCTCTTCCCAGGAAAGGCCAGCAAAGTGTCAAGATTTCAAGAAGAAATGGCTCCCTGGAAGAGAGAACTGATGGAGTACGTTTCAGTGTGCCTCTGAGTATGACACAGGAAGGAGCAAAATGTTTCCCACCACCTAAGGGTGGCAGAAATGTGACATTGAAAATGGATGTAGTGTGGGGTCTTAAGGCGGGGTTAAGGAGATACAGCTACACACTGATCATGATCAAAGACCAATGATCAAAAATCAGGGGAAATACAAGCATTGTGGCAGATAACAGTGTATGTGGAGAATGACAAGGACCCAACTTTTACTGTCCAAAAGCCTTTCATGACATTAGTAATCCCACTGTAATTGAGATAAACAATCAGAGTGAGATGACAAGACAGTGATGTCTTGAATTAACTGATAATAAGTTTATGCTATCTAGAAGAATGGGTGATCTACATGAATTTTTTTTAAGTCCTTAAAAATAATAATCCTTATGGGTTGGAATTTGTACCTGCTATTGATACACATAATTTGAAATTATATATCCAGAAGGTAGATAATATGCTAAACTTCTCTATCGTTCATAGAGATGAGCAAGAAAATAGTAAGGGTTTAAATTTATCTTTCAAGTGACTTTTACCTTAGAATTTCTTACAAAATTGAATATGATTATACCAGGTGGTTGATTGAAGTATTTTAGTAAACATATTTGAACTCACCATGAATGAAAACACGAAACTACAAAATAGTAGCGAAGGACAAGATGTAAGTCACATCACTACTAAAGGACTGGCCAAGACACAAAGTCAAATATTAGCGTTCTCTGAAGTAAATTAGTAAGGGACTATTCAATTCCTTTGATCTCAGAGTCCTGACAAAGAAACTCATCTTCTTTAAGATATATGCAATGTCTAGGCAGAATCAGTGCAAGCTAATCACACACAGCTTATCACCAATATCCAAGATATTGAGTTCTTCTTAATCAGTACAGACTATATCTCTCTGACCTTCAGGTGAGAGTGGCAAAAGGGCTCTCCATTTGCAGATCAAAAGGGTAATCACATTTAAGATGATATAGTATCTTCTAAAATCTTTGGATTTGTATCAGTCAGTTTAGGTTGTTATGTCATAATAACAAGGACCCAGTATTTCAATGACATATGAAGACAATTGCTGATATTCCAGCAGAGGAGAAGAGAGAAAATGGCAAAACCAACCAACGGCTGTTAAAGTTTCTGGTTAGAAGTTGCATGTGCCACTTTAGCTCATACTTGATCAGTCAAAGCAAATCACGTGATTCCCTGACATGGACAGGACAGTATAAATTTCCTCCCAGAAAATGTAGCAAATATATTTTGCAACAGTACAATTTGCCAAAGATATCCTTATTTCTATTATCACAAGTGAATTTCTTTAGCAATTTACTTATAAAATTGTAATAAAAAGATGTCTCGATTTATAAATTAGAACTTTAATATCTGAGAAAGTACCTACTTTATATTAAGGATACCTATAACAGTATATTATATAGAGAAGTTTTTAATAAAATTTGCTGAATCATTATTATGCATGAATTGTTGTAAATTACAGACCTTCAAGGAAGAGCTAAGATGTCATTTCTCTTCTTCCATACTATCTCAAACTTTCACATCAGATTTGGTTATTTGGGTTGATGTTAATAGGGAAAAAAATAGTTGGGTAGGGTTTTGAGGTTGGTTAGTACTTTAGAAAGTCTTTCTTTTTTTTTTTTAATCTAGGCAAGCTACCACCAGGTGAATGGCAGTATTTTGAGCATAACCACATAGGCATCCTATAGGTATTATTAGCTGAATTTAAAAAATAATAAAATGAGGGAAAATGTGCAGCTAATATTTCACTGTATTTTAATATTATACAGTTTAGACCAAAATTTAAAGCAATATAAAACGAAGATACCATTTTGTATCTTGTCATTGCTTGATACCTGCTTTACTAAAATATTCGAATAAACCACTTTTCTATTTTGTGATTTCAAGATATTTTTATATATAATTTCTATATTTGAACATTTTGAATAAAAAGTATCTTTAGGCAAATAGGCATCTGTTGTTTTTACCTGCCCAGTATTCATTTCCCATTCATCTAGCTATAGCAAACTGAATTTCTGTGGGGCTCCACCTCTTCCACATGTTCAGCTTACATGGTTGGAGTGGATCCACTTTTCCCTCAAACTCCAGGAAGAGTCATATGACCTTTCCTTGGCAAATCTAAGCACTAGACTCCCTTAGCTAGGCATTTTTATTTAGGAATAAGCATGTGATCCAAGTCACGTGACTGGGACTTATGACCAGAATTTTTATTGGAATTGTTGAGATTATTTCTCTTTCTTTCAGAGATGAATGAAATGATAGGATAGAAGCCTGGCGGATATCTGGACAGAACTATGCAAGAGCCTTCCTGAGAATGGAAGCCACAGGAGGGAAAACGGAACTTGGGAAAGGAAAGAGTAAAGTGGAATTTCAATGACATCATTTAAATGCCTGGATCCAAAAGTGTCTGGACATTCAATATCAAAATATTTGCTTCTCACATCATATTTCAGTGATGTGAGCCAAATGTTACCTTCCACCACCCTTTTAAGAGTCCACTTGATTTCAGTGTTCCTTCACTTGCAACCAGAGTTCTCACTGATAAGTGTCTATATGGTGGTTCATTCCTCCCTCAGTGGTATATGACAATGAAACAAGAAGGTATGGCAGGTTAAAAGTCATAGGGTACCACAACATTACACACTGAGCCACAAAAGCAGCTCAAAGCCATGGTTTGTGGGGCTCCACCTCTTGCTCTCTGGAAGGCATTAATACATGGTGGGAGAAAATTATAAGATCTATATTGTCACAGAACTTTTCACATAATTATATTGTTATTTTATATTCATTTGCTCCTGGGCTTCATCAAATGGAGAATTTCTTATCTCTGTATCCTCAAGGTTCAACACACTACCTGGCACAAGCTAGGTACATAATAAATGTTCAAGTAAAAGAATAAATGATTCATTTCTTAGTAAAAGCGTTGCCTAGCATGGTATAAAATTGTAACTAAGGATAAATCCCTTTATTTCAATCAGTTTTCACATCATGAGCCATTGATCTTTTAAATGCATGTTAAAAGTAATGCTATTCAAAAAGCTTTCCAAATGCCAGTGTTGAATGACTTAGATAAACGTGTGGTAGGAAGGAAATTCCAGGCAGAGGGATAGCTTAAGTAAAAAAGAAAAAAAAAAAAAGAAATAAATAAAAGAAAAGTATGGGCAAACTCTGAGGCATATGTTTCATGTTCCAGAAGCACCCACTATAGATTCTAAATCTGTTTTATTTTCTCTTGTTTTAACGGTATTTAAAAGTATGTTTTTCATAGTTAGCAATAACTGTGAAGAATCTAAGATTTCATCCTCCTTGCAAGCTAACAAGGTAGCCTGACACAGTTTCATGGATGCTAGCAGGAGACATGAGACTTCCAGGTCAGAAACAAGGGACTTTATTACTGGCGGCATAGCAAGCATTGCAAGCAACATCATGTCAGAGTCAATTTCCCTTGCCCCAATCCCATGGGTGGGGGTAAACACAAATGTGCCCAGATGGATGCCTAAAAATGCAGTGGCTTATATTATAGGAGCAGAACCCAGAGCTTAGGGAGACCAAATCTTTTTTAATGGGCAGTAACTTTACTGGCTTTTGCTCTGGAGGGAGATAGTAATTTTCATTACACTGGGCAATAAGCATGGCTGCACTTTGCTCTGGAGGGAAACACTATATATTTTAAAGCTGTTCACCATTTCAACATCATTGAGAAGATAGTTTAAAACAAAGGACAGCTAATGCCTCACTCAAAAGACATGCAGAAATACAAGAGGCCCATGAGAATTGTCTCCCACTCATAGTAAGAAGGGTAACAAAAAATATAAATTAAAATATTAAAGTCTCATTTTATTAAAACTTGGATATTTAATTTCCCCTCAAATATAACTATTGCCACATAAGAAAAAGAAGCTGTATAAAGCCATTTGACTTGGCAGCTTCCTGATGAATAAAAAGCAAAAATCATACTGCTTTTTATTGAGATTCATTTTCCAAAGAAAGTTAGATTCTTTTGGTTTTGGTTTTATTAGGATGAGTTTCAGTACGCTTCCCCGCCCTGAGTATGTTTGAGGATGGCTTGGGAGGAAAAGTATCCACATTTTGGCTGTACCATTAACTTGATGCCCAGGTAGAATTTATAATAAAAGGGTAAAAGAGTTCATAAAGAGAAGAATATTAAACTGAGCAATAAGGACTTGTTAAGGAAGACTAGAAATGTAGGCCTCCATGTTTAGGAGTAGAAAATTAACCCCAAGCAGAGGGCACAGTGGCATGAATGAAGCAAATTTTAGTCACCCAGCCCTTAAACACTGTTGTAAACAATAGTTAAAGTACTAAGTCAACATTTTATTATCAATTGCATCCTGTAATACCAGCATAAATGCATATAGACCCAGAGAAGGATGAGGCAATTTCAACTGATTGATAAGAACTTTACCTGCATAAGCCTCATTCTTACATACAAGGCAAACAGGGGAGCAACATCATTTAAGTCTGTGAGATTCAAATCACAGAAGCAACCCTAATATAATCTGACAATATAAGACTGAGTTGGTTCTATGGATTTTCTGAGTCTACCTATCTGATTTTTTGTGTGTTATATCTTCTCATAAAAGCATTAAGAATTGAGGATTGAATCTATTTAATGTCCTCAAGAAAAACCATAGTCAATTCATGCAGATGCTATCACTTTTAGCTTTTTTTTGTAAACATACATTATAATATTGGTTATTGGGAATCTTCAAGTTCTCAAATCTTAAAGGGTACTAAAAATCCTCACACTGTTTTTTGAGGTCTGCGCATATTATCAAAACACCCTTGTAAAATGAAAATCTAGGTGAGTCTCTTGTTAAATCTCTTCAGAGGCTTTCTGTTTTACTGAGAATGATGGTCTAATTCTTTAAAAACACTTAGTCTCTTTGCCTCTGGTCTTCCCTCCCCTGCCTCTCTTCCCTTCTCTATCACCAGTGTCCCCCATCCCCAATTAGATACTTTTGAGCAAGGAACTGATAAGATCTGACTTTGACTGAAACACAAAAAGCATAAACAGTCAATTGTGGAAGAAGGAAGATGATTTACAATACAATAATCCAGGCAAGAGATAATGACAGCTTGAACAGTAGAGTAGTAGTGACAATGATGAGAGGTGGTCAGATGCTGGATATTATTTTCAAGATGGAAATAACAGGATTTTCTGACCAAAAAAATGTAAAGCATGAAAAGAATATTATTTATTTATTTATTTATGCATGTCTGAGCAACTGGAAGAACATAATTGCCATTTACTGAGACAGCAAAGACAGTAGCAAATCAGGCTTGGTAGAAAAAACAGAAGTTCTAAGTTAGCATTTGATTTACCTGTTGGAAATCCAATTCCCATGGACTCCACACATACAAATCTGCAGTCCACAGGAGAAGTCCTGGGCTACAGGTAAGTAATGAAGAGTCATCAGCAGAGGGATGGTATTTAAAACCATGAAAGCAGATGAGATAATTAATCTGTACAGATAAATGAGGTGATTGCAAGGGGAGATATGCAAGTTAAGGAAGGTTTCTTCTTTCTCTCTCTCTCTTTTTTTTTTTTTTTTTGAGACAAGGTCTCACTCCATTGCCCAGGCTGGAGTGCAGTGGCACAACCATGGCTCACTGCAGGCTCGACCTCCTAAGCTCAAGCGATCTTTCTGCCTCAGCCTCTTGAGAAGCTGGGACCACAGGGGTGTGCCACTACACCTGGCTAATTTTCTATTTTTTGTAGAGATGGAGTCTCCCTAGGTTGTTCAAGCTGGTCTCTAAGTCCTAGCCTCAAGCAATCTTCTTGCCTCAGTATCCCAAAGTTCTGGGATTACAGGTGTGAGCCACCATGCCCAGCATTATTTTTTTTATAGGGGATGAGAATATATTTTACAACTGATGGTAATGATCTGGGGGAAAAGTCAAAGATACAGGTGAGGGGACAGTAGGTGCCTGTTGAAATAACATCCTTGAATAGGTGCAAAGGAATGAGATTCATTGCAGGAGTTGAGAAGATGTTTTAGAGAGGAACATGGCCAGTTTATCCTGGTAACTGGAGGAAAGTAGATGGTAGTCACACAGGTAGATGTTGTGGTTGGAATGTATGGAAGCTATCTTTTGACCACACCTATATTTTCCCCATGAAAAAGGAAACAAAGCTACCAAGAAGAGAAGGAGGTATAGCAAGAAAATATTGAAGGTTTGAAGAGAAAGGAGAGGTATGCAGTAGCTTTCTTGGAGGGTACAACAGAGAACAGACCGAAGACATGTTGGAGGATCTCTGGACTGTACTGTCAACCCACTTGAGGTTAGGAATCATGACGTTAAAGAGAGACTAGTTAGTATGAGTGTATGTTGTTCTTTGGCCATTGTCTACTGCCCCAGTGAAGACAGAGGGTAGACAAAGAATTAGATTGACTGAGGATGGAGTTTAGTTGGGCGGGAATGATGGAGTAGGGACAGGCAATAGTCAAGACCACCCTCCACATTCCAACCAGATTGGACTTCTTTCTTCATGCCTTCTTTTGTCTCTGATCCTCCTCTGCTCCCACTAAACACTTTCCCCCACTGTTCACTTAGCTACTACTTCTCTTAAATGCCACTTTTGTAGGGAGTGCCTGGGATCTTGATCAATGCCACTACAGTAAACATTGAAAAGGGTTTGTCCCCTGCACCCATCAAAGTACACTTGAATATTTCTCAAGAGCTCTCTCCTCTATATCTCAGAGCTACTCTAAAGAACAGGGTCTGGTGCTGTCTCACCTTTCAGGAAGTACAAGTGAGTGATTGTGGATCTTGTCGTCATTATAAACCTTATTTCTTTTTTGGTTTCCTGAACTGACAGCTAGGTCCTAAGTCATGCATGGTCTTCTTACTTGTAAATATACCTCTTGATTATAATTCAAGGAAATTTAGAAAAATCAAAAACAATAGTCCTTTGTTTGAGAAGAACAAGTCAATTTCTTTTAGAGATTGGGCAGAGATTCCAATTATCACCTTGACTGGCTAGGTAATTTCAAGCTTTAGAAATAGAAAAAAAAAAATGAACTGAAATCACAATTGTAGTCATCAAACTCCGCATGCAGGTACTGATAGTAAAGGAACAGCCTTTCCTTCTAAACTAATTTGTTTGATTTTGTGTTGTTAAGTAGTATTCACTAGCAGTGGTGGTACTAACCACAGGCTTGCCAAAGCAAGATGACTCAGAGGCACAGACAGGACCTCAGGAGTTTTTACCTTCTTCTACTCCACTTTTCCCTTAAAAAAATAGATACCCCACTCTATACCTGATTCCCATTAAAAAAGAAAAATCCTGTCTGTGTCTAGACAGCCATCAAGCAATTTCTCATACAAAAGTGTCTCTGCTGAGTAAGTCTTGATCCTTAACTCTCTTTCACTAAGAAAGTGTTCAGAATGTTTAATTTCAAATCCAGGTAGAGTCACGGGATGCCACACAGAGCAGAATAAGATACTGGGATGACTTTAACAGTCATGGTAGCTGGAGCTTATTCTGTTCTTAACCTCTGTCTGCAAATGTCATGTCAATCTTAGCAATGTTTTTAGAACTCTTTGGTTTGTTTAATTTTTAAGCTACTACTTTTTGGATATTTCCTATGTTCCAGGCAACATACTAAATGCTGTGTGTGTGTGTGTGTGTGTGTGTGTGTGTGTGTGTGTGTATTTTAATTTAGTTTTCAAAATATAATAAGCCGGATATTACTGACTTCTCTTGTACAGACAGAGAAATGAGGCTTACCTAGGCTAAGTACCTTGCCCAAGGACACACAATGGGTTAGGAGCAGAACCAGGACTCCAGGGCTGGTATGTCTCCAGAGCTGTGCACTTTAAGACTCTGCTTCTCTGAAGCAAACTTTCCAAGTCATCCTCCAACAGGGAAATCAGTTGTCTCCTGCAGTAAGGCATAATCATTGCTAGAGATGCACAGAGCACAAGCCGAATACCATCTGTTCAGAATACCCGTGGAAGGGACTCCTGTTCTGCATTAGCAGCAGGTTGGGCCATGTGGCCTCCGAGGTTCCTTCCAGCTGATTGCTACACTTTGCTAAAGGGTTGGAATATTTTAAAGCTGGGCTTGAGATACTGAGTTAGTAGCAAGGTGAGATCATTGTGAGAACCATGAGGGAGAAAACAGAAAGAGAAGAGGCAGTTGCCAGAGAAATCTTTACTTTTTCAACATGTCATATCTGCCCCTAGCCTGCTTAGAGACTGCTGGTCCTGTAAATAAGTTCTTATTCTGTTTGGTTCTGTTCTTATGAGTGATTTCATGCCTAGAAAGTGTGGGTCATTCCATCTGAGCTGAAATGAGGTTTCTAAATTGTCCTACACATACTGCCATTTTACTGTTCCTATTAGACTACAGCTCTCCCACCAAGTTGAAAGTTGTTCTCCAATTTATAAACAAGCAGGGAAAGCAGCAGGACAGCAGAGCTAGGTCAATTATAATAGCAAATGTGGATGAGCCACTATGCCCAGAGAAAACCTTCATTACACACTACTCAAAAAAATTAAGATTCTGAAAACACAAAATGACTAATCTGAGTTGTGACTTCCTCCCCTCTTTCTCCTGACTTGAGAGAGAGAAACATCTTCTTTGTTGCTTCCATCAGTTTTTATCCCATGGAAATAAAATCCTAAACTATATATTAGAGAGTGGGTCATGCATGTATCCGTCAGTCTGTCTGCCCACCCTTCCACCCACCCACTCATCCATCCATCCATCCATCCATCCATCCATCCATCCATCCATCCGTCCGTCCATCCAATACTATCTTCCAGGAACTGGGTATATACTAGTGGACATAATGAATGTGATTCCTGCTTTCACAAAGCTCACAGACCAGTAAGGAGGCAATTATGATAGAGTGTGAAACAGGCAGAGATAGAGAAACTCCAAGGTAGTATATGAGCACATGGCAGGGCTCCTTAACTCACATTTGGCTGCTGAAGGAGAACTTCACAGAAATAGCTCATGTTTAAACTGTTTCCCAAAGGAGGAGTCAGGATTCTCTAGATTAAGCACAAATGTATGAGATTTGGGGGAGAGGGGCAAGGAGTGAACTAGGGAGGGTTTTGAAGTATAGGAAATATGTGAGAAGAACAAAAAAGTACACATGTGGGGAGCAGAATGTCTCTAAGTAGTTCTTGTCCATCTCCTCAGACACACAGTCAGGGGTCCAAGGGAGCTGCGCCATTAAAGCAACAACAACCAAATGCTAAATACTGTTTCTGAAGCAACTATATTGAGATATAATTTATATAGCATATAATTTGCCCATGTAAAGTGTGCAATTCAGTGACTCATTATATTTATGAAGTTGTACAAACATTACGATAATCACTTTTAGAACATTTTCATCACCCCTAAAGGAAACCCCACAATCTTTAGCTGCTACCCCCTAAGGCAATATGTTTTACACATGCAAGTGACCTTCAGATGTTAAAAAAAAAAGATGTCAGTGTTAAGTGCTGTTTAATAGGTCCAGAGAATAGCCAGACACTCAAGCGTCTGGAAACCAGGATGTCTTTCTATGGTGAAGTGTGTGTGTGTGTGTGTGTGTGTGTGTGTGTGTGTGTGTGTGTGTGTTGTGTGTAAGGATGATGGGGAGAGAAGAGGGTTCTAAGAGATCTTAGAATAATAGATCAGATTCTTCAATTTTAACTCTAAAATATGCTTTTGAAAGCAGAAGTTGGGCTGGTTGCTGTGGCTCACACCTGTAATCCCAGCACTTTGGGAGGCCAAGGCAGGAAGATCACTTGAGGCCAGGAGTTCCAGACCAGCTTGGTCAACATGGCAAAACCCCATCTCTACTGAAAATACAAAAATTAGCCAGGTGTGGTCTTACATGCCTGTAATCCCAGCTACTCAGGAGGCTGAGGCAGGAGAATCGCTTGAAGCTGGGAGGCAACCTCTGCTGTGAGCCAAGATTGTGCCACTGCACTCCAGCCTGGGCAACAGAGTGAGACTTACCCTCAAAAAAAGCAAAAATATTTAAATTGCAAGCATTGAGAGAAGATTTTGTTTTCTGTTAAGCCCTCAAACATGGTATAGTCAGAGCAAAAGAGTTTTGAAACTCCAAGCATACATATTTATGTAAGAACAGTTTTCCTATAGCCAAAACAGTTCTTAGGAGAAGAATAAGAGGAAGAACATATTCAAAATGTAGATCCTGCCTATGGCCCAGGACTCTGGGATGCTGGATGGAGAAGTGCAGCATCAACTGGAACTTCTCCTAATTCATGGGAAAAGTTCCTAGAAAACAATGAATCACTGCTTAGCTTCACAGTTGGAAACTAAGTCTCAATGACAAATCTCAGGTCTTTCTTGGTGTCTGAGTAGCAACGACTGAGTGGCATAACTAGGGAGATAATTCCCGAATCTCCTGACCCCACATGAACAGTTCCAGAGTCTCAAGGTGAGGGGCATCCTAGAATTTCCCAAGTACCCAGAACAGGTTGTAAATGGCTAAGAATTGGCTGGTAGGCCTTGAGAGGCCTCATGGTTGAGAAAAAGAAAGCACAAGTGTTTCATGTTGACAAAACAGGTACTGATACTTAAAACCAGTGGCTCATCTCAAGAGAATGGACAAGTCTGATGAACACAAACCAGACATCTTCCTCCAAGTCAGGAAGACATGGGATTCTTCTTAGCCCCTATGTTTATAAATAAAGTTTTATTGGAACACAGCTATGCTGTTTGTTACAGCCACTGTCTATGACTGCTTTGGAGCAACAAAGATGACAGAACTGAGTAGATGCAAAAATTATATGTCCTTCAAAGCCTAAGATACTTACTTTCTTGCTGTTTACAGAAATTTGCAATTTGTCAATTTCTGGTGTAGAGCCTTAATTGTTATAGGATATAACACACCCACACCACATGCATACGCTTTAATAATCAGTGTTCTTCAGGGAAACAGAACCAGTAGGATATCTATCTATCTATCTATCTATCTATCTATCTATCTATCTATCTATCTATCTATCTATCCATCTATCTATCTATCTATCTATCTATCGAGAGAGGTTGATTTATTTTAAGGAGTTGGCTTATGCAATTATGGAGGCTGGCAAGTCCAAACTCAGCAGGACTGGAGAAGAGTTGCCATGCAATTTGGAAGGCAGTTTTTGGCAGAATTTGCTCTTCAGTCTTTTTCTATTAAGGCCTTCAATTGATTGGATGATGCCCACTCACATTATGGTGCCTAATCTGCTTTACTCAAAGTCTACCATTTAAAATGTTAGTCTCATCTAAAAAATACCTTCACACACACATCTAGACCCATGTTTGACAAATTATTGGGGTACTGTGGCTTAGCCAAGTTAACACATAAAATTAACCAACACACACACACACACACACAAACACACACACACACACACACACACAAACACAGTACCTTTGAAATTAAGAACATGGCACTCTCCCCTCTGTTTTCCTCCTAAAGATTTCTCTGAACTCATTTTGATTGGTTTGCAGTTAAGAAGGAAGGAAACACAAAAATTCTGCAGTAATATTCATTTACTCAGTGCTCCAAGAAAGAATATATTTCACTATAATAATTCACAGTTTCTCTCTAGGATGAGATAAAGGTAAATATTTCACATTTCACATTCTGGTTGTTTTGGTGTAGCACCAGCATGAAAAGGCTAAATCCAAGTGGATTTTTATTTAAGTCAGCTGGCATAAAGATGACACATTCCTTTTTTCTCAGTGGGAAAACCAGACGGGCCTAATTAAAAAAATGTATCATATCAATCTTCAATTATGTCGCAGTGGGGAGGAGAATAATGTAGTCTAAAAGTCTTTAGGTCTTGGAGAATGATGTTTTAATTAAATAAACACATTTTTATTTTTGTATTTAGGAAATAGCTTTAAAAACAAAGTACCAGGGTCTGGTTTTAAGAGGAAAGGCTGAAGAATAAAAACTTCTGTTAATAATATCTTGTTTCCCCTTACTTGTATACAGTGGGTGCAATTTCTGCTCTATTTCTCTGACAGGGTTAGTGTGAAAAGCAAACAATATTTAGAAAAAAAAATTAAAAATTGTAAAGCACTATACAGACAGACAATGATAAAGCAAGTGGCCAGAATAATCGAGTTGGCTATTGTTCAGATTTGAATGTCAATGCCCAAGAAGTTTAAAGGAACTGTCAGTGAATGCTGAATACCAAGGCAAAGAGAAGGCAGAGGAGATGTACTTAAACAGAATCCAACAAGCTCACCTCAACTCCCAGATCCAGGAGTCAGCACTTCCTCTGGAAATTACAGTGACCTGGGTGAGAAGGTGAGTTCTGCAGTTTAGACGCCAAAGCTCCCACTGCTGGAAAACTTTAATTAGACAATGTATTGCAGCCTTAGCTACTGGAGATGTTATATTTTACCAGACAACCATAGAACCTCTTAGAGTTCAAAAAATCCAGGTTGCAATTGCAGATGTCTCCAGGGCCCAGGCAGGGAATGTAAGAGTGAAATACATCACAAGTCATTGCAAGTACAATGATAAAGGGCACCTGACTGTCAGCCTGTGTCAGGGAAACAATAAGAAGTAATGAAGAATGGGGAGAATAATAGGCTACCCATCCTCTCTGAGGGTAGAAGCTCTATTAGAAGATCCCCGATTCTTACCATGTAAAAGGAGGGTCCAGGAAAGATAGAAAATCCTTCAATTTCTAAGTATTGGCAGCTAATTCCAATTAGAAAACCAAAACCAAACTACAATCCATATGTTAAACACCTACAGACTGTCAACTGCAATTTGTGATACAATCTACCCTTCTGATTTTACTGAGAAAACAAGACCATAGAAAAGTGACTAGCTCAGGAGCAACCAGACAATTAGAGGTCAGTTCCTTCTGCCTCTAAACAATTTCCTTTTCATCACTACACTATGTTGAACAGATGTATTGATGTCCCCAACATTTTAAATATTTAACATAAAATGGGTATCTGCACCCTAATATTCCTAAAGAGTATTTTCTCATATTCATTTTCACCTTCTCAACTATTTCTCAAGATAAAAATTAAACGATTGTGAAAGAGCATAAAGAAGGTATAGAGGTCAGTTCATGTAGTTCTTTTCTGAAGTCTGGGGATGAAGGAGGCACTGGTCTCCTTCTCTATAGGCAGTCAGAGCATGTGCCCTATCTCTCTGACAGGGTCAGTGAGAAAAGCAAATGATTAATGAAAAACAAATATTAGCTCTAAACTTACTTGTTTCCCTCCATGTCTCTCTTCAAGGTTTTTGTCAGACATATCTGAACTTTGTGTAGCTATTGGACTCTAGTTTCAAACACAGCTTGAGTAGAAAAAGTAAAATCTACCAAATGGAACATCAGAAAGTTATAAGTTCTGGTTGAATATGGCTAAGGAAGTTTAGGTGTATTGGAAGCCATGTTTTATTAAAACAGTACATTATTCTGTGATTTTTCCTCTTTCGGGCTGAGTGACCTCAGATTCACTGCTTAGTACATGTGCCTCAGTTTGTCTTGTGATAGCAGTGTCTTACAGGGC
Source organism: Homo sapiens (assembly GCF_000001405.40). Taxonomy (NCBI): domain Eukaryota; kingdom Metazoa; phylum Chordata; class Mammalia; order Primates; family Hominidae; genus Homo; species Homo sapiens. Next base: position 156,692,988 of record NC_000005.10, on the reverse strand, counting down.
TCTGAGGAGGATAAAAGGAGGTGACTGTGCTGTGTATAGTGTCTGGCACACGGTTAGTGCATAATAATTGCAAGCTGAGCCTGAGGATTTTGCATACTTCCAAGTACATACACTAAATTTTGTCTACAAACTTGTACATACAAATTGCAGGCTAATTAGGTTACAATGCAGTTGATTTCTAAAACAAATCATTAATTTTTAGACCCTTTCTAAAATATAACCTATCTCAGTCTGATTTCCTCTTAATATTACACACTAAAAAACACTTAGCAATTTAAAAGCATTTATTTTATAACAACCAAGGCACGTTAGGCAGTTAGCCACTGGTCAGAAAAACAGTTTGTGAATGCTATGATGTCTGTGATTTGCTTCTAAACAATATAGAGATGGAAAAATGAAATAACAATTGGCTGTGAGTTGATAATTGTTGAAGCTGGGTGATAGGTACATAGAGGTTCATTATACCATTGTCTCTTTTGTATATGTTTAAAATTTTCTATAATAAAAGGTTAAAAATAAACAGCCTCATGTATAGCAGAGTTAGATCTTCAGCTGGCGCAAAATCTAATTTGTTTCTCCCCACTCCATCATGCTGCTGATGCAGGAATGGCAGATATCTAGCACTTGTGCCATATCTCCCCACGCTGTCACCCATGGCAGACATTAATAGTCAATCACGATACTCCTCATCTCAGGACTTCAGGCAACTACTGTCAATTGATAGGAATTGTTAGATGAGAAGAAAACTCTTCATTCTCATTGTCTTATAAATGAGGAAGGTCATTATTGTACTTAACTGCATTTTCTTTAAGTACTTTGTAGAGTCTTGAGATGATTAATGCTTAGGATTGTAAATACTGTTATTTCAGGAAATTGGGATTTATGTGGGAATTTGTTTTTTACTGTGAACTTCTAATTTGATTTTTATGTGAAAATGAAAGTTACCTAGTCACAAGTTGAAAGTCTAGCATATTAATATCAGTTCCACACATCAAAATTTCCTTTTCATCATGATATATTAAGAGCTTCTCCTTTTACATTCTAACAGTTCATATAATTTTGATGTGTATTTTTCTCTGATTTGCATTATTGATTTGGATAATGAAGAACAGATGAAACTTGGTGCTAATATACATACATTTTATACTTTTATTCATGTTCAGCAAATCTAGCATATGCAGATATTCAGCACATGCTAATTCGGTTGCTGGGGTCCATAATATTCCAATCTAGGGGTTGGTAAACTATGGCCCATCGGCCAAATCTGATCTGTCATCTGTTTTTGCATGGCATGCAAACTAAGCATGGGCTTTACATTTTTTAATGGTTAAAATTAAAAGAATACTTCATGACATGAAAATTTTGAAATTCTGATTATCACTGTCCATAAATACAGTTTTATTGGAACACAGCCACATCCACTTTTTTAGGTATTTTCTGTGGCTGCTTTTGAACTACAATGGCAGGGTTGAGTAATTATGTCACAAACTGTATGGTCCACTGAACCTAAAATATTACTATTACAGAAAAAATTTATTGACCCTTATTTTAGTTCACCTCTGCACAAGGGAGCTTTTTGCAATGCAAGTGCTCTACATTTGTGTGGTCCAGTATAGCAGCCACATAGCTATTGAGTCTCGCACTATGGCCAGCATGCCTGAGGAACTGAATTTTTATTAATTGTAATTAATTTAAATAGCCACATGTACCTAGTAGACAATGCAGTTCTAGTTTGTCTATAATGGAAGTTTGGGTCTCTCTCTTTTTTTTTTTTTTTTTTTTGAGACAGAGTCTCGCTCTGTTGCCCAGACTGGAGTGCAGTGGCACAATCTCGGCTCACTGCAACCTCCACTTCCTAGGTTCAAGCGATTGTCCTGCCCCAGCCTCCCAAGTAGCTGGAATTACAGGCACCCACCACCACTCTTGGCTAATTTTTGTATTTTTAGTAGAGACAGGGTTTCACCATGTTGGCCAGGTTGGTCTTGAACTCCTGACCTCAAGCAATCCACCCACCTTGGACTCCCATAGTGCTGGGATTACAGGAGTAAGCCATTGCACCCGGCTCTGGATCTCATTTTGACTTTCAAAGACTACAGTATCCTTGCCATCTCCTTAACCATCTGACTTTAACAGTCATCCTATTTTTTCCCATACAACTGACTTTCATGTTACTAAATCCAATATACTATTCTTGGATTTCATTTTCCTTGGCATCTCTGCTACATTAAACCAATGATTTTCTCCTTTCTGTGCTTCTGAAATTGCCTTCTAACTCTGTTTATTGTATACTCCTTTTCTTCCTCTTAAAAGTAGACATTTACTAATGACCTGGCTATGTCTTCTATTTATAATTGTTTTCCTGACAATAACTTTTATTATTATGGCATCAACTCTCACATCTAAGCAGATGAGCTTCTGCTTAGATGTGAGAGTTTGTGCTATCTGTAACTCCTGGGCAGAGTTTCTGTAAGTCTGACTTCTTGCTGTACATCTCTACTCAAAAACAACTCACCAGCATACAAACCAAAGCTTAGCTTATACCACCTCTTTCTATTCCCTTGAGTGCTCACTTTTCCCCAAATTTTCCAGAAAAACTTCCAGTTTCAAGACTCATTAGCTTGGAGTCCCACTGTTGTTTTAACATCATCTGTTTTAACCACAAATTTTAAATAATAACAATAATAATACACCTTGATCAAGAGCATGGGCTCAGTAGGCTGCCTGGGTTTGAATCTCAGCTCTATTCTTTCCTAACTCCATAATTCTAGGCAAGTTTCCTTCCTCCCTGGTTCCTCTGCTCTCTCATCTGTAGAACAGGGCTAGTATAGTACTTACCTTCTAAGGGTGTACAATATGAAGATTAAGTGAATTAATATTTGTAAAGCATTTAGGACAGTGTCTGGAAGACAGTCACTTTTAAATATGTGTTTAAATAGCAACGGCATATTTTGAACATAAAAATTATGTTTTGAAAATAGCCATTTCATACACTAAAAGGGGTAATATTTTGAGAATTATTTACCAAGATATCACAGACACTACAAGACATAAGCTGTATTCTACATTTAGTTTGCTTCTCTAGGCTGCTATAAATAACAGCAAGTGTTTCGTGTCTTTATCAAATAGTTCTGGATATTTGGATGAACACATAATGACTATTTCCAGGGCTTAAGACACAGAACTGATTTGAATTCTCTCTTATCTTTAATCTTGAATAATCTTCTTACCATCCTTTCTGTCTTTTGCTTTCCTGTTCAGAGCCTCCTACCTGTCAAGTCAGAACAGCCCTGATGACCTCAACCAATTGCCAACAAACACGAAATCCCAAATTCTCAATTTGGATGGTGGGGTCTTTCATGTGCCTACACCACTGGTAATTTCATTCTCATTCTTCTGTGATCCAGGGATTATGCTTCCTACTTCCCTTTCCTTGGAGATCCAAATTTCGTCATTTTTTAAATGATAAACTCAAGTACCACTTTCCCCCTTGATCTCCTTTGCCTCATCCAAGATTTCGGGATATGATGCCTATCCCTCATATTCCTTTTTGGTATGGTACTGCCCTTTCTAGACTATGGCTTCCTTTTGTATAAAGGCTGACATTTTGAGATCTTCGGGAATTCCATGTGCCTTGCATCAGAAGGCTATCCAAAAATGTGTGTCACTTTGTCCCAAAGAAGCCCAAGGAGAGCTATCAATCTGTTTTTTAAACAACATTTTATACTTGGATTAATTTTGGATTTCGAGAAAAGTTGTAAAAATAGTGCAGGGAGTTCCTCTATACCCTTTGCCCAGCCTCCTTTAATATCACCATCTTATATAACCAAGGTACGTTTGTCAAAACTAAGAAATTAACACTGGTACAATCCCATACTATTAACTAAACTACAGACTTTATTTGGATTTTACCAGTCTTCTATGTCTTTTTGTCTTTTTAAAATGCAGGATCCAATCTAGGATAGTACACTGTGTGTAGTAACTTGTTTTCAGGTGTAAATGGACACATTATATGACTGTGGCATACAAAAGGAAAGAATACGGAATTTGTGAGAAAACCCAGGTTTGAATCAGTTTTTGAAGCACCATGTGCATAACACTGAAGAAATCAGCTAAGCTCTGAGCCTCAATGTTCCTATTTGCACAAGAGATATGATAGCCCTGGTAGGTTTTTGGCTGTCCAGCATCTATCCCCTTCTTTGCAGATTTCCTTTGGGGATTTTCTCCTCACTGAATACCATCCAACAGAGCCATCGAGTCAAGGGGTGGGGAAGGAACCCAATCTGAAATAGCCTGGCAGCCCTGCCTGGGATATGACTCTACCATGACAAAGAGGCAGAAACCAGAGTTTCTTCACTGTGATCAGACTCTGCTGGTTCCCAGGATTTCTACCTGCGAGCCTTCTGAAGCCATCTTACTTCTCTCCTGTCTCTAGGACCCTTTCCAGCCTCCTGTTAATTTGGGGAGTTTCTGACATCCTTTAAAAAAATCCCCTTTTAGGTAATTAATCAGAATGAGTTTCTGTTGTTTACTATCAAAGACCCTTAAGTAAGAGGGCAGGTGGAGTAGCTGCTGCTTGGTTATTATGAAGATCAAATGAGCTAATATCTATGAAAGCCCATCATTATAAACAGTACTTGCTGTGAATAACCTAGTGGATAAATGCATTCAGATAAAATCCATTTGGTCACTCTTTCATTCAACGAATATTTAAATTCCAAATATTTATAGGTGTCAGCCACTATGCCAAAAATAGCAACTGGTTTAGAATAATTATTGGGAGGAGGGAGAGGATCAGGAAAAATAACTAAAGGATATTAGGCTTATTACCTGGGTGATCAAATAATCAGTACAACAAACCCCCGCGACACGAGTTTACCTAATAACAAACCTGCACATGTACCCCTGAAATTAGAAGTTAAAAACAATTATCAAGACAACTCAAAGCTGAAGTGTTCTGTAGTACACCTGGCTGTGCAGTGAGATAGTGGTGTGAGTACATCTGTTGGGGACATTGGGAAGGGCTGGGGTAGGTGTCAGAAAAATTTCTCATGCTTCCTAGAATAGCTGAATGTCTTTCCTCTGGTCACTAATGCTACGGTAGTGCATACCTGGGAATTAGGCTGGTAACGAACGATGGTTACCATCCATTCTCCCTCTACCAGCCAGCAACATGGTGATCAGCTTGGGAGAAGCAAGGCTGTTGTTCCCTGGCACTAAGTAAATGGCATGTTTTTCTTGTGCTGCAACCAGCATTGGGTTCATATCAGCACAGCTTGTCAGCAAATAGCAATTTATGACACAAGTTGATGCGGAGGGAAAGGAGGGTCAGTGAATGGAAGCGTTACACATTTTCCTGGCGGAGGCTGCCTGTTTTACCAAGTACATTATCTGCTGTCTTCTTCAATGTGCGGCTTTGATAACAGTAACATTTTGGGCCCATTCAAAGTTGAGGAAAGAGAGTCTCCGATAGCTATTCAGTTCAGTGACATAATGCCAACACAAGTTGAATTTTATGCCTTCAGTAAATAGCTCACCTCCCCTTTTCTTTTTGTTCTGTCTCATGATCCTTGCCAAGTGGTTTTCAGAGAGGAAAAGAAAATAACATGGAATGAAAAGATGGGAAGCAAGGAAAGCCTGTTTCACTTGAATGTGTCTTTTTAATTCTGCTGATTTTTAGACCGCCTCCATCCCAATCTGAGCCCCCCACATTTGTGCTGGGTGGGAAGAATGCATTAAGATTCTACAGTCCTGTTAAGAGCTACTGTTGTGTGGCTTGGTTTCCTGTAATTCTGTCCCTATGTTCCTCAGCCTCTAGCCTGCCCTGCCTTTTCTGCTTAATCTGTCTTCCCACTTTGTCACAGTGGTGTATTTCTATAAATCCATTATTTCTCTGCATGCCAGTTCCCAGGAGATTGTAGCATTGTCTGGTGCGGCATGAGCATATCTGGAGCTGCTGATTACTGAAGCAGGTGCCTCTGATGGATGGTCACTGTGCAAAGAGCTGCTTGGAGCATTGGATATCCTTGAAAAATGGGACTGCCCCCAGAGGGAATCAGACACGTTAATAAATCACAGCCACGGTTGTTAAATTCTGACAGTGGCTGACAACGGGAAAAGAAATGGTCAGTTTTAAGGACTGGCCCTGTGAAGTCCTTAAAGATCAAATTCTCTTGTAGCTTTGGCTTTGCCTATAGAATTTCTAAAACAAAGCTGATCAGAGATTCAAGCAGAGCTGTCCCCGGTTACTCAAAGGAGTTACTCAAATTGGTTACCTCGAAGCACCTTGCTTAAATCATTTGATGGATCTAAAGGAAATTTAATAATCAGCTGCTGCTTTGTCCCCTAGACACTTACAAACCTGTCAGCATCTGAGTAAGCTTTGTATCAAGTACTATGGCTGTTCTGTGTTCAGCAGGGATTCTGTTCAAGGATGAAGACAGCTGGGACCCATGGTGTGCAAGATACTAGCCTGCCTAGAGAGACTATCCATCAGGGTTCTACTGCTAAATGAGACAGTGTTTGTGCTAATCACAAAGCAACCTTGGCTTCTACCAGGGCTGGAGGGCAAAGGAGGAAAAAGGTAGGAGAACAGTGGCTTTGCAGATTACCATAGTCCTGACATTTTCTGGGTACATGCCTTATGGAGAGGCCCAGAGACGAAATGACCATGTGAGGAGCAGGCTAACCTAGGGGTCTTTAGATTTATGCAAACCTGAATTCGAATGGCAGCTGAGCCATTTACATGCAATATGACCTTGGATTAATAAATTCTATAACCCCTCTAGGCCTTCGTTTCCTCATCAATGAAATGGGGATAAAAACAGAACCTACCTCATAGAACTGTTTTGAAGATTAAATAGATGTAAAGTGTTTTACACATTGTTCAATACATAGTAGCTGCTATTCTTAGTAATTCATGGAAGAGTAAAATTCTTTCAAAAGTGTTTTTTAAAAACTTTTATTTTAGGTTCAGAGGTATATGTGCAAGTTTGTTATTTAAGTAAACTCACGATAAGTCTAGTACCCAGTGGTTACTTTTTCTGCCCCTCTCCCTCCTCCCACCCTCCACCCTCAGGAAAGCCCCAGTGTCTGTTGTTCCCTTCTTTGTGTCTATGTGTTTTCATCATTTAGCTCCCACTAAAGTGTTTTTTATTCACTTAGAAGAAAGAATGTGTATGTCAGGCCTCATGGCATAAAAGAACATCAGCCCAGCTTGACTTCACTTCACTAAACATTTGTTAAGTAGGTACTGTAGATACTGGTTACTGCCAAGACACTAAAGTAAATGACAATATCCCCATTATCTCCCCAACTGTACTGTAAGCTTCTTGACAAGGCATGCATGCATGAGGTAAGCTTAGGAAGGGTTCCAAGGCAGCACATAAGCAAGCTGGAGGTTCTGTGGATAGTGAAATACCCTACATCCCTAGGAGCTACAAACTAAGGCAAAAAGATGCTCATCAGGATTGCTGATGGCCCTTTCTACTCTATGGCACTCTGCAGCTTGCTTCGTCTAATGTTTGGGAAACTTCTAAAGCATTCTAGACAGCATATGCCTAACTCCATTTCCCTGCAGGAAAGAAGCATAAGAAACTAAAAGGATCCAGGACAAAATAGAGCAACACCGACAACTTTCTAGCTCATATCAGCCTCCATGAGCTTTTTTTTCTACCATCTTCCATCTCTCCCTTTCCATTGTCTTAACACAAGCCTAAGCCTGACTTCTTTGGATAAGAGCTGCCCTTGGCCGAGTAGCCCACTTGAGTTCTTACCCTGCGACGCATCTCCCCTGGATTCTGGAGCAGCTGACTCCACTCTACCACCCATTTCCTTTCAGCATCTGCCCCTTTCCTTTAAGGGGTTTTTAATCTTCTGCTTTCAAGGTGAATGACAACTACCCCTTTGAGAAACGTTTCTTTCCCATTAAGCTTCTATATCTGACTTCTTTGTCAGCTCTGCTTCTTCCTTCTATTCCCTAAATGCGAGTATATCTTTTTCACCCTTTGTTTTTCTTTCTCTTCTGCAGATGATATCCACTGCAGCCCTGTCTTTTCTCCCTAGTACTCCTGCTTTATTGATTACTAGATATTTCTACTCACTGGGTTTTCTGCTACTTCAAAGAAAACTAAAACCGGAAATTATCCAGTTTTAAGCCCCAACCATCCCCCATAACCTTCCTATTTCTTTAGAAGCATTCCTAATTCTTTGAGGCTTGACATCTCAGAATGGTGTTATTCATTCAGTGGATACTGACTGTGATGTATTAGAGGCTGGTAAATGTAGACTGTCCTGGTCTTTTCCCAGCCTGCTGGGGGAAAGAAACAACTCAGCATGGAAATACAATACAGATGAATAATTGCTGTGATTGTATTAAAGCCTGAAATCAGTTTGGGGGTTCACAGAAGCCTTACAAAAGGAGATGATATCTAAACTGAGACCCAAAGAGTAAGAAGCAGTTATAGATAAAAGGGATACGGAAGTGTTCCAAACAGAGGACTGTTCAAAGGCCATCCAGGAAGAGAAAGCATTTGAGATTCTGGAAATAATTCACCATAGCTGGAATCTATAGCGCAGAGGAGCAAAACAGAGGTCAAGGTGTGAAAGACTATTCAACCCTCATCAAAAGCATCCATGACCATGACCTCCTGGGAGGAGCTCATGCTGCTGACTACAGCAGTGTTACACTTTCTTTCTTGTCATAGCATCCTCACTTCATCATCTTCCCCACCTCCACCACCCAGAATGCCATCCACCTTTCTACAGTTTCCTAACTCTCAGTGACATCAACTCTAGTGTAGACCACAGAGCACTAACTAGTTTGGTAATTCATAACATCTTATGTGGAAATTTACTTATTCATTCATTCATTATTCAAATGTTTGTTAATGACCTACTATGTGCAGGGCCCTGTACTTAGTACCACATGGGAATAAACAAGACAAACCTCGTCCCTGGCTTATGAATCTACAGTTTTGTACACGAGACAATCAACTAGTGAACATATGAGTTAAAATTTGTTGGGCTGTCATTTTTGTAGTTTGGTCTCAACTTTTTGTGGAGTCTCACTAAATTAATCTTAAACTCCTGAAAGTTTCCCTTGAATTAGAATAGCTATGTCATTCCATTAGATGTCTCTGTGTGCTGGCACTTTGTCTACCAAATATCATAGAGGCCTTATGAGATGAATCAATTATGATTTGTCTTTTCAGATGGAACAACTGAGCATCCAAGAGTTAAGGAGAGTTGCTCAAGATCACGTGACTGTGTAGTGACAAAGCCAGGGATTTCACTCAGGTCTATGCAAATGCAAAGTTCAAGGTATTGAATAGGGGTTTAGATGCTTTGTAACTGCTGGCTTTGTCATTCTTCTTAATTAACTTACCAGGAAGGTTTTTTGTTTTTGTCTGATAAAGACATTTGGACCTGTGTCAGGCCAGAGAAATAGAAGAATTTCTATAACTCAGCAAAATATAATGTTGTCTACAGAATTGCTCATCCCTTCTCTTAGGATTAACCATGTCGGCTGATTTGGATTTAATCTTATTTATCTCTCCTTCAACAAATATTTACTAGCTTCCATGCATTCGGCACTGTGTTTGATACTGGGGATAAAATAGAGAGGAAAGAAAAGTTACCCTGTCCGCATGATGCTTTTGGCTAATTATGGATACAAAGATGAAGGAAATACACCTAAAAGTGAATGTGCAACAAAAGCAGAAGTAAATGGGCTTGTGTCTGTTTCAAAGCTTATGTAGTTTATCAACTCAATAAAATCTTACAGCATGAACAATCCTACACTCAGGTGTTTCCTGCAATCTAATGTGGTTCATTTGATGGAACTAAACATCTATATATCTCGGACATCTGTTTCCTTTAAGGCTTGGCTATCACTCACTCAGATCACCCCACTCCATTCTGTCAGAGAAACATTAGTGAAATCATGCCTTTCCCTTCCATAACTTACCTGTTTCACTGTAATGTGTCAACTGTTTTAATATCCTTTGCTTTCTTGGGGATTGTAAGTTAAACTTCCCGTGTGAATGTGTGCAAAGAAGAGGATGCACGGGAATGGGAAATGCTGGCATCAGCTTTGCTTAATGCCCATTATTCTACTGTGTGCATGTGTACATTCTATGTCAATACTTTGGAGACCTTCGGTACGGTACTAATGTTGCTTCCAAAGTCATTATTAAGTGTTCTCAAATGTAAACTAAGCCTCCCCTGGTCCTTGACCCCTAATACCACAAAGGCCTGAAGAACCCAGCCCCTGCTGATCAAATGATATCCTCCATCTCTCTTCACAGTTAGACGTGCTGGTTTCTTCCTACATTTCCAATCAGCTTTCTACTTAGAACTTTAATGTTCCTTGTCCATACTACATTCTTTTTGTCTTGGTCACTGTGTTAACCCTAAGGCAAGTCTGAAGTATACTGCCTTTTCGGCAGAAGCTGAACAGACTTTTGCATTTATACAGTTTGATTTTGTAGAACAGGGGTCAAGTGAAAGTCAACAGATTTGTGTTTTATTACTTCTCTTAGCCTAAAAGTTTTTTTCCACATAATTTTACTCTTGCTACTTGTCCACATTAGAACCTATTTAACTTGTACACTTCTGCTCATGCCTTCCAGAATCTTATTTTTAAATATTCAGATGCCCATAACATCCTATGTGAAAACAGCATTTTATTTCTCAACGAGAATAAACCTATACATTTACTACTTGTGTATTTTATGCTATTATAGTTGTGGAAACAGCTATAATTGGCCACAGCTATGTATTTTTATTTACAGTGACATTCTACGTTATCTTTTCTCTCTTTTTAAGTTACAAATCCTTGAATAAGTCAGTAACATGTACCATGTTTGATCCTTACCAAGTCAGTTCCTGAGAAATATACCAGAGAGAAAATGCAACTCAATTTTTACCCTTTTTATATAGATTCTAAGCAGGTTTTCATTAAATCCAGTGGCTGAGAACATGTTATTTTAGGTACAGTAAACTCCTTCATTATGCTGGCCCTCAATTAAATAAACGCCTGCTGAGATTATATTTTCACTTTCATAATAGCATTTGCTTTGGCAACGTCATTTGACATAAACCATTTTTAGATGGACAACTTAGAACTTTTTCATCAGTAAAGTAACCTCAAATTGAGAATAAATCAAGAATATGAATAATGAAACCTTTAAAAACCATTCTAATGATGACTATGGTAGAGTTTCTTTTAATTTGCAATTGTGTTTGTTCTCCCCCATCATCTATAGGTTGAAATCCAAACTTATTGGCATGACATTCTAGACTCTTTATCATCCAGACCTAATGTTCCTCTCCAGCGTCAAACATAATCATCTATCACTCTCTGCCCCAAATACCCTGTTGACATTTTCATCATACTTCCAACATATTGATACAGAAGGGCTATTCTCCCAGCTAAACTCCACCCTTAAGCCTGGAACCGCAGCACTAAGTAAAAACAGCTGACCCCATTTTTCATCCAAATACTGCTTTTGGCCTGGCCCACCCCTATCCTGTGCCCATAAAAGACTTCAGCTGGCAGAGCAACACCAGTGGCTGCGTGGAGAGGATACAAGCAACTGAGCAGTGAGCAGAGAAGCAACTGAGCCTTGGAGACTAAGGACAGTTGTGGCTAACTTCAGACAATGTGGCTTCAGAGAGGGGCCTGGATGGAGATGGCTGGGCTTCTGGGAGAGATCACCTTCCCATCCCCTTTCCAGCCTTTCTGCTGAGAGCCACTACCGCTCAGTAAAGTCTTCGGCATTCAATACCTTTCAAACAGTTCGTGTGACCTGATTCTTCCTGAACGCCGGACAAGAACCTGGGTGCCGAGAGGACAGTGGCTGCCACCCTGATCCCCTACTGATCTGATTGGCACTTGGCCCTCCGCAGATGGCAGAGTTGAATGACCTTTGGCTATACCATGCTTGGACACTGCTGCAGGGCCCACAGAGAGCCTGCTTCTGCCAGAGAGGAGCGACCGGCTGGTTCCAGTGTTCCTTCACTCTGGTTCCTGCACTCACTCGCTGGCACACTCCCTCCCATGAGGAGTGGCCAGTGGCAGGCTGAGTGAAACGAGTCACTCCAGTTCCTGCCCATGAAGGGGGTCAAGGAAACTATCCTGTCTCAGCATTATGCATGTGCTTTCATGTCTCCATGCAATACCATATAATGTTACCTCTCCCTGCTGAAGTGCTTCTACCTTGTCATTTTCTTGGTGAATTTTGACTCTGCCTTGAGACACAGCACACACATCTTTTCTTCTCAGTTTTCCCCTTTCACATAGGCCTATTATAAGACTGACTTTCACATGTATTAGGTGATGTGTTCACTGAGGTGGGACCATAGCTTGTTCGTCTCTGCATTTCTAATATCTAAACGTGTGTAAGATGTGCTTATTAGTTGAGTGGATGAAATACAGGACTCTAAAAATTCTGACAAGCCTTCCAAAACCCAGTGAGTGCATTTCAGCCTGGATTTTCTTACGTAATGATATTAGCATCCCCATTTTGCAAATGGGAAGACCTAAGCTCAGAGAGGTTAAGTCCCTGGTAATAAGTGGTAGGGTAAGGACTGTCTGACTCTAATGTCAAGATTCTAGTAATCATGAGATCAGGCTGGCATGTGATCAGAACACAAAGCAGAGATTAAATGGTGTTTGAGGAAGTCAAATACCAGAAAGTACCCAGTCCCGGGGGTCAGGAAACTTTGGTTCCAATGCTGAACACCCTACTTAGCTATGTGACTTGAGGCAGGTCACTCCACCTCTCTAGGCCTCGGTTTCCCCATTTGTAGTATGACAGAATTGAACCAGCTAATATCCAAAGGCCATTTGCATCTTCAACTCCTATTATTAATAATTATTTTCCCTTAAAGTTTCCTTCCTATTTGCAGCTTACAGAATTTTAAGTAAATAGAAACAAGCTGCTATACTGAACTAATCCTAATTACACTTTGAATATTTGCAATAAAATTCAAAGTAAAATTCTGATTGCTTGCCCCAGAATTTCTCTTAGGGAAGGAATTCTCTTTGTTTGAGAAAATACTTTGATAGGCAGCTGGAAGAAAAGGTAAAATCCTGAGGCATTAGTCTATAGTCACTTGAGTAACTAAGAAGATAACTAAAGTGATACATATGAGAAAGAATCTAGAAATCTAGGGGGTTAGGAGTAAAAAGCGGAGAAGAAAAGTGGAGAAGAAAAGCAAGAAAGAAGGAAAGTCCACTAGAGAAGATAGAGTTCTAAGTAACGTAGCCGCAGGATTTTTTGGAACAGAATATTTGTTGTAAAATTTTAGCTTGTTTTGCTTTTTTAAAATTTTAGTAAAATCTGTGCACATCAGAGCCATATGTAAGTAGTCTTTTTGGTGGAAATTAAATGAAAAATGCTGAGTTCCAAATCCTGCCCAATGTGTTATGAAATGGCCCCTAGAGCAAGATGGGGAGATGCTCTTCCAGGGCTCCATACAGCTGTGCATTGCCCAAGGGTGGCATGTGCATGTATGTATGTGTAGACAGGCAATTCAAATTCTAGGTATGGCAGATCTGTGCATTTCTCAGAATTTTCCATTATATGGCAGTGTCTTGTTCTACCAAAATCACCATGTTATGACAATTTTCTGACAGATGGAAGTAAACTGACCTCAGAGGCGGTATCCTTTTCTAATTTAAACACAGGTAATATATGGTCTAGTGGTGGTGCTTGGTCTTAAACTGAATACATTGACAGAACAGGAGTTCAAAGTCAGAGGTGATCATGAAACTAGAAGGAGGTCCTTAGAAAGACGTTAGATTTGCCACAATCTGTCAAAAGCATTTTGCATCAATCACTTTTAGGTAAATATTACAGGAGAGGATAATCTCAGCTGACATCCAAGTAATATATGGACAAAGCAGTACTAGGGACATCAGCAGAAATCCATACAAATGCTGCATTCTCCACTGGTCTTTCTGCTGCTCCCTCCCATATTCACAGACTCATCTGAACTTTTATGTGAATCAGAACTAGAAAAAAAACATTGATTTGCCCAACATGGCATTGGTATTCCACAGAGTTATCCAGGGGTGTAATCAACACTATAACAAGAAAATTGTGGGTTTCTCAGGTGTGGAAAATGCTTCGGTGTCTGTCTCCCACCCTAATTAAAATGTTAATAGGGCATACACTGCTCACTTTGCTCAGTTTCTGCAGTTAGAGGACAGAGAGGGAATTCTCAATTGCTCACGTATACTTCCTTTTTATGGCTTGGTTTACAAGCAATCATATCATTCCACACAAACTATAATTTCCTCTTTGTTATCTTTGCTTCCTTCAGACAAACAATGATTCACTGAAGAAATAATAATGAACCATCACCTTTGATGTAATGGCTGCCTGCACTGTCGAGATGGGAGTGTGCCAAGATCAGAGATTAATGCATATTAAAGAAGGTGAAGAGAATTTCACTTCTGGATGATGTGAGCACCCTGCAGTTTGCTGTGTACTTTTCATACACTTATGTATTTATCTAAAACCTTCCATGATTTTTTTGGTGCAGTAGTATACAGAATCTGAACTGTTATAAGGTCAACTGTAAACAATTATCTAATAGTTATTCTAAAACTTTACCTCCAATAACTGCTGCAATCATTGGTTTCTTTGTTCACTCACTCACCCACCCCTGTGTCTCTCTACCTACCCATTTATTCAACAAACTTTACTACAATTATAGACTGGGCACTGTTTCACAGCTTACAATATTAGTGTGTTTGGTGACGAGAGCACTTGACACAGGATCTGTGCTGTTAGAACCCAGTTCTCAACCTCAGCCACAGCCTGGTATCATCTGGCACCACAGGCCTGTTCTAAATACTACTGATGTCTAGGTCACACTCCTAAAGATTCTGACTTAATTATTCTGGGATGTGGACCAGGAATCAGGATTATTTTTAAACTCCCCAGCTGGTCCCCAAATGAAACAAACATTGGGAATCACTGGCTTAGCATTTACAACCCAATAAATAAGATGAACAATAAAGCAAGGAAATAAATAATAATTACATGATGCAAAAGGCCATGGAGATAGGTGTTTCACTCTTTCTGGCTATTTCTAGTTAATCAGGAAGTCTGAAAACCTTCCTAAATGAATGCAATAGAAATAATAAGAAATGCAATGTGACACTGAGATTCCTACTGTCCCCTAGCTGAGAGCAGACTCCTTTTGCATAGTGGTAGGGTTTAGCAAGAAGAATATGGGCTAATGTCAGGCAAATATAAAATTTTCTCCACCAGACTCTTTTTTTTTTATCTATATACTTTAAGTTCTAGGGTACATGTGCACAATGTGCAGGTTTGTTACATATGTGTACATGTGCCATGTTGGTGTGCTGCACCCATTAACTCGTCATTTACATTAGGTAGTCCTCCTAATGCTATCCCTCCCCCTCCCCCAACCCTACAACAGGCCCTGGTATGTGATGTTCCCCACCCTGTGTCCAAGTGTTCTCATTGTTCAATTCCCACCTATGAGTGAGAACATGTGGTGTTTGGTTTTCTGTCCTTGCGATAGTTTGGTTTTCTGTCCTTGCGATAGTTTTCTCAGAATGATGGTTTCCAGCTGCATCCATGTCCCTGCAAAGGACATGAACCCATTCTTTCTTATGGCTGCATAGTATTCCATAGTGTATATGTGCCACATTTTCTTCATCCAGTCTATCATTGATGGACCTTTGGGTTGGTTCTAAGTCTTTGCTATTGTGAATAGTGCCGCAATAAACATACGTGTGCATGTGTCTTTATAGCAGCATGATTTATAATCCTTTGGGTATATACCCAGTAATGGGATGGCTCTTTCAACATCTTCCTGCATGCCCCTGAAGCTCTATAAGTCTTTGACTCCTCATCTGGAAAATGGAGATGATTACAGAGCCTTCTCCCAAAGGAGGTTCTCCTAATGAGAAGTTTAAATAGATAATATTTACAAAGGAAATAGACTGATGGTAGGCCCAGGAATGTGCTCAATAAATGCTGATCACCTTGCCTAGGTATTTAAGGTCTCCCTGGCTAGAACACAGACTCCATGAGGGCAGGGACCACATCTGTCTTGCTCATCATTGATTCCCTAGCACATATAGGCAGACACATAGCAAGCATTCAAATATCTGTGTAAGGAATGCATTCAGTTGGGTGGTATTTATGTGTTTAGCATGGCAAGTTCAGCTAGAGTTCACCCATTCAGCTGAAATGTACAGATTTTGGCATCAGATGTCATCTCAAAGCCTTCTGAATGGGTTCACCTTGTGAAATGACATTCTGAGGCTGCTGTCCCTTTTCCTTCTTCCTAGGCTGTATCCCCAGGGCTCATCAAGGTTTTTGGGTGGGATGTGGGAGTTGTTCGTGAACCGCAAGGCCAGCATTGCTTACCTTGTCTTGAGGTCCCAAGCTAAAGCCCTCAACCCTGTTTCAAGAGCCGCCCCAGAAAGCCCCTGAAACCAGCATTTTGACTACGTGCTATTTATCCAGCAGAACTCATTCGCAGTGTCTGTTCAAGTGACACCAGCCCTTTGAAAAATACTGCTGGGATTTGCTTTTAATGGCCACAGAGGGTGTCTACCTGTTATTACCAAAAATAATTAATATTCCTGGAAGAAAACACAGCAGTCACTTTATCTTATAGGTTAGTCTGGGCCAGCAACAGGTTGCAGGCAGGAACCAGGAGTTCTGTGGCAACAACCTGGGGTTATGAGACAAAAGTCTACCCAAGCCACATGAAAAATAGGTACTCAATTGGCTTTCAGGGTAAAGAACACAATATAACTCATAAGGGGGCACAACTTAATGGAGGATCAAAAACTGTATGAACGTATTGAAGAATAAATGGACACTCTCTTGGATAATACAAAATATTCCATTTGAAAAATTAAATTAAATAAATCTCATTAGAGTTTAATGTGTAATTTCATTTCCATGCTATGGTTAAGAGAGAGCTATTGATTCCTGGCAGCAGCTGGCAACAGGAATAAAACGTAGCCAGACAAGGCGTCTTGTTTCTGAGATTTTCTGCTTGGTCTGATTCTCTAAGGAGCTTGATTTAATCAGTCATATCCTTCTTACAAATGGCTGAAGGAGTCAGGAAGTAAAGTATTTTGGTCACTATCACACTATAGTATTAGAGTTAGATTTTTGAACATTAATATTTAAATTCTATTCTTTTTCATTCTTAGACAATGCTGCCACCCTGTCTCTCACCATACTGCAATTAAATTCAGAAAAAGTTCAAAAACTCTTTGCAGTAGGAATGCTTACAAAACTCACCTTTTTATTCATAGCCACAGTGCTTACCACTTCATCCTGTCTATGTAGTGCTTAAGTTTCTGAGTTTGTCTCTCCTTAGCAACAGTTTGGCTCTCTCATGCCTTCATATAAAGGCAAATACCTTTGCTATGAGAACATTTCACAAGCAGGGTTAAAGTTCAGTTTTAATTTTGGGACCAGCCTGGCAAATTAATTGGTCCATCCTTGTCTTATTGCTGTCCTGATTATCTGGACTGGTACAAAATAGGCTATTAACCTGTTGCTGACCATTATCTATAAGGAAGAAGATACAGGCACATTATTGGTCACTGGGACCAGTTCCTTGGCCTTTCTCAAGAATAAGTAACAATCTGTTGCTTCAAAAATGAAGCCCCTGAAATTAACATTTATTAAGCTCCACATTCTAGGTAATGTTTGAAGTAGTTCATATGTATTATGTCATTTAATTCTCAAAAATTTGTTCTGAGGTTGGTGCTGTTCTTGTCCCATTTCACAAATGAGGGAACTGAGACAGAAAGAGGATTTTAAATTTTGCCAGAGTCACACTCTGGGAGGTGACAAAGGCAGGATCTGGTGTCCAGCAGTCAGACTCCACAGTTCTGCTCATCTTTACCAAGTGCTGCCATCACGGAGATTCTGAGTCGCCCACCAACACTTTAAAGTCTTATGGAGCTGTGAGAAAGGATATACTTTTCATTATGGCAAACAAGAGGCATTTCACATTAACCTCTCAGTTTTCTCATCAATACAATGGGAATGAAGTCACTGCGTCCCATTCTGCTTTAGGAAATTCTTAGAGGAGTACTTCTGAAAACGCCCTCTTGAAATTTATAAACCACTATAAAAATCTGAACTGTTTTCTAAACACCCATAGTATAAGGCACAAAAAGGAGTCGATGCTGGTCACAGATTCTGTCCTTCAACTACTCAAGGAATAGTGTTTTGCAAGGAATTTTAACTTAATGCGAGGTTCCTGGTCTAACTGTATTTTTGAGCAGCACTTGAAGCCTGAGTCTTAGAATCTTCATATGAGAGCAGACCTGAGTATTATTTAGTTAAAATCCTCTCTCCTTCTGATGCTTGACACATCTCTATGATAGTCTTCCTATGATAGTCTCCCCTTGCCTTGAGTCTCTCAGTGATGGGATGTCCGTGACTATGGGAGATCGTTTACCACTTCAGTCCATTAGAAACTGCTTTCTTATATCAAGTTGTTTCACTTTTGTCTCTGCCCCTCTCACTCCTGAGCCATCCTAAGGCATAAGAATAAAGAAGAAAATTCTCTTTTTGTAACAGTATCACACCTTGCACAAAGACGGGGGATTATGCCTTTACCTGTTCTTAACTTAGTTGCTGCATGGCTCACGCTATGGGATTATATGTAACGGGGAAGAGAATCCTTCATACATCATCCTTTTCCAGTTGACTTCTTGCTTTACAATTAGCCATGAAAGTATTGAATGTGTTGTCATAGCTTTTCAAATGCCAAAAGTGGGCCATGTCCAATCCATTATGTTTGTGTGTCTCACAAATGGCTATCAAAGAGCAGCCTAGTCATTTGCAGGGGTAGGCAATCAGAAGAAGCCTAACGCCTTCTGCTCTCCATTTTAATCCCACTCATCAGGCACATTTGCTATTAATACATACATCTGCATTCAAAGGCTGAATGGCATTTTCATCATTTCCCAAAGAGCATTCTATGAGGGCCAGAGGGAGAACCATACACTAATAGACAGATGCATTATGTTAGGAAGGTGTCAACACTTTAATCAGTACACAGTCAATATTCTCCATCATGAATAACTTATTAGCTTCTAAACTCTGTTCCTCACATGTCATGGCAAAAATCTATCTGAAGAATGTCATCTGCACTTAAGGAAGGGACAAGCATTGTAATTAAGTTTTAAGCTATTTCTTCAGCATGAAGCTGCCACGAAGTGTGAAGTGACTATAATTCACATTTTTAAGACCCTGAATTTATTAGCATCTATTTTCTATTCAAGGTTAGGGATATGGTGCTTGGATTGTCAAGGGATTCAAATTCCTCTGTGCTTTGTTATTCTGGAGTGAGTGTGTTTGAGCCCAGATGCCAGGCAAGGAAAATTATCATTAACGAGTCAGGTTATATTTGTGAAAAAAGCTCAAAGAACTGGAAACTCATCTTCCGTTGTGAATAGGAAGCGGCAATGAAAGGTATAACTGGGTAAAAGAGGACTTGGCCTTCCTCTGTGAATTACGACAACCATGCTTGAGAAGATGAATAGGAACCGTAGGCCAGGGGCTTCAAATTAAGCACAGTTCTGCTGAAGCGTGACTATTGCACAGCCCATGAACAAAAAAGGAATGTGAAGTTTTAAAACTGCTTTCAGTAAATGAAAGAGGAATGGATTATTCTCTTTCGGAAATGATATATTATGAATAGAAAAAAGAAAGGCATGAGATAAATATGTGCTTAGGCATAACTACAGACCCCAGGAAAGCTTTGACAGCCCTCCTTCATAAACAATGTGTTGCAGACAGTTACTTATCTTTATGCTGGCTGAACACACACTTTTGAGGGGAATGGATTTGTAATGATTCATCTAACTTGAAACCCCTTGCAGACAATGGCAAAGGTGGAAGACATTTCAGTCAATGAATCCAAAAATGAAGACGTGTAGGGCACTGCGTATGTGTGTAATAGGGGAAGTACAGTGAGCCTAGGGTGTACCAAGAAAGATGTCCTTAGGTTAGGAAAAGACATTAAAGCTGAGACTTGAAAAATAAATAGAATTATCTAGAAAAATGTAGAGACGAGTGCTTCAAGAAAAGAGAACGGCAACATAAAGGCTCTAAGGCACTCTACAGCAAACAAGAGAAGGGCAGGATATCTAAAGCCTACGGACAGGGGACAGAGGACTTCTGATTAAACGCTGAACTGAACACCTTTGTCTACCTCTGCTCTTTCCTGAAACACTCATACAATGGCTATAAATGGACCCTAAAATGACCCAAACCCATAAGGATGAAGGGACGAAGGGAGAGAGAAGAAGTAAGAACAGAAGAAACATGTCAACAATGCTTTGGAAGTTGAAAAGCAAGCAACAAATAGTAATTTCCTTGGCAGATGACGGGAAGCTAAAAGCTAAGAGCCTGTGGGTTTGGTGAAGACAGAGCTGTGGGTTGATTCAAGCTGTAAATTCATGGCCAGGCCCAGGAATCAGAGCTACCAGGCACCTCTGTGGCTGGGAGCATCTGGTGGGGCTGCACTCAGGAAGATTTGTTTAGGTCTCTGTGAGAAACCATAAGACCCCTAGAGACTGTTTCTTCACTATGTACATCCTGGCAACCAGACCACCCTTACTGTTTAAGACTTGAGGTTAACTCTGGAATCTGTGATACCAGGACAGCTGAGGGTAACAGTGCTGGACTAAAAATGGAATTATATGAAAACTTACATATTTAAGAGTGAAACCTCCAACACTCCAATATGAACAATATTGACAACCAGATGTATCCCAAGCAAGGGATTAGGATTTCTCTCTGGGGAAAATGACCAGCCCAAGAGAAAATACCTACAGATTCTGACATTTGGGGTCTGATATACTTTGGATATTTATCCTTTTCAAATTTATATTAAAATGTGGCTCCCAGTGATGGAGGCAGGGCCTAGAGGAGGTGTTTGGGTCATGGGGGCAGGTCCCTAATAAATAAACTCTACTGTGCCTTCACAGTGGAGTTCTCACTCTATTATTTCACATGGGAGCTGGTTGTTTTAAAGAGCCCGGTGTCTCTTTCTTATTCCCTTTCTCTTGCCATGTGACATGCTGGCTCCTCTTGTCTTCTGCCACAGGTAAAAGCTTCCTGAGGCTTCACAAGAAGCCTAGCAGATGCCAGTGCCATGCTTCTTACACAGCATGTGGAACTGTGAGCCAAATGACCCTCTTTTCTTTATAAATTACTCAATCTCAGGTATTCCTTTATGACAATGCAAAATGCACTGACACAAAGCATCCACCTAAAAATCCCAGCTCATGCTTCTACCTAGAAGCCTGCCACCCAATAAGTCCCATCTATGTACACAAAACTTTCCAGCAGACTCTTACTGCTTCATTCTTAAAAATGAATAGGGCCAGGCACAGTGGCTCATGCCTGTAATCCCAGCACTTTGGGAGGCCGAGGTGGGTGGATCACCTGAGGTCCAGAGTTCGAGACCAGCCTGACCAACATGGTGAAACCCCTTCTCTCCTAAAAAATACAAAAATTAGCCAGGTGTAGTGGTGTGAGCTTGTAATCACAGCTACTCAGGAGGCTGAGGCGGGAGAATCACTTGAACCCAGGAGGCAGAGGTTGCAGTGAGCCAAAATTGAGCCACTGCACTCCAGCCTGGGTGACAGAGCGAGACTCTGTCTCAAAAAAAAAAAAAAAAAAGAATCAATAGATATCCATGAATCACCAACCATTTGATAAAGCTCCAATTGGAAAGCCAGAGACCTGAATTTTTCTTTCTTTCTTTCTTTTTTTTTTAATGTGGAAAACAGAAGAAACTTGAGAGAAACTATTATTAATAGACTCAAAAAGAAAAAAGAAGACAGTATCTCTATGAAATTAATACAGGATGCTATAAAAGGAAACCACCATAGTGTAAAGAACATTGGAAATTAAAATATGACAGCAGGAATTACATGCTTAGTGGAAGGAATGGAAAATAGGGAAAGGGCAGAGGAAGAAATACAACTAAGAAAAGGTGAAAGGAGGGGGAAAGGGTAATGGGAGATGACTCGACCAATGGCTAAGATTGTATATGAATGCTATTGCTTTGAAATTTTACCTTCAAGTTAGTGACAGCCACTGAAGGACAGCAAACAAGGAAGGACATCTAGCCCAACATGGCACATAGCCCATGGCCAGGAAATTAGACAGGCTTATCTAGTTTTCCCTGAGATCTGATCGTCTTACTCTCATTCATATTATAGTCTAATAAACCATGGAAAGTTCTGGATTGAGGAAAAAATAAGAACCCCTTTGGCTGATATTTTTAAAAAATGTACTTTCTGGTTCTCAACTTATTTCAGGTAAAAACTGTTGTAAGCTTGTTCCTCTAAACTCCCATTACTCTTTGTTTTGAAAAGGTTATAAGTGGAATAAAACAAGGCTGGCTTCAAGCCAGGATCATGAAAGGGGTAATTAAGCAAGATTTTCTGTCTATACACCCAGCAGGGGCATCCCACTGAGGGGAAAAAAAGGAAGAGTCGAAAGCAATTGCGTATTGGTGAAGAATAACAGAAT